>NC_000004.12:182860774-183163805 GCF_000001405.40 Homo sapiens
TCGAGACCATCCTGGCTAACACGGTGAAACCCCCGTCTCTACTAAAAATACAAAAAAAATAGCCGGGCGTGGTGGCGGGCCCCTGTAGTCGCAGCTACTCGGGAGGCTGAGGCAGGAGAATGGTGTGAACCTGGGAGGCGGAACTTGCAGTGAACCCATATTGCGCACTGCACTCCAGCCTGGGCGACAGAGCAAGACTCCATTTCAAAAAAACAAAACAAAACAAAACACCCCGCTGTCGGATGCTGCGGGCTCTTTCTCCTTCCTGCCCACCAAGGCTCCCCACAATTGCTCTTGTCCTTCGTTTCCCGTCTCCCTCCTTTTCCCTCATCACCTCTCACATACAATCGCTCAACGGATGATCCCCTTACTCTCGTTCTCAAAGCTGTGGAAATTCTCTGTTATAGGCCCGTGTCCCCCTCAAAATGCATATGTTGAAATCCTAACCCCTAGTCCCTCAAAATGTGCCCCTATTTGGACACAGGGTTGTTGCAGGTGTAATTAGTTAAGCTGAGATAAGATCATACTGGCAGGGGTTGTGGGGGTTGGGGGGGTTGGGCCCTAATCCCACATGACCAGTGTTCTCTTTAAAAAAACAAATTTGCACACAGACAGACACGTAGGAGGAGCACTATACACAGAAAAAGACAGTGATTGGGGTGAGGCTTCTCCAAGACAAGGAACACCGAAGATCGCCAGGGAATCTCCAGAAGCCTGGGGAGAGGCACGGCTCAGGCTCTCTCACAGCCCCAGGAGGAGCCAACCCTGCCGATACCTTGACCCTCCAGGCTCCGGAACTCGGGGCCATACATTTCTGTTGTGGAAGCCACCCAGTTTGCGGTACTTTGTTAGGGAGCCCTAGGTAACAAACACATGTTCCCACTAACTTTTTTGATAGAAAGGGATCCACTGGTACCGAGAAAGAAGCTTCTGCGCTCTCTGGGGGCCTCCCAGGCCCAGGGATCTCTTGTATTGGTGAGTTTGCTGGAAAAGCATCAGAGACTCCCCTGGAGGCATGGCCAGGTGTTTCCCAGGATGCTGTGATTTCAAACTTTCTGTCCCACTTTTCCTGATGAATACACATAACTCTCACTTTTCAAGCTTCACTATTCCACTCTACAGATCACAGGACTCAGGCGCTAGATTCACCATCATCACAAAAATATTAGAAAATTTTTCTAATTTTCCACAAGGCAGATTCAAAAGCCACAGCCCTTATTTTCTGGGACATCAAGTCCAAGATCAGTATGTTGATGCCACCATGTCATTTATTTTAATTTGCTTGGTGGTTCACTGAATACTTATTGAGCACCTACTTTGCATGAGGTGCTATGGGATGTTTTTGTCAAGGCTTTGAAAATTAGCCGGGAGAATGGATAGAAGGGAGCTTGGCATCATATTTTATTCCAGAACCTGCCCGTCTCCTGGAGAGCCGCTGTGTAAAGAGCCATTTGCAAGCTCATCACAGTGATTAGCCAGAAGCAAGCAAGCAAGCAAGCAAGAGGGAGCCTGCCATTCCTCTCCCGGCCCCACCTGGAGCTCACACCTTCTGCAGCCTGTCTGCAGCCACACTCAGGCCCTGCAGGGGGCCCGCCTGGGCCAGGATGATCCCCAGAAGACAGGTCTGCTTCCCCACAACTTGGAAGCTAAGTGGAGAAAAATGCACCTTTCTGGCTAACAGAACACCTCCTCACAAGGCCCCCATGCCAACGACAGAGTCCTGGCAGAGCGTGGCTCTGTCACACTCGAGTTAGCACAGCCACCAGGAGTTGGGTAGTTCTCAGCTCACGCCGTCCTCCGAAAGGCTCTAGCAAACCAGAAATCAAAGTGGAGCCCCGCTGCATGCCAGCTGACAGCCTGCAGCAGATAAAATGGCAAAAACCACTGCTGCTGCCGGGGCTCTGGAGACCCTCCACTCACACACACAGCCCTCCAGGTCACTGGGAAGCATTTCCTGCCACCCCCAGCCTTCCCTGGGTGCCTGTGTCCTTGACCGGTGGCTCCAGTGGGCGGCCTCCCAGGCTGTCACTGGCCGCTGGCCCACTCTCTGCCCACCTCCTCTGCCAGGCCTGAGCACGCCAGTCTTTTTGGCCAGAGCGAATCCTACCTGTAGGATTTTCACTTATCTCTGTAAAGTGGAAAAAAAGTCAAGCAAGTCATATTGGAAACTGAAGCCAAAGCACTTAACCTCCTCTTGGGAAGGAGTTCTCCTCCTGGGACTGGCTTTGCTGTGCCAAGTTCAGGAAAGAAAAGCAAATGTGAGAACAAAGGTGCCTGGCTGTGCCGCCCGGCTGATGGGCAGGTGGCTGGCCCCGCTCCATGGTGGCGGCACCTGGCCAAGACCATTTCCTTTCTCCACAGAAGTGGCTGCACTCACACCTGGTAACGTCAGCAGCACCTGAGAGGAGCGCAGAGGTGCAGCCACTGATGCCCACCGAGAGGCAGCGTCCTAGGCTGCCTGACCCCAGCGTGGGAGCGTGTCTGAGCTGACTGCATTGCTGAACCCTAACTTCCCCGTCTCTGAACTGGAGATGATCCCACCACGTACTCATGCGTCTTCGGACGCTTAATTAATCAACAGTGATTGAATGCCTTGAAGTCGAAGCATGCTGGAATAAACAGCACCTCTGGTGAAGAGGAGTCACTGCCCTGGCCTTCGGCTCAGATGTCTGGATCATAATTCAAGGCTAGTCACTAATTTTAGTGTGTGGCCTTCATATTTCTGTTTCTTTGCAATGCAGGCAATTGACTAAATCACCTTATGGTTTCCTGCTCTTTGTCTGGATTGACGGATTTGGGCAAGTTTCCCCTCCAGCCTCCAGGCTGCAGAGCCCTTCCCTGCTCTCCTCTGGCAGTCACCACCCACCTCCTTCTTTGCTCATTCATGCCTCCTCCAGGCCTCAGAGAGGACACCCTCTCCGTGAAGTCCTCCCTCTGCCTCGACCACACCCCAGCGCCAGCCTGAGCTGAGTTCCTCCTGGCAGCCGTGCCCCCACTTCCCCTCCAGAGCACTGCCCCTTCTCCTGGGCTCCACAGAGAGGGCAGGGACTGTGGCTGTGTTTCCCTCACCAGCCGGTACATGGTGTGACACACAGCAGGTCCTGGTGATGGAAGAAGTACACAATGCTTGGGTCACGACTGACCTAATGAAGAGGTTCACCCAAAGGGAATGAGCCCCTTCCCTAATTTCATGGGTCTTCAATGAAACCCAAGCCCACAAAGGCTTTTTAGTGGACACAGGCTGCTTTAAAGGAATCAATAAATCAATTTCCAGGTTCTCAACTTCCTAAAATTGATCTGCCAAGAATGTGCCAGCATTCTGCAGGGTCGTTTCCCCTCCCCACCCCCTTCCACAACAGTCTTCTCTATGAACAGAAGAAAGTCCTTCCTCTCACCCATCCTGAATTGCCTTGGGGTGCAAACACCTCTAGGACACTAAAAAAGAGACAATTCCTGAATACACTATTCTTGAGGACTCTTTAAGGTCAAGGCAGGGAGAGCTTCAGAAAGACCCTTGAGGCCCGGCACGGTGGCTTACGCCTGTAATCCCAACATTTTGGGAGGCTGAGGCAGGTGGATCACTTGAGATCAGGAGTTCAAGACTAGCCTGGCCAACAGGTGAGACACCGTCTCTACTAAAACTACAAAATTTAGCCAGGTGTAGTGGTGGGTGCCTGTAGTCCCAGCTACTTGGGAGGCTGAGGCGGGAAAATCGCTTGAACCCAGGAGGCAGAGGCTGCAGTGAGCCGAGATCACGCCACTGCACTCCAGCCTGGGCAACAGAGCGAGACCCTGACTCAAAAAAATAAAATAAAATAAAGGAGAGAAACAAAATACCATATGCAAGAAAGGAAATCTTTTAACATGATTTAAACTTATAACAAAAAATTGGACCTGTTTACCTAAAAATGTATGAAGTGATACATAGTTTTTCAAAAATTATTGTAGGGTCTATACAGGAAAATAGATTGGGGCCACTGCATGAATTCATAGGCAAGGGGTGCCAGACTGGGGAGGAGCACAGCCTCCTGCCATCTCCCGAGGAGGAGTAGTGCAGAGCTGAAAAGCCCGGGAGGATAGATGAGGGAGAGACCTCAGATTCGAAGGGCCCCTCCTTACAGATTGTGGGACACGCACATTTGCTTCCCCACCAGACCTCCGTTTTCTGCCTGTTCAATATTTTAAAGGTGTTTCTTTGGATTTGTCGTTGAGTCTACAGAACAGAGAGAAGTGAAAACCTTTTTAAAAAGGAAAGGAGAGAACCTTTTAAAAAGGAAAGGAGAGGTCTAGAAAGACTGAGAAAAGCATTTGGGGACTGCAGTGAGAATGAACAACAGAAATCAAAGTAAGAGGGAAATTAAAAGAACGAAGAAATGTAAAACGACAAGAACAACAGCAAGTTAGTGATTTCTCTAAAATGCATCTTGTGAGAAGAAAGCTAGGCTTTCTTTTTACAGGAACTCAGGAAGCTGTGAATTCAGGGGGATCCTAGACTTGAGTAGAAAAACAATTACCTCTTATTTTCACTAACCTCTAGCTGAAACTTAGCATTTCCTTTAATTATAAATGTGGCCACTGAACCACAGTAGTATTAGCAGTTCCTGTGGTTTGTTCCCAGTAGAAATCACAGATATTTTCATATCCCATTACCAGTCGCTGCAAATATCTTGAAATATTATTTACCCTTATCACTACTTCAAAGTTATGGTGGTTATTAAACCTGCATGAGATCTTGTTATGTAACACATTAATAAAAAGCACATATATACTCTATCACAAATGGGTTTTTTAAAATATTGATAATTGTATATCAATATAATTGGTTTTCATTGTAATCCTCTGTGTTTTTTTAAGAGACAGCATTTCCCTCGGTCGCCCAGGCTGGATTGCAGTGATGTCATCATAGCTCACTGTAACCTGAAACTCCTGGGCTCCCTCCTCAGCCTCCCAAGTAGCTCGGACTACGGGAATACATTACCATGTCCAGCTCATTTTCTTTTTTTTTTCGAGACGGAGTATCGCTCTGTCCCCCAGGCTGGAGTGCAGTGACACGATCTCGGCTCACTACAAGCTCCGCCTCCCGAGTTCACGCCATTCTCCTGCCTCAGCCTCCGAGTAGGCTAGGACCACAGGTGCCCGCCACCACGCCTGGCTAATTTTTTTTTGTATTTTTAGTAGAGATGGGGGTTTCACCGTGTTAGCCAGGATAGTCTCGATCTCCTGACCTCCTGATCTGCCCATCTTGGCCTCCCAAAGTGCTGGGATTACAGGCGTGAGCAACTGTGCCTGGCCAAATTTTCTTAATTTTTTTTTGTGGAGACAAGAGTCTTGCTGTGTTGCAGGCTGGTCTTGAACTTCTGGACTCAACTGATTGTCCCACCTCGGCCTCCCAAGCGCTGGTATTACAGGTGTGAGCCACTGTGCCTGGCTGATATTTAATACAATACTATGCACTTAAAAACATTGTTGTAAAACAGTGTCCATAGACTGCAAAAGGGGTCCATGGTGAAAAAAATTTTTTAAGAATCCCTGCTTTAAACCCATACTCCAGAAACTTTCTATCTGTTCATGGTGATAGCAGGCTGCGGCGTCTACAGGGAGTGAAAACTCACCGCCCACACTAGAGAAGTGGCATGAGTTAGGCTGAGGGCAGCAAACGCTCTCCCAGAGACCTGCTGGCTACACTCTGGGTCTCAGTGAAGAGGGCAGCATTTCCCGTGTTTAGCAAATGCACCAGCCTCAAACACAGGCATGCCGCTCGCTCTCCAGCTTCTTCTAACCCACGATTCAAGCCCCTGGAGAAAAGCAGTCCCAGAGCCCCAGGTTTCTCCCCAAATCTCAAGTACCACAAGGTGTTGCACCTCAGCAAGGACCTTGGGTGGCACATGTGAGTTTGAATCCCGCTGCGTAGCCTCCCTTCAGCTTTTGCGCAATTTGGCATCTGGAGTAACCAGAGAGAACTGACCCCAACTCTATCCTCAACTTGCACCAGCAAATGGGCCCTAAACAAAAGTCTCTGGAAGTCGACAGCCTGGACCTATCACCATGATTCAGTGAGACCAGCAGCATGAATTATCTACTAAAACACAGTAATGCTAATTTTATCCCTGTCATTTCCCTGCTTGAGGAAACAAGGAAAACTCAGTTCTTTGGGAGGGGTCAAGGGAACAAGAAGAAGCCATTTTTCTCAGGAAGCCCTGGGGAGCAGTGCAGAGACAATGAACTTGGAAGTCAGACCCCGGCGCTCGCTCAGTATGGGGGCCCAGGGAGAGTTCATAAACTTTCCCAGCCCCAGTCCCCTCATCTATAAAATCATGTCTGACCTGCCAGAGTGCTTGAAGATAAAAAAGCCCACCCGCATGGTGCTCTTCCCTTCCTTCATAATAAAACAGAGGGATTCCTCACCAAGGAAGGCGGTGAGAAGTATCTTTTTCAAGAGAAAAAAACGGCAAAACTAATAAAATTGTGTGCTTGTCAGGAGCAAAGCTAGCCTTTCTTCCTCTCTCTCTGACTTTGGTTGAACTTGAAATGCTGTAGCAATGCTGCCTGCCTCTCTCTTCTGCCAGAAATCTTCCAGGTTTTTTGGTCTAGAATCAGCCAGACCTTGCTGAGCATCTGAATATTTGCTAACACCACAAAGCAGAAAATCTGCTCAATAAGCCTGTCTTAAGCAGGGGCTCTGGCCTGGGGTTCAGAAACCAGGGTCCCTGAGCTTTGGGGAGGGAGAAAGAGGCTCAGAGCTCCCAGGCACTGATACAGTCAGGGGATTCAGAGGTCCCAGATCTGTCAACTGGGGCAAGCAAAGTTCCCCCAAATTTAAGGCACCAACATTTTGCCAGCTTTTTATCTACATTAGCAAGCAACAATAAGTTTTTAATCAGTCATTATAAGTTATTTTATTTCCTTTTTTTTTTTTAAGCTACAGAGTCTTGCTCTGTTGCCCAGGCTGGAGTGCAGTGGCATAACTGGAAGCTCAAGTGATCCTCCTGCCTCAGCTTCCAAGTAGCTGGGACTACAGGTGCTTCCCAAGTAGCTGGGACTACAGGTGCTTCCCAAGCAGCTGGGACTGCAGGTGCTTCCCAAATAGCTGGGACTACAGGTGCTTCCCAAGCAGCTGGGACTGCAGGTGCTTCCCAAGTAGCTGGGACTACAGGTGTGCACCACACGCCAGGCTAATTTTTAAATGTTTTTGTAGAGATGGGGTCTCACTATGTTTCCCAGGCTGGTCTTGAACCCCTGGGCTCAAGTGATCCTCTCTCCTCAGCCTCCCAAAGTGCTGGGATTACAGGCATGAGCCACCACGCCTGGCCTTAATTCAGTTTTCTTATTGTCCTATCAAATTATGAATTTGTGGTAAAATACGTAAAAGGCCCTTTGGTGTTTTTTTGATTTTTATTTTTCCATTCAAATAAAAATAATTTTCACAAATCCGAATCACACCACCCCTCAGAGAGCACGCTATGCTTTTCAGAGTGGTTTTTGATTACCATTTTCAATGGTAATTGGTAACAATGGTAACAGCTGGTAACAGCTCCAATTTTTTGTTATAAGTTTAAATCATGTTAAAAGATTTCCTTTCTTGCATATGGTATTTTGTCTCCCTCCTTTATTTTATTATTTTATTTTTTTGAGTCGGGGTCTCGCTCTGTTGCCCAGGCTGGAATGCAGTGGCATGATCTCGGCTCACTGCAGCCTCTGCCTCCTGGGTTCCAGCGATTCTCCCTCCTCATGGGCACTGGGTTCACTCAGCTCCACTGCCCCAACCTATGTCTCTGAGCCAGCATGGATCTCCTTTCTGTTCTCTTGGTGCCGATGAGCTCATTTTTTGACATTTCAGCTTCTTGTGACTTGCCTTTGGTTTGGTTGTTTTACTTTTAATACTTTTGCCAGCAAAGACCTACAGCCTCTCTGAACCTTTTTGGGACTGGCCCTGGTCAGCTGTCCTTTGATCTCCATATTCATACTTTATTTGGAAATAAAGCTTTGTTATCATATGGAATCCAGAGTCTTCACCCTGTCTGTGAAGCAAGTACGGGTTTATTTATTTAGGGCTGGGAGACATCTCTGATTTCATTTGGAAGCTGTCACTTTGCTTTTCCTTTGCCCTATGAGAGACTGGGTTGCTAGAAGGAGTGAAGATGGTCTATTGTGTTCCTTTTCATCATTATCTCATTTTGTTGTTATTTTCTATGTTTCTCTCTTTAAGAAATCATAACAGTTTTATTAAGATATAGCTCACATACCATACAATTCACCTATTTGAAGCATATAATTCAATGCTTTTAATATATTCACAGAATGGTGCAACCATCACCACCATGAATTTTGGAACAGTTTTGTCACCCCAAAAAGAAATTTCATATGCATTAGCATTTACTGCCCATCTCCTCCCAATTTACCCCCTCACACTCCCACCTCCAGGCAGCCACTAACTTATTTCTGAGTCTATGGATTTGCCTATTTGGGACACTTCATATAAATGAAATCATACAACGCATGGTCTTTTGTAACTGGATTCTTTCACTTAGCATGATGTTAAATATACATAGTATCATCTGTATCAGTACTTCATTCTTTGTATTGCCAAACAATATTGTATGGATATAAGTTTTACTTATCAGTTGATGGGCATCTGGGTATCCACCTGCTGGCTGTTACATACAATGCTGCCGTGAACGTTCATGCGCAAGCTTTTGTGTGGCCACATGTTTTCATTTCTCTTGGATATAGACCTAAGACTGGAATTGCTGGGCTATTTCCTATATTTTAAGGAATTATGTTACTCTGGAATCCTGTAGGGGCCTTTTTACCCATGGCTCATTTATTTCTTCTCAGGCCTTTATTAAACAAGTATCTAGAGGTGTTTAGAAGGTTATAAATTAGCCACAGTGACAAATAAACCCCAACATTTCAATGGAGCCACATACTCAAAGTTTGTTTCTCACTCACATCTCAGTCCAATGAGGGTGTTCCTGGTTGGCACGCAGCTTTCCCTCTGTGGTAATTCCGGGTCCAGGGACATCTGCTTCTAGAAAACCCTGGCCCAGCTTTTTCCATTGGTAGGAACGTGGCCCCAAGCCAGTGCAAGTGGGGCTGGGAAACACTGCCTCTGGAGGGGCAGGTGCTCCCAGAAGCAACCTCATGGCATGAGAGAGGAAGCACAGATGTTGGTGGTCAGCTAGCTGACTGCCACTCCAAGGTCCAGGAAGCCAGAGGGCACGGGGTTACAGGGGATTTGAGCCAGGATCCCAGCAAGGTCAGAAGATATTTCTGTCTCCCTCCTATTTCCTCTTTTTCTTAGAAAGGAGTTATCCTTGTGTTCAAGGAAAGGCTGAATATGAGCAGGAACTGTTAAATATGGGAAGCACTGACATTTGGAGAAGACTGCCATAGATTTTTGCATACCTGGTATTTATTTAGATGGTCTTCTGCTGGAAACAGTACGGACCCCTCCCTCTTCTTGGAAGGACTATCCATCAAGGTACCCCCTGCCTCTGGCCACAGGATGGACACTTGACCCACAGTAGGCCAGACTCGCCCCTCTCTCTGGAATTTGAACCTTAAGCAATGTGACACAAAAACAGTCTCATTCTGGGGGTGGGGTCCTGAGAAGATACCATCCATTCCTTTCTGCTTCTTGGATCCCAAATGATGCTGCCTCAGTGTTTCTGGAGCCTGACACCTTAGCTTTGACTCTGTGGGTTGCCCCATGAGCTTACAATAAAGGTCTGGTTAATTAAGCCGGAGTTGGTCATTCCAACATCTCTCTCAACCTTCTACATTCAAGTCCTGAGGATGTCACATCCTGTACAGCTTGAATCTGTCTTCTTTCTAACACAACCTCCAATGCTACAATTCAGGTTCTTTCTATTGTTTGCCTGGACTTCACAAGACCGGCTAACTACTACCTTCATGTCCCCATGGAAACTTTTCTAAAATGCAAATACTGGTTTGAAAAATTACAATACCACCCTTGGAGCAGCGAAATTATGCACCCATATACTGTTGGTGGAGTTATAATTTTTATAACCTTTTGGAAAGGCAATTTGGCCATATGTATCAAGAGCCATTAAAAAAAATACAGCCTTTGACCCAACATTTTCACTCGCAAGAATTTTTTTCCTGAAGAAGCAATTAGACATACATATAAAGGTTTATGTCTGAAATGTTCTCTGAACCATGCATTCATTCAACAAATATGGAATGCCTAGTATATGCCAGGTGCTATTATTATTACTTAAAATCACAAAATACTGGGGGAGTAAAAGAACTGTCCAGTTAGAGGGAATTGATTAAATGAACTTAGTTGTGGTTGGATGATAGAATACGATATAGTTACTAAAGACCATGTTTTTAGGAGAATATTTAATGACATGGAGAAATTCACATTAAGAGAAAAAAGCCAGTTTCAAAAAAGTATATAATCTGAATGTTGAAGGAAGAAATACACATACACCAAAATATTAATAGTGACTAACTCTAGGAATGAGATTTGAGTGATTTTTACTTTTTGCCCACGTTTCCATATATTTCTAACATTTAATAATAAAGAGAAAAATTATTTTTAAAAAATTACTTAAAAAGCAATCAGGAGGCCAGGCGCAGTGGCTCACGCTTGTAATCCCAGCACTTTGGGAGGTTGAGGTGGGTGGATCACGAGGTCAGGAGTTTGAGACCAGCCTGACTAACATGGTGAAACTCCGTCTCTACTAAAAATACAAAAATTAGCCGGGCATGGTGGCATGCACCTGTAATCCCAGCTACTCGGGAAGCTTGAATCCAGGAGGCGGAGGTTGCAGTGAGCCAAGATCGCACCACTGCACTCCAGCCTCGGCGACAGAGTGAGACTCTGTCTCAAAAAAACAAAACAAAACAAAACAAAAAAAAAACGCAATCAAGAAATATGATCATGACTCTACATGAAACCCATCAATAATTCTTCATTTGCAGAATAAAGTATAAACTGCCCCAGCATCAGCTCCCCGACATCTCCCACCTCCCCACCACTTCCCCAGTTCAGCTCGGGAAGCAGCCACGTCCACCAGCATCTCAGATCTTTCATACCTCAGGGCCCTTAGCCACGCGGTAGGCCCCCTTCCTGCGACTGCCCCCTCCGTCTTTGCTCATTCAACAAATATTTATTATTCTGAGCTCTGTTCTGAGCACTAAGGATGCCAGTCAACATAATAGACAAAGTCCCTGGCTTTGCCTCCACTTGTTGCGGATTTCATGTCCCAGCAGAGGAAGACGGATAACAAACATATACACAAGTAGAGATGAGTTGTGTTAGTTTCCTATTTCTGCTATAACACATTACCACAGATCTAGTGGCCTAAAACATCACAAATTCATTCTGTCCCAGTTCTTGACGTCAGAAGCCCAAACAAGTCTTGCAGGGCTGAAATGACGGTGTGAGCAGGGCTGGTTCCCTCTGGAGGCTCCAGGGGAGAATCTGTCTCCTTGACTTTCTCAGGTCTCGGTGGCCCCTTCCTCCATCTGCAAAGCAGCTCCGCAGTGTAGCTCTCTGCCTCTGGCCTCCTGCCTCTCTCTTGTAAGGGCTCTTGTGATTATGTCAGGCCTACCTGAATGATCCAAGATAATTTTCCTGAAATCTCAAGATCCTTAACTTAATCATGTCTGCAAAGTCCATTTTGCCACATAAGGTAATACATTCACATGTTCTAAGGATTGGAACATGGACATACTTTAAGGGCCACGATTCAGCCTACCCCGTGTGGGATGTCATATATGTTGAGTGCTTTGGCACAAGGGAAGTGAGTTTGCTCTTCATGTGAGGGAGTCAGAAAAGGCCTCACTGATAAAGAGACATCAGAGTGTGGAGCCTACCTCCTTTGACACTCCTGTCATTGTGCTTGCAAAAGTATTCATTTTCCTAATCCCAGCACTTTGGGAGGCTGAGGTGGGTGGATCACTTGAGGTCAGGAGTTCAAGACTAGCCTGGCCAACAAAGTGAAACCCTGTCTCTACTAAAAACAATCATGTCACTTGCTTACTAGGATTAATTTGGGAATCCAGTAAGGATACAAATATGGTAAACTTCTAGCGCTTGTCTTATTGCAGGAACTCCATCAATGACAGACAGTTGTGCTGTGATATTGGGGGTGAAGAAGAGTTGATAGAAAAGAAGTTTTGAGAATTTGTTCCTAGTCACTTAAAATGAAGCTGGGGTCAGAGCTGAAGGCCTACTCGATGTCAGCACTACCCTCCCCAGCCTGGGCCCTCGGTGCCTTTTTGGCAGGGACCTGGTCTTCCTCATGTCGTATCTTCCACAGGGCCTAGGACATATTTGCTTAGCTCAGCAAATATGTATTGAGCGCCTGCTGTGTACCAGGAACTGCGCTAGAAGCCAAGGATACATGAAGAAACAAAACAGAAGCGGCCGGACTCTGAGGCCAGTAAGTCTCATGGGGCAAAAAGGGGCCTGTATCTCGGCCGTGTGGCGACGTTATTTGCCTCAAAAAACGCCTAGGCCGGAACCCCTGCATTTCAGGCTCCTGTGGAATTTTGAGAGAAGACAGTACTTTCTTAAGCTGTTCCGTATTTTCCATGCAGGCTTCCATTGACAGAAATCCCACTTTGCATCTGTGAAATTTGCTAACGCACGATTCTGCTCTAGTGCATCGTGAGGCAGTTTATGACATCCGTGCAGCTCTGGTAAAGAGCATGCTTACAACGAGGGGGAAAAGCACCGCCGCAGGAGCAGAGCAGTGGACTCTCAGGGAATTTCCATTTTCTCCTGTCTTAGCGCTGTTAACCATCACGCTTGGCGTTGCCTGACTTCGACATGCGATCACGGCTGCTAGTTCTGAGAGAATGTGAGTTTCCTGGTGAAACTCTCTCTCAACTCTAAGATGGACCTTGACGGAATGCCAAATGTCTCTGGCCTTCCAACATGATAAAGGGCCTCCACGATGCTTTCTGCTTTTCTCCCTCTGCAAAGGTGGCAGTGAGGAGCTTTCTCTGGTGGCTGTTGCATGGACCCTGTCCCCTTGGATGGCTGTGCCTGCAGATTGTCAGGCCGTTGTCTCTGCTTCCCCAGCCCGCAGAAAGGTCACCGACAGGGCTGTGGCACATGCAACTTGGCCCTCACCGTGGAGGAGATGGGGCAGCTTCTGTACAGGTTCTGATCAGGTGGCCACGGCAATGACTGGGGATGCCAGGGACACACTGGACTGTCCCGAGCACGGCGACTTCCCTGGTTTTGCTACCTCTCTTCCACCTGCACTGCACTCCGGGGCTCTGATTTTCACCTTGCTCGCTGACCCCCGCCTCCTGTTTCATGGGTCTTCTTTTCCTGCCATCAGCATCTTTTCTCTGAGACGCCGCTTGGATTTTCTTTCCTGCCTGTTTGTCCTAGACACCGGCAGGAGTTCAAGAATGATGTGACACAGTGATGTGGCCATGGGGTCTGTGCAGACTGACCTGGCCTGTTTCAAAATTTAAATTTTGTTTTAAGTCATAAAAGGGCTACAAAAGCCTTACACTAAATAAGAAAAACTATCCCATCCGGGGGCCTAATCCCTGCCCCGTTCTGCTCGGCTTGCCTCCCTCATTATACTTGTATAATACAGTATGGTTTCTATCGCGTATTTCCTTCCTGTTTTTACACTTATTCTTGCTTCACTGACTTTATTATCGGCAGAATTTTGCAGCATTTTTTTTACACAGCCATAAATACTCTTCAATTCAACAAATGCATACAAATGGTTTCCATTAGAATTTTAATCTACTCTCAAAATGAAAGAAAAGCTTAATATAAATCTTTTTAAATTACCAGAACATAAATTCACACAGGGACAGTTCCTCCTAGGCCACGCACAAGGGGTCGCATCCTGCCGTCCTCCCTCAGAAATTAATTGAGCTCTCTTGCCGCCGTAAACGAACAGTGCATCTGGAAAGATCGTATCTGTCAAGATTGCAGATTGGTTTCCCTCAGACTTTGTAAAAGTCACAGCTTACAATACGTTCATTATACCGATGAGAATGGCTGTCCTCCCAACTGGAAAGAAATAGGTGTTTTGTTCTGTTGGACCAAGATTTACAGAAAGCAATTTTCCTCCATGCAGGAGATATGACAAACCTGCTGGAAAAAAATGTCATTTCACAACTTCTTTCATTTCATCACCTTTTTTTACTGCTAGATGTAGATTCTCTCCCCTGTGCGAACGGGCTGTAGTGACATTTAATGGCTAAGTGAGGGAGTCACCAATGAGTGGAGGCACCTTTCTGAGGGGCTAAGGTAAGAGGGTTTCCATGCCTCTCCCTCTCCCCCTATGTCCGGGGCTGTCTGGAAGCGTCCCAGCATCTGCCGGAGTGAGGGAGGGACGCGGTGAGTCCCTTGAGCCCCTCAGCCAACTTGAACTTAGGAACTCATGTGAATCTTGTGTCTCTCTCTTGTAAGCAGCTGAAGTTGCCTCAGTTTTCCTGTTGTTTGCTGAGCCCAAGAACCCCAGCGTGCCCACTCTGTCCTTGGCTGACAGCAGCACGCTGTCTCAGGAGGACGGCTGAAGGGCAGAGTTTGGGCTTAGATGTTTTTTTTCCATTTCCTCATGTCATAACCTAATGCTGTTCTAGCAGAGCTTCTGCATATTAAATTGCCTTTTAGCCACTGGGAAGGGGGTGGCGTGATCTATGGAGAAAAGGACCCTCATGTAAATGTATGATGGTGACACAACCCCACAGAGGAGAAAGGGCAAGACTAACCCGGAGACCAGGGGTCAGCAAACCCCGGGAAACGTCACTCTTTACAGCCACTTCTCTCTCCTTGAGTCAAGAGCCACTGTTCCGAGCTTTCCGTCACAGCAGCTCATGGCAGCCCTATCACCGCCTGTTCTCTGGGCTGGGGCTGGTGAGAAGGCCGAGGAAGTCTGAGGCAGGGTGTGTGGGAGGGCTTTTGGTTCCAAGAGCTTCTCTGAGCTCTGTGTACCAGCGAGAAAGCAGGCAGCGAAGGCAAGATCAAACCTTGCTCCTGCCAAGCGGGAGAGGCTGGCTTCGGGTGGTAATTTGTGCTGCAGGTGAGGCTCCCTACCTGGGCGGCCACTTAGCTGCACCAGGCAGGGAGGGCAGGGCCACCAGAAGGCCTGGTGGGCATTGTTTCCATGGGCTGGAAAGATTTTTGCAAATCTTTCTGCAAATGATGATCTCTATCCACATAAAGTGGCATAATAGCCTCTTTGCTTTACCGAGTGCTGCTGGCTGTTCAAGTGCTTATTTCTTGATTCTTGGCCCATTTGCTTTCCATTAGCAGTAATCCCAAGCCTGCAAAACTCCAATTACTAAGTGATAATAGAAATGCAGCTCTGCCTCGGAGTCTCTGGAGCTCAGGGTCCAGAGTGGGCCAGGGTTCCACGCACAGCCACATTGCAATCATATTTATGACATGTGAGCAAGACATCTGGCCGGTCCCTGGGTTAAAGACCCAGGGGAGCCGAGTGGGCATTCTCAGGGGGTGTCTGCACCGCAGATCCCAGGGAGCTGGTGGAAACAGGACAGGTGTTCCCAAGACAGTCCAGGATGCTCAGACAGCGTAGGAGGAATGGAGGCTACAATGGACGGAGCTGAAGGAATGTGTGCTGCTCCTTTGAATTCTGGGGTTGGAGGAAAGGTGTGCTAGGGACTGAGCTGTGTCCCTCTCCCAAATTCATATGTCAAAACTTTAACCCTCCATGTGAGGGTTTTTGGAGGTAGGGCCTTTATAGGTAATTAGGTTTGGATGCAGTCATGAGGGTATCGCCCTTACGATGGGATTAGTAGCTTTCTAAGAGACCAGAGCCGTTGCTCCCGGCCCCACTCCCTGCCAGGTGAGCCCACAGTGAGAAGGCGGCCGTCCACAAGCCAGGAAGAGAGCCCTCACCAGAACCCGGCCATGCCAGCACCTGATCTCAGACTTCCCAGCCTCCAGAACAGTGAGAAGTAAAGGCTTATTGTTTAAGCCGCCCAGTCCCTTGTATTTAGTTATGGGCAGCTGAGCAGACTGCAACAGGATGACAGGAGAGAGAATGATTGTAGATTCAGAGTGAGGTGGGGCTCAAAGTCAGAACTTCAGAACTGAGCCCAAAATGATCAGAAAATTCACCCCCTAGGTGGCTGCTGGTGAAAATTCACTACTCTAGGGGCCAGGGCAGCTGTTTTGTATGTGTGTGTGTGTGGTAAGAAAACAAAAAAACAAAACAAAACAAAAACAACCACACACATAATAAGGCCAGGCACGGTGGCTCACGTCTGCAATCCCAGCACTTTGAGAGGCCGAGGCGGGTGGATCACTTGAGGTCAGGATTTCCAGACCAGCCTGGCCAACATGATGAAACCCTGTCTCTACTAAAAATACAATTAGCCGGACATGTGGCGTGAGGCTGTAGTCCCAGCTACTCAGGAGGCTGAGGCAGGAGAATGGCTTGAACCTAGGAGGTGGAGGCTGCAGTGAGCTGAGATCGTGCCATTGCACTCCAGCCTGGGCGACAGAGAGAGATTCCATCTCAAAAAAACAAAACAAAACAAAACAAAAAAAACACATAACATAAAATTTACCATCTTAACCATTTCTAAGTGTACAGTTAAGCAGTGTTAACTATATGCACACTGCTTTGCAATCAACCTCCGGAACTTTTCATCTCACAAAACTGAAAGTCTGTATCTGTTAAACAACTCCCATTTTCCCCTCTCCCAGGCCCCGCACCCACCATCCTACTTTCTGTCTCTATGTATTTGACACTCACATCATCTCGCGCAGGTGGGATCATCTGGTATTTGTCCTTTTGTGACTGTCTCCTTTCACTTAGCTCACTGTCCAAAGTTCGTCCATGCAGTAGCATGTGTTGGATGGACTTTCCTTCCTTTTCAAGGCTGAGTAAGATTCCACTGTGTGTTTACATTTTCTTTATCCATTCATCCACCGAGGAACACCTGGGCGACGTCCCCCTCCTGGCTGCTGTGAATAATGCTGCTCTGAGCATGAGTGTGGAGCGTCTGTTTACAAAGGAGATGGTCAGACAGTACAACAGCACTCAGGTCAGTCCAGCTGCCCCCTCATCCCACCAGCTCCTTCCCAAAAGATTGACCACTGGACTTTTTCTCATAGGAAGCACTGCCCTCCGCACCAAGCTCCCTTCACATCCTGATCAGCGCTGCTCTCGGCTGCTGCTTCTTGCTTCAAGCCCCCAGGAATATCTCCCTTTTTTTTAATTCCATTTCTCTCTCAACCTTAAAACTATCCACCACCCTTAGTCTGTTCCATTATCAAGCCCTTCTGCTGACTTTCACCAAGCACTGTCATTTCTTCTTCCACATTTTCTTTCAAATTCTCCAAGATCCTCTTTTAAATATACTAGCAAGGCAGACTCGCCTGACTTTTCCCTAGTTCACACCTAGGGACAAACAGATCCAAAAAAGTCAATAGAATTTGTAGGGGATCCTGATAAGGACTTGGCTGATTTTTGTTGCCTGGTTTAGACCGCTGCAGTTTTGTGCCCCTCAGAAATCTCATAATTTATGACTGCTGCCAGCGGGCAAAAATGTGGAGCGTTTGTCCTCAAACAGAGTCTGTTGTAAAAGTGTTCTTTCTAACGGTAAAGAGCAGCAAAGAAAACAGGCTGCTGTGTTCTTCCTCTCTGATGCCTCTGACCTCGTTGAGTAGCTTCTCACTCAAATTGTTCATTGTGGCACCAGCCACATTCTTTTTGAGATTTTAAAAAATTAACAGACTCCTTTTTTAGAGCAGTTTTAGTTTTATGGAAAAATTGACTGGAAAGTATACAGAGTTCCTATATTAATGCCTTGGTCTCCTCCCCACCATCGTTTCTCCTATTATTGACACCTTGATTCTGACTCTGGGGCTGCCCTCTCTCAGGAACTGCAGCTGACCTGGGTGCCCAGTGCCTGTCCCACGCTAGAGAGGATCCGAGTCCAGCGTCTAGCTCTGCACAGTCTTTCTCCACTGCAGTGGGCCTGACTGTGATCAGCCCTGCTCTGAGACAGGAAGGCCCGAGGGCTGTTGCGTGGCCCATCTGCAGGGGCATCGGTGGTGTGACAGGTGTCCCACCATGTCACGTGGGGTGGATGTCCACTGCCTGAACCCTGAAGGCCAGGCAAGGAGCCAAGGCCAGGGGGGCCCAGCGAGGAGCGTGTGTCCCTGGGAGTATCTGGGAACCTACCCAGGAAGGCAGTCCCATCACACACAGCAGGCCAGGAACCAGAGACTTTGCTTAGTGATGGCAGCAGTGCGAACCTCTAGAGCTGTCCTGCCGCCACCCAGGAGGGCCCTCAATAGAGTCATCTACTGGCCAAGCTGGACTTGTCCGAGCCAATCTTCGGTTTCTCAGCACCTTCCCAGTTTGGGGTGTGAGGTTGCAGAGTGGGGACAAAGTCCCAAGTCTTTCTTATAATAGCATCCTGCACAGAGATTACTGTAGGATGGTGCTCCCAGCGGGGAACAGCATGGCCCCTGCCACACAGATGCCAAGCAGTCCCTGGGGGTGGAATGACAGACGCCCTCTCTAGGAAGACACTGTATTACACACAAGGAGTGGAGTCAGTTTATACCATGCCCTGGTCTGCCCTGGAGATGGAAAAGGGAGTCTGACTGGACAATGGAGAGCTTTTTGGATCAAGACTTCCATAGATCCAGTGTATCCCTTTACTCAGTCAGTCACTTAATATCTACTTATCTGAAAACACTCAGGAGCCCAAGGCAGGCAGATCACGAGGTCAGGAGTTCGAGACCAGCCTGGCCAACATGGTGAAACCCCGTCTCTACTAAAAATACAAAAATTAGCTGGGTGTAGTGGCACGCACCTGTAGTCCCAGCTACTTGGGAGGCTGAGGCAGGAGAATTGCTTGAACCCGGGGGGCGGAGGTTGCAGTGAGCTGAGATCGCACCACTGCACTCCAGCCTGGGTGACAGAGTGAGACTCCATCTCAGAAAACAAACAAACTAACAAAAAAACCCAAAACCCCTGGGCCAGGCACTGTTCTAGGCACTAGAGAGTCAAGAGGAATAAAGCAGGCTTGGCCCTGCTGTTTTGGGGGGACACAAACAGAAAACAGTAAGACAAATAGACAAAAGAGTTATGTAAAGAAAGAAACTGGGTGACCTGATGGTTACTGGGAGGTGGGGGTCTTGGGGGTGCTGGTAGACAGGGTGGGCCAGGGTGGGCCCCTCTGAGGAGCGGACTCTGAGTGGAAGTGCTGGAAATAGGAAGGAGGAAACTGTGGGAAGAGCTGGCGGAGAGAATTCTCACCTGGGAAGAAGAAATAGCAAGTGCAGCTGCCGATCTGGAAAGGAACGCTCGAGAAGGAAAACAGGCCGGCAAGGCTAGGGCATCAGGAATCGGAAGGCAGGAGCAGAGAGGCTGGAAAGCCAGCTGTGGTGGAGGGCCACAGACTACGGCTCCCATTTGCCTGCCTTAGCACCCAGCTTCATGAGCTGTCCCAAGACCCCATGTCACTTGGCCCAGTGTCTTGGTATGGGCACCAGCCTCCAAGCTGGGGAACCTGAGTTCTCAGCCCCGTTCTACCTCTAGAGCTGTGCAAGCCTGCCTAAGTCCTAACTGCATGTCCTTATCTACAAAGCAATGCTGGAGATACGATTCTAAACTCTAATATTCTCCAGCAACGACTGTGCCATGCCGGCCACACAGATGACTCACAAAGAACTCCAGCACTCCCAATGCCAAGGTGCCGGGCTTGCATTGACAGAGTCCAGGATCTTCGCCTGCAAACCCTGCTGCTGCTCCTCCGAGAGTGGAAACCTGCCAACCCGCAGCCGAGGGACAGTAACAACTCACTTGGCCAGTGAGCAATGTCACAGCTGTGTCCAAGAGAGGAGAGGCAGGAGGAAAGAGGTAACAGGCAGGAAGCCCACTCCCAGACAATGAGCGTCTTCAGAGTCCTGACGTAGCAGAAGTCTAAATTGAAACATCCCGGTGCAGCGGGGTGATTGCACTAAAGCAAGTTGGCAAAACATCAGACAGCAGGTACCATGGCTGCCTGTGACGGGAGGCTCCGGCTGACTTCCTAATTGGGCCAAAGCACCTCGAGTGCCCTGAAGTTCACTTGCACTGCCATCAGCGGCTAAAACAAAGAATCCTTTCATCAATTAAAATGTGTTTCCAAGGCAGCGTTTTGCTCTTCCCTGGAGGAGCTGCTGGCCTTGCTCTTGTGATCTGTGCTGGCTTTGAGACCCGCAGCTGGGGCTGCAAACCCAGCAAGCCTGGAGCCCCCGCCCAGGCCTCAGCATGTGCTGCTTGGACTTAGCCCTGCTATGGATTTAGTGACTGTTCACTTTGCTCCTCCCTACTCACGACCCAACAGACAATGTTTAGCCAAAGGTGCTTTGGGGCAGGAGGGGCACACTCCACCTTGGTCTCTTCTGTGCGTGCTCACCGTGACTCAGAGATGCTCGGCCATGACGCTTCTCATCAATCTGCTGCTGCTGTTTGGTAAAGAGCCCCACTTTTTCGTGGGTGGGGGGGGGAGGCATGTGTGGCCACGCTGCTCCTCACCTCTTTTTCCTGTGATTCTCGTAAGAACCTTTCAGAACCCTCTCCTCCCTGCTCCCACCCCTTTAAAGACAGTAGTAGCTGCTTAATCAAAATGTGCCCATGAGCACTGATGTTCTGAGTCGGTAGCAAAGGGCTGGATGTATTTATATGTGTATTTTTGTCAGGCACTTATCTTATGCCAGTGTGCGCCTTCCTCTGCCTCCTGGGTATGACCTGGGGCCAGCCTGTTTCTGTCAACGGCACCAGGGAAACAGTAGAAAGGAGAGGAACGTAGAGTCGTTATGAGTCTGTGAAATTTGGGAAATTAAATGAAAAGTCCACTGTGCCCTCCACTCAGCCTCTCCCTCTTGGAAGGCAGAGCTGCGGGGGGAAAGGCTGAAATCAGCTTCATTTCCCTCCATTCCTGACTCTAACAATACAGGAGAATCAAGGTCAGAAAACATGCAGAGAACACGCTCACAGTATGGAGTTTCTTCTAAGTAATACTTTTCTGATTCATTTTATTACAAAATTAAATAGTTGATCCATTTGAACTCTCATGAATAGATATTAAATGTTGCTTATTATAAGAATGCTAATAAATCATTAGTTTTTTTAATAAAAAAAATTAACCACCAAATGGCTAACAAATTAAATTTAAATCATTAAGTCTGATATTCCTAGAGAGGATCACAGGGGGTGGTACATTAGAGAACCTGTTTTTATTTTGTTTGGTTTTAAACACAAAGAGCCCGTGCTGGCTGCTGGCTCGAGCCTCCCTGGCCCCTTTCCAGACAGCAGCGAGCATCTGTGAGGCAGCTGACCAGGCGGAGCGGCCGTTTGGAGGGTGGCCGGGCTACCTGGGCTACGGGGCCGAGTCCGTGACCTCAGCCTCATTAGTCCTGGCTCTAACCAGCCGCGCTAATCAGCGCCAACATGTGCTGCTCAGGTGTTGATTGCTCTGTTGCTCATCACCCCTTCTAGGGCTGCCACACGTAATTAAAAGCTCTACCGCGAAGATGGCCAATCAGCCTCAGCTAAGCTTAGAAAGAACTATTGTCCCCTCTCAGTGTAAAGGATGCAAGAAACAGGAAGCCCCTGGTATGGGGACACAGTTTAATCAGAACTCAGAGCGCACCTTTCCAGCTGTCTGCCTGGACTGCAGAGAGACCTTGGCTGAATATTTCATCCTCTTGAAATATACTGCTGCGACCTGACTGAACATTTTCACACAGGGGCTTTAAATTAGAAGAGAGTCTGTGATATTCTCATTCGTAAAACCATAACAAACTGTTTCATTTGATCAGCTGCAGCAAACCAAGATAGCCTGGTATATACCAAGAGTTTGTCTATTTTTTTTCTTCTCTTAAAGCAATGATATTAATCATACCTTGCATATTCACTATATTATAGGAGATAAAAATAGAGGTAAAAAGAAAATGATCAATTCTTTAAAAAAAAAAATCTAATTCTTCCCCCATCAGGTGATGTCATCCGGGCCAAGAAATGCAGACATAGAAAGGGGCAAAGTCTTGGTGGTGCGTGCCTGTAATCCCAGCTACTCGGGAGGCTGAGGCAGGAGAATCACTTGGCCCGGGAGGTGGAGGCTGTGGGGAGTTGAGATTGTGCCACTGCACTCCAGCCTGGGTGACAAGAGTGAAGCTCTGTCAAAAAGAAAGAAAGAAAGAGAGAGAGAGAGAGACAGAGAAAAAAAAAGAAAGAAAAAGAGAAAGAAAGAAAGAAAGACAGACAGACAGACAGACAGACAGACAGAAAGAAAGAAAGAAAGAAAGAAAGAAAGAAAGAAAGAAAGAAAGAGAACGAACGAACAAAGTCAACAGCGAACAGACACTTCCAAAGTGCCTTTCGGGCTATAACCGTACTGTCATCTAAGGCAGCTGGCACCTCAAAGCATGAGCCTACAGATTCTTTCATGGGGTCTACCCTGTCAAAATGATCTTCATTATAATACTAAGATGTTTTTTGCCTTTTTTCACTGTGTGGACATTTGCACTATGCAACCAAAGCAATGGTGAGGAAAAGTGAGGGTGAAGGAATCAGAGGCAGTGGCGCCCACGTGCACTCTTCACCACCACATGCTCAGGGAAGAAAACAAAGGCAGAGAAGTAAAAAGACCATTTCCCTTAAGATGTCCTCAGCGATGCCGGCAGGAAAAAGTATTACTTGTAGGGAACCTCCACGTTGACGAGTCATCTTTTTCACACTTCCTGGGTGAGATGGGAAGCGTGCATGAAGCACCTCTGCACGTTGTCCTTAGGAAGAGTGCCACGCTCTTCCTGTTTGAGTTGCAAGCTCAACTAGCCCCTTTGTTCATGGGATGCCATTTTTACTTCAAAGAAAGAGTGACTGTGGATACTCAGATTTGGGGACATGACAGACATTTTCTTGAAAATGAACAAAGTAAGCTATTTATCACTTTGAGGGAAATGAAGTGATCAAATGATAAAATTCACGCTTTCAAGATAAAATCCGAATTTTGGAAAACTTGTTATCGGTCACTGTGAACTTGACAGCTTCCCAGTACTTAAAGAGAGAGATTTTTCTCAAATTAGTGGTGATGTTTACAAAAGTGATTTGGGGACGTTGTATAATGAAATGTGTCAAGTCTTGAAAGATCTGCATCATTCAATGAACTGGTAGTTTCCAAATGACCAATAGTATCATGCATGGGTTAAACATCAATTCAAAATACAAGATAGACCAAATGATTTTAATGTAAGATAATAGGAAATACTCATTAATATGATTTCAGATTTCACATTGCAACTAGCTTTTAAGAAACTTTCATATATCAAATTGTGGTGTGGTATCAAAGACTATCCACAATTTTCTGAAAATGCTATTAAAATATGCCTCCCCTTTCCAACTATATATCTGGGTTTGGCTGGATTTTCTCCACATATTTCAGCCAAAACAACTTACTGCAACAGATAGAAAACACACAGAAATGAGAATCCAGCTGTTTTCTATTAAGCCAGACACGAAAAACAGTTGCAAAAATGTAACACGATGCTGCTTTTTTCATTAAACATTTTTTGTTGTTCTGGAAAATAGTTATTCTTTCGTAAAAGTATGTTATTTATGTTAACATGTAAAGGGTTTACTATTGGTATTTTAAATGAATTAAAATATTTTTTAAATTTCTCAGTTTTAATTTCTAATGTAAATATTGATAAATATAACCCATGAAACTAAAGTTTCTTTGGGGTCCTCAGTAATTTTTAAGAGTGTAAAGGGGCCCTGAGACCAAAATGTTTAAAAAAAATGTTAGCATGAGGCAGCAGGAGAAAGAGGCTCCAGAAGAAGCAGTAGCACAGGGAATGTTCCAGATTAAAGGGGCTAACGAGACATGACAACAAAATGCAATACCAAACTCTAGACTGTATCCCATATGGAAAACACCAGAAAGAAACGTATTGGGTCAACTGACAAAATTGGGATAGGAATAATAAATTAAAATATTCTAACCATGTTAAACATATTATTGTCAATAACTATACTTAACTATACTGGATATGAAAATGTCCCTATTCTTAGGAAACAAACGCTGAGTATTTAGGGGCCAGAGACCATGTTGTAACTGACCCTCAAGTGGTATGCGTGCCTATGTATATATATCACTCTTTCATAGCTGTGACCAGCTAAGAAACTAAGATTTCCTGCACAGGAGTTTGAAAGTCAACGTGAAGGTCACAAAATTCCTATGAAGCAAGTATCATTTTTCAACTCAACAACAACTTTAACACTGAGGATGCGAAGAACCACTGAGTAGAAATTACACAATTAAACTGTTATACAATTTTCCAAGCAAGGGGTATGTTGTGGCCAACAGCATGAATGACAGCAGTTACTAGCCTCTTTCTCCCCTGCAGCCTCCTCTATCGAATGTGGAATGCCAAGGACCCTGTCAGCCTCCCTTGCAGCTAGGGGTGGCCATGTGACTGGCTATGGCCCAAGGGATGGAAGAGAATACTTGCTGGGGCTTCTGAGAAAGTTTCTGCTTTTCTGATCAAAGGGATAGCCAAGAGCAGAGAAGCCTCATCCCCACTCTGCCACCCATCTCCTTCTTGCATTTAGTGTGAATGGGATGCCTGAAGTTTTTGACAAAACAAGCCTGAAGATATAAAGCAAAAGACAGAAATAAAGAAAAAAACCTAGATCTTTGCAGACATCATGGACCAGCTGACCCAACTCCAGCAAATGCTTACCACCGTACTTGTTATGTGAGGAAAAATATGCTACTTGTTTAGTCACTGAGAGTCAGGGGCCTGTTACTTACAGCTACATGCATTACTAATGCCTACTTATTCAGAGGCTGGGGAAAGGCAGAATAAATCAAAAGGCTGCACACCATGCCCACCCCTGCAGAGGAAGCAATTCCAGAACAGAATGCCCATTTAAAACCTGGACCAAATGGCATGTTTAAGTTTCTAACAGTTTTCATTAACAAAAGTTAACATACAGAACTCCTACAACAGAAAGCATTCAACAGTGATTTAAGACCTGGAAAGGTCAAGAAATCCACTAATCGGATGGGTTTCAGTGGAAACATCGTCTCTGGGTGTTCTGCCAAGAGTGTCTGTTATTGCCAAATTCCTCATTCAAACCCATATATAAGAATGCTTTAACTGAAACGCAGAAGTCAAAAATAAGACATTTAAACAGTAATCTCCTGTCTCTCTTAAAGATAAATGTGCCCATTAGCCCTGGCTGCTAACAGGAAGATTTCTTTCTCTTACATTCCAGATGACAATTTTTTTCAAGCCATTCACAAAGAAATCAGCATGGAAAAAATAATTTAGGAGGTTGGCTCCTGCTCAGCTACCTCACTGAATTAAAGTGCAATCAAGTTTATAACTTTTAAGTGGAAATATTAAAAATGTGTATGAAGCCCCTCTGCATAGGGTCCCGTGCAGACATGGAGAGAAATGGTAGCCAGGCACCAAGATACACAGGATGCCACATGCGCTCTGTGGAGTTTCCAACCTCGTTAGAGCAGGACAAGATACATATGAAAAGTTAAATGACATGTTTCAGTAACAGTTCTAGACAGTAGAAGAGATATCATAAAACAGTACACGATTCATTGCCAGAAAGACAGTTGCTGACAATAACTGCTGCAGGATTTCAAAGAAGAAAAAATCACTTCAAGCTCAGGAAGGTCTGGGGAGACTTTACAGAGAGGGCGGGATCCAACTCAGTGTTGAAACATGCATGGAAACTGTGGATGGTCAAAGGGAGCACAGGAAGAGGCTCTTAAAAATGCTGGGTTTAGGCCATGCAAAGTGGCTCACGCCTGCAATCCCAGCGCTTTGGGAGGCCAAAGCAGGAGGATCACATGAGCCCAGGAGTTTGAGACCAGCTTGGGCAACACAGTGAGATCCCGTCTCTACAAAAAATAAAAAATAAATAACAATTAGCCAGGGAATTAGTGTGGAGATGCATGTCCATAGTTCCTGCTACTTGGGAGGCTGAGGTGGGTGGATCACTTGAGCCCAGGAGGTTGAGGCTGCAGTGAGATATGATCACGCCACTGCCCTCTAGCCTGAGCGACAGAGTGAGACCCTGTTTCAAAAAAAAGAAGGAAAAAAAATGTTGATTTTTAAAAAAGAAAAATCCTTCAAGGTAGGTGACTGGTGCAGGGAGGAAGGCCGCTGGGTGGCTGAGGCAGACGGGGCCAGGTTGGCGAGGCACACTGCACATTCAGGAAAGGATGGCTGCAGAAGATGGGAGCGGCCCAGGTGTCCATTGGTGCGTGAATGGCTAAACAAAAGGCAGTATGTGAACACAATGGGCGATTCTTCGGCCTTCAGATGGAAGGAAATCCTGACACAGGCTACAACCTGGATGTACCTTGAAGACATGATGCTAAGTAGCCAGTCAAAAAGAGAAAATTCTGTACGATTCCACTTATATGAGGTACTGAGAGTGGTGAAATTCATACAGAAGGTAGAATGGTGGTTGTCATTTCTGGGAAGGGGGAAGACCGAATTACTGTACAATGGGTATGGAGATTCAGTTTTGCAAGATGCAGAGCTCTGGAGATGGATGGTGGTGATGGCTGCACAACACGCATGTAATTAATACCACTGATCTTAAAAATGGCTAAGAATGGCAGCAGCCAAGCGAAGTTGTAAAGTGGGCTCCAGAGAAGAGATTGGCAGTTGGCTACCAAAAATAAGGGCAATACCTTTCTTCAGGCCCCAGGCCTGAGACCCTCGGGCTCCACACCCGAGCGGTGAGCAGACGGTATGCTTTTCTTTCATCAACAGAGAACCCTTCCCCTGATTTTCTTGGGAAATACTGAACTCATTTTAATTTAATGAAGGACTTGTAGAATTTTTTTTTTTTTTTTTGAGACAGAGTTTTGCTCTTGTTGCTCAGGCTAGAGTGCAATGGCGCGATCTTGGCTCACCGCAACCTCCACCTCCCGGGTTCAAGCAATTCTCCTGCCTCAGTCTCCTGAGTAGCTGGGATTACAGGCACACGACACCACACCTGGCTAATTTTGTGTTTTTAGTAGAGGCAGGGTTTCTCCATGTTGGTCAGGCGGGTCACGAACTCCCAACCTCAGGTGATCCGCCTGCCTCAGCCTCCCAAAGTGCTGGGATTACAAGTGCGAGCCACCACACCCGGCCAGGACTTGTAGAATTTTTTAAAGTCTTCGGCCTTGGAATCAGGGTAAGAACCCAGCTCCTGCGGACTTCGTGTCTGGTCCCTGCCCTCTCCCCAGGGTCTTACTCCAATGGATACAGACACAAAATAATAGACAACCCAATCACACAGAAAATAAAGTACAGGTGGCACCTGCACGGCTCAGGGATGCGGGTGGCAAGTTTGGGCTTCATCTAAGGAACTTGTCTAATATCTAGCTATCCACTCTGTTCTAACTCTCACCCAAGAGCCATCAGAGAACCCAATACCTGGTAGGTACTCAGTAACTATTTGAGATTCATATACCCTCACGATGAAATGGCTTTAGATTCTTCCAACAGTTCCGAAATAAAAGTCGAGCTAGCTAAAGGTATCTCCAGAACAATTCTGGGGCACCCTGCTCTAAATGTGACTCCTGGGCCCAGGGTTATTTTGCCGGCACCTCTGCAGCCAGTAATCCATAACTCTAGTCATCACGGTTCCCTGACAAGAGAGCTTGCAAAGCACCCCCACCTTGAGTTCTGGTCCTTCCCTGGAGCTTTAGACAGGCTTCCTGGCTAATGATTTGTAGAAACTACCATTTTTAGAGTGGCTTTACTTTAACAACAACAACAAAAGTGAACTATAAATATTAAAACTTCTTATCAGCCTCGCCAATGAGAAAACTCCCTCCCTGCATTCCTCAGGCCCTTTTGCAACAACCTAAATATTTTTAATCCTCAGGTAGATACAGACATTGGAAGATCAAAAATTACACCAGGGCCACAGGAACTTCAGCTCACCGGGCTTGCAAGCCTACATTTGTATTCATGAGCTCAGCTTGTATGCTTGTTCTCTTATTTTGCTTCATTTTTAATTTAGGAAAAGATGGCTAATATATTAGATCACTTTCACTGCTGGGTCTTGTCAGGCTTCAGAAGTCTTTAAGGACAGACTGCTAAAAGAGTAAAAGGGAAGAAAGCAGAAAATGTGTCAGGGAAATGGAGTTCCTATCATTTCACTCACAAATTCTGCCTTTTAAATGTAGTCCTTCTACCAACGGTTCAGTGAAAGATGGTTTCCTTATTGTCATTTATTAGCCATGACAGGCAGCAACATTGGCTCAGATACAGTCTCCCTTCACCACAATTATCTAGTAATGCCTGCGAGGCAAAAGACTGCACAAAACTCCCTCCTTCTGGAAAGCTTCTCCCCAAGGCACCAGTTCAAAGCAAACCTCTATTAACTGGAACATGAACATCTGCAGAATTCTCTGGATAGGACAATTCTACTATTCTTATAGTGATCCTAGAAACGAAGACATAATCACTCACACTCCAGTCACCAGGAGACCAGGGTCGGTTCATAGGTGGAAGCATCACAACCCCCCAGCGACAGCATCTGCCCCCAAATAAACACCCACAACTGACCTCAGTACCAGGACTCCCCTTTTAGCAAGGACCCTTCCTGTCAACCTCCCCTCAAAGACAGAAAAAGAAAAAAGTCAATTTTTTTTCACTGAAACTGAATGTAACAACCAGACAAGATATAAGATAGTATCAAAATTACATAAATTAGATGCCCTACTGGCTTATCAGCCCCTAGACATATTTATCAATGTGATGTGATGAAAATGACACACTCCATCCTAACAGGACTCACAACTCTTGTGACTTGCGGCAATAGAGAAATCTCTAATTTTCTACCTTTAAGTCTACTGATTCTTTTTTCCACATACCTTTTGTTTTATGTATTTTGGAGCAAACACAGGGCGAGGAGTTTGGAGGAGAAAAGAGAAGGAAATTTAGGAGAGAAGAGAAGAGAGACTTGGAAAGAGGATAAGGTGAGAAGTCAGCAAAGGGCAGAACTCAGGACTGAAGCCTTCCGGGAGGACAGAGGCCTGGGCCCTACCAGATAGATGGCCACACCTGGGACCAGGGGCAGGGTACACAGGAGAGAGCGTAGGGCTAGCGGCTGCCTTCGCATTTTACATAAATCTGATCCATAAAGCAGCCCCAGACATCAACCCTGGGGAACGCACACAGCTTGGGCATCTCAAATTATTCTTTGAGCATTAAAACATATGTAATATGCTTCGGAGACAATACAGAAAGGACAGGAGCAGAAAATTAAGCATATAATTATAATAACATAAAAATGTACATGCTTTGGTAGGGTAGATTTTAATAAGATTTTAATAATATTGGTAAGGAGCCAAATTACAGAATACCCTAGAATGTGGAATACAAAATCTCAGAGACAAAATAAAAACTCATGAAAATATAAGAGCACTTTAAAAAGGTAATAATCTTTAGGATAAAGAAAGCCTTTTCTCAACACAGGTACTGAGCATGTTTAATAAAAATTAAATGAGATTAAAGAGAAGGGGCACAGCCACACGCTCCCCGCCCCGCGGTGATTAGGAAGGTGATGCTTGTGTAGGTGAAAGCATGGAGCCAGGGCACAGAAGAGCTCCGAACACCAACAGTGCTGCAGTAAGCTGTCTCCACGTGGGTGGAATTTCTCACAATCCACTCACGGGATAGGAATTAATTTTCTCTCCAGTTGCAGAGGGGCCTTGTACATGAACTGCGTTGGCATGCGGAGGAGGGGCAACACATCCATGTTGGGGACCCCTCCCATCCACAGCCCCAGCTGCCACCACGGCAGGGCATGGGCTTTGGGGGCAACAAGGAGAGACAGGCTGTCTCCTCTAGGAACAACTCATTATTCAGCTAAACGAAATGGAAGAGCTCCATGTGACCAACAAACCCAAATTGAGCCAAAACAACAGGCGTCCCCACCCCCCAGAGGGATAATGTGCCACCACCCTGTGTGCAGTGGGAGAGCAGGAATGGAGGAAATATTCCTGGTTCAGTTACACTCCTCGTCTGTCAGGACAGATGTGCCACCCTATCTCGGATTCCGGGAGGGTGGCTGGGGGTTTCCCTCAACTCTGCAGCAAACACTTCAATGCTACTGTCATTTGAGGCCTAATTTTCTTCCAAGGGCACTATATGCCATGCTTCACTTGGGCCAGATGTTCAGATCAGTGTGTCTGCTCGTCCCCATTAAGAACACAACCACAATTATTTATTTGTCCTTCCAGCACATGTAGCAGTGAAGAGAGGCTGCCGGATCGCAGCAGATGACAGACAGCTGATGCTCCTCTGAAGAGCCACCAGCATCCCAGCCAGCCAGGACACAAGAAGGGGAGGCACTCTCGTTCTAGCCCTGTGCACCAGGCCACCACAGGCTCCCCTATTTTAAACCCTAAAGCAATAGTTCAAACACATGTAGATTCCATGTGACAAGAGAGACAGTAAGGAAGATTTGAGGCTTTATATTCTTTAGATGCCTACTTTTGCCATACTGGCTAGTAAGAAGTTATGTGTAACTTCAAGATGAAAGGCATTAGCAACCTCTTAGAAGACGATAATCCCAATCTTCTGGAGATTGAATGAGATGTAACTCACTGAAGCTTTTGACTCGGTCTGCTGTTAATTGAATCAAAGTCAATGACAATCTTGCTGCACTTCGGTATGAATTTCCTAAAAATAAAAACAAAATACAATTATTATCTGGTGAGTAGTGAAAGCAATTTGTTTACTTTGGCTTAACTCATATTTTCTGTGCAGAGAAAAATATGTCCTGGGATTCACTTGCTATTTTCTCTCTATAGGAGCCAATTATAGTGCACCATACCAAGAGAAACACAGAGCAGAAAAGACTAAGACAAAAAAAGATGCATGGGGTGGTGTGGTTTGTATGTTTTCAGCTCTCTGAGTTCACGAATTATTGGGGAGTCAAAGGATTTCTAACAAGTCAGCTGCACAACATGATATCCGATTACTAGTTTTCCCATCAGATTTATCTTATTTTCTAGAAAAATTTCTGCAGCCAACTTGGAGTCTCTCTAATGCAAAAAAATAGTAAATTTTCTTTTGCCGCTTATATATAGCAAAAAACGACTACCTTTAGTGAGGAGTAATTTTTCAAATTACATTCTAAAAATGCAAACATAAACCAACTTTTTTTTTTTTTTTTTTGCTCATTAACTTTTCACTTGTTCCTCATTTCTTCTACAACAATTAAAAAGAAGACATTTGGGAACAAAACAAATTCTTTTAAGAATCACTGAACAAGAGAGTATACAAATAATTTGAATTTAAAGTCTCAGAAGGCACCACGGTTGAGTTCATGAGATACACTGAGCTGTATCCCTAATGACCAGCACAAGGGGCCAGGGCACGTCACCTATGACCATGGTCCCACTGCTGCTGAACGCCAATACCATGAAGCGCTGGAAAACTTTACAGTCCCAAAGGAATTTTCTGCCATGAATCAAAGGTAGTTGAACTTACTTGCAAGTAAAATATAGCTCACAACCATTTCTTAGCAAAGATAATCATAAAAATCTGTAAGACTTCAAATCTCAATGCAAAATGTTGCTGTAAAAAGAATCCCCAGGTGGCTCACACCTGTAATCCCAGCACTTTGGGAGGCTGAGGCAGGCAGCTCATGAGGTCATCCTGGCCAACATGGTGAAACCCCGTCTCTACTGAAAGTACAAAAAAATTAGCTGGGTGTGGCAGGGGAGGCTGAGGCAGGAGAACCGCTTGAACCTGAGAAGCGGAGGTTGCAGTGAGCCAGGATCGCACCACTGCACTCTAGCCTGGTGACAGAGCGAGACTCCGTCTCAAAAAAAAAAGAGAGAATCCCCAATGTTTCAATCTGGCAGGCTACTTTCATCCTAAATTTTCTATGCCAAAGTTGTTACATTTGCAAAATTCACCAAGGTTTGGCATTCCTATTATAAAACTTGTGAATGTTTAAACTTCTCAGTACTTGAATAATTAGTCTAATTACCCCGGAAAGTTACTGAAATTAAAGTACAATCATTAAACAAATGGTCTTCAGATTTTCCTGTCACTGCTCTTAAATATCTACCCCTATAATAGTCTTTAAATTCTTATGCCCTTGCATTTCTAAAGACACCTCCAAGTGTGGAAGTCAGGCATCACAAGGAGGAGACAAGGTCAAATACATCTCTTCATCAGCCTTCACCCTACCCCGTCCCCCCGCCCGCATTCTCCCCACTTACCGGAATGTCACCCCGGCCATATTAAACAGGAGCCTCGCAGCAGTTGCCTCGTCACTATCATGGTATTTATCAGACATGAAAATCACTTCTTTTATACCTGTAAGGTAACAATGGGAGCTCCCTTAGTGTACGCACCTACAGATGCTGCAAAAGACAGGCGGAAGCAGCTGGAGCACTTTCAGCGTCTATGATTAATGACCTTTTCTGAGTGTGCTTGCAGACAGTGTCCAGTCACTGAAATACATATCTGCTGCTTTCTAATACAGCAGAGGGTGGATTCTATCTAATCTTCCCTCCAGTCTTTATGGATTTTTTTTTTAAACAAATGCAAAGGGAAAACATGTCAAGTAGTCAAGCCTTGATCCGATTAACCAATTTCCCTTACTACAGGTAATCAAGGCAGTATGCACAAGGTAGCTTCTCTTACTAGTGGGAGGACTAATGGAGGGAGTGGGGGCTGCTGGCAAATTCAGAGGTGGGCACCACTGTGCTTCCCAGCATGGCTTTGCAGACCACTTCAAACCAGCTCTACAGAGGGCAGATCTGTTTTCTTGTCCTGATCTCAGCAGGCAGCGCTAACTCGGCAGCCAGGAATCCCAAGGGCCCCGCACTGAAGGCCGCTGCTCCATCAGCCTCTGAAGGCAGAGGAGGCTGCAGTGTGGGGCCCGGACTGCTCGGCCCACAGGCCTGCCACCGCCTCCACACCTGGGCACCGCGAGGAGAGCTTCCCAGGAACGGTGACGGCGACAGCCAGGGAGCCCACGCGACTCCTCAGTACCAGCAGGCCGCTTCTGCTCTGAGATCCACAGGACTGGTGATAAACGGCCCCTTCAAACCACACATTTGGCTAAACATGGTAAGTCTTTAAATCTCCAGCCGAGAGTTTTATGGAGACAAAGTGTAGCTGAATCTTAGATGTGACAGTTTGAAAAAGGCGAAATATTCAGAATACAATGGTGTAGATTTATGGGAACCGTAAAATAAGAAAACCTGAAGGTAGTGCCATTTGGGTCTTATGACATTTATATGCCAAGGTATGTTGAGATCCTCAAATATCTACCATGTATTAGATACAAATTAAAATTTCATATACAGACTCCCAGCTGACCTTGTTTCTGACAGAAGTTCATTTCTTCCCTCCCCCAAATCTATGCACAATATGTCAGAGAACAGTAAATTGACAGTAATTATATGCAATGCCTGTGTTGTTTTTTGGCAGCTTGCAGTTTAAGAAGTTGCAAACTAAATTAAAAACATGCTAAGAATCACAGAGGATGCAATTAGTCTTAGAATACCTGGCACCATTCAAAAACAAAACACGGGAAATATCTTGCAAAGCTGATAGTGCAATTAATTTAGATCTAAACAATAGCAATTTAAGATCAAACACATCAGCAATGAGCTACTGACGAGCAGGCAGCAATGCAAATGTGACAAATGGAAAGACCCGGTTCCTACCTGCCTGGATGATGAGCTTAGCGCATTCATTACAAGGGAACAAGGCAACATACATACTACAGCCTTTCACATCGGTCGAATTTTTGTTCATGATGGCATTCAGCTCCGCATGGCACACTGTGGGTTGAAAGGGAAAGAAAGAAAAACTTTGGTTGCAGCTCATGAAGAATTTACTAAGTGTTAACACATTCCATTCCCCCCTCTGAAATAACATATAACAGACTCAAGTAAAAACATTGATTAGAAATGGCAAGTCCTAAGAATACCAAATGAGGCCCACGTGGTCTGGCTGGTTGCTGATGAGCAGTGAGGCCTGAAGGCACCTAGAGCGGCCAGGACGGCCGAGGTCAAGTGCCTTCCCCACCCTAAGCGCAGCTCCGCTTCACGGCTCCACAAGACCCTGGGGCATGAAAGTGCCCACCTGAGCTGGCTCATTGGTGTGCTGACACGCACACATGGGGAAGTTCACCGTGGCTGTTAAGAGGGCTAGGGGATTTTAAGAGCAAGAGAATCAACAAGTGACGAAGCTGAGCGTGTCCATCCTGAGGGATCTGCTTTACCACATCGTGCTCAGCCCACATACGCACAAGGAAAAACGCCAGCAGCCAGACTGGGTCTCGTTCTGTTGCCCAGAGTGCAGCGGCATGATCATATCTCACTGCAGCCTCGAGCTCCTGGGCTCAAGTGATCCTCCCAACTCAGCCTTCCAAGTAGCTGGGAGTACAGACGTGCCACCAAGCCCAGCTAATTTTTTGTATCTTTTGTAGAGATGGAGTCTCACTATGTTGCCCAGGCTGGTCTTGAAATCCTGGCCGTAAGTGATCTTCCCATCTTGGCCTCCCAAAGCTGTGGGATTACAGGTGTGGGCCACCATGCCCAGCCCAGTCTGTCTTTTATAAGAAAAACATTCATCCACTTAAATGGCAATGACTAGTTGAGCTCTTGATAGACCAGTGCATTCCACCCATGATCCCGGGTCACATCCGGACCTGCCTGAGTTCAGAGTCAAGGGGATCCCCTTCCTCCCTCTCTCGAACCTGGCAAAGCCAACACACACCCCAGAGGTCCAGTTTGCCTAGATGCTCCCGCTCCCTAATCCACAGGCGACATCCTCCTTGAGGGGGAATGAGTGGTGCCCACAGCACACACCTGGGTTTGACTCCCTCATCCTGCCCAGGAGGTTTCTGGATGGCCGTCTTGTATCGTTACTGAATTTTCCTGGGTGTGTTATCTAAAACTCTATTATAAATCCTAACAGCCGTGACTTGCAAACCTCTCTGATATCAGAACACCCTTAGGCGCTTCCAAAATACAGAGATCTGTGCCCTGTGCCTGCAGAGTGTGATGGCCTGGGCTGTGGCTTGGGCTTGAATTTGTAAGCAATTCCCCGGGTGATTCCAACGTGCAGACAAGTTCCGGAAGCACTGCCTTCTGGCTCCCCTGGTATTCCCAGCACATGCTATGCACACAAGTGCTAAAATAAATATTTGTCAAACGAGTTAATGAATGACATCCGGCCATGGCCCACATCACACAAGCCACCTAGAATATAAATATGGGAATCTTCAAGGTCTCCCCTACCCTCTCCAGCCTGCCAACCTTCTACACGTAACACTTCCAGGAGTTCTGAGGCCTTAAATGAGCAGTGGCCTAAACTTATGGCGCTCATACATTTCAGTCCCGACTCACTTGCTTCATCGATGATCATTTACTGAGCACGTACTCTGGGTCAGAGAGATGAAGGCCTGGCCACTCTCCTCAGCCACCCTCTCGTGTTCGGGTGCAGCTGCAGCTACCTCTGTGTGCCTGGGTCCCCCAGCAGCAATGCAATGTTGCAGGCATAAGGCTGACCAAAAGCTCTCTCAGGAAATGTTAGGAAGTATTCATTTTTGTCTACAAATTCCATGTTTTAGGAGATCTCAGTCCTGCCTAAAACTGAGCAATCTCTCCTGGCATTGCAGGAAAATCAAAAGAGGCAAACAAGCTGTGCTTCACTGACCACAGCCCATCAGAGAATCATCTTCGCTGCCCAGAGTGACCAGAGCCATGCCCCGAGACTTGCAGGTCTCATAAACCCTGACGGCATGGGAGGACAAGGAAAGACAAGAGAAGGGTGCGAGGGCCCGGGCTTGGGAAGGCACAAGGTATGGCCACATGTGCGCTGGCCTTGGAGGGGCTCCCGTGACCTCTTCTCCCCCTTGTGACCAGGCTGCTCCAGAGCTGGGTTTCACGCTGCTTGGTGTTAAAAACAATTACATGTAATTGTTTCTTTTATTTCCCCCTTGAGGGCAGAGCCCAGCCTAGGTTCTTTGTAACTCCCCCAGAGTCTAATGTGATGCCATGAACATAATGGGTGTTAAATATTTATCGAATGAATAAAGGAGGAAATGCAGATTCCAATTATTGATGGTGACGTTCGGAAGTACTGGAAGTCCTCTTAAATTCAAATATCAGAAATATGCTCTCCCATCTAATAAATACTTTTGGATGGTGCTGGTATTAATATTCAGAACTGCAGAGCCTCTGCATCTGTTATGAAACACTATGATAGCGTCCTCTAAGAACTGTCACGCTCACTGCCATGAGCTTCCTCTACTTCATCCCAGGCAGTTTGGGGCAAAATTTAACAGTATAGGTCTGGATTCATTAGTGAAAATTACCATATGAAACAGATTCTCTTGGGCAGCATCTGACATCCCTGTGTACAGAGGGCGATTTATAGAAATAATGCACAGCATTATAAACAGACTTCCTTTCTTTTAACCAAAAAATCACAAGATGAAGAATGTAAAGCTTCTTGTTAAAAAATATATATATATGAATATTAATATTAAAAATAAATATTAAATATATATCATATCTGAATATTAATACCAGCACCATCAAAAAGTATTTATTAGATGGGAGAGCATATTTCTGATATTTGAATTTAAGAGGACTTTCAGTACTTCCCAACATCACCATGAATAACTGGAATCTGCATTTCCTCCTTTATTCATTTGATAAATATTTAGCACCCATATATATATATATATATTTACATATATATAAAGCTACTGGGCAATATGAACAGTAGTGTGTCGGGTACACATGAGACTCTAAAAGGAACAATCCAAAATCCCACATACGCAAAAGTGGACACTGACAAGCAGGAAACTCAAGTGTTCGGTGGAGGGTGTAAGATCAGCCCCACCCTGGTCTCTCTTGCTGGTTCCCGTACCCTTCCCCAGACCCCCTCAGCCCTGTCTTATGATCACAGGCTTGCCCGACCCGCACCTGCGGGGCTGAGGAGAGAAGCCCCAACCCAGAGGAGCACCTGAGGCCGCAACCCAGCCCTGCCCCCTTCGTAACTCCCAGCTGCCGCCTGTTGTGGTCCTGAAATCCAGCTTCACCTTTGTGGCTGACACTCGTCTATCAGCTCCAGGATCTCCATAGCCCTGAAACTCTGAACCTTGCTGTCCCCCAGGCCGCCCTGTACCTCCTTTTGGGCCTGTCCTGAGGAGACAGGACTCAGCCAGGCCTCAGCCCCCAGACTGTCCTCAGAGAGGAAACTAGGGAAACTAACTTGATGACTTCCTCCAATTTGTTTAAAGCAGGTGGGTCAGAGTAAAGTTTGGGGATTCATTTACTTGTGTCGACTGGCCATCGACACTGATCAAATAACAGGCACCTGCCAAATCCACTTCAGGCCACAAAGAGCACTCGATGACTGCCTGGCCTGTGACGAGCTCATGCCTGCCCTGGCTGGCCAGACCACCACAGGCCAAGCATCCTCCCCTCTGTACTCTCCACCTCTGCCAGCGAGTGTGGACAAAGAGCTTTGCAACAAGGGCAGCACGAGGGCTCAAGGTCCAATTTGCTGCTTGGAAGCCGGATGACCTTCGACAGGGTGGCTGAGCGCTCTTGTAATTTGCAGGAGTGACAGTGGATCTGAGAAAGTGCATTTCCAGCTAACTAAATAAAAGCAATTTAAAAAATACCAAGTACATCCGATGTCTTTGCTTTTTTCCTAAGGTTTCCAGTTTCATTCCTCAATCCTCCAGAACAGGTGACTTTCTCTAAAACAAGCTTTCACTATCAAAACACGGCCTCCTCTCCCCAGGCAAACACAAGGCCGTGCTCCCAGCCCCTTCCTCCCTCCATCTCTGAGGGCTCCCGCTTCTCTCTGCTCGTTTTTCTTCTCCTGTAAGCATGCATACTTAGTCCTTAGTCTAGAGAGGTCATCTTGTCAGCCTTTTAGGATTCTTTTTTTCCTCCTTTCAAGATGAAATCATCCTATCTACAATTGTTACTATAATTTATTTTTAAAATAATTGTCTTCTGACTTTGTAAGGCATACATAATCCCCAGTTTTCTCTAAAATAATGTTTTTCAAACTGCAGGTCATGAAATCAGTTCAATGAGTTACACCAGCTTTTTCTTCTGTTTTAATGAAATAGGTAAGAAGGGAAGGATAGAGGTCAGAATGGATCCCGCATACAAGGTTAAATACTATTCCTAAAAATTATGTTTCAGGTGTCAACTGTGTTTGCTGGGTCACCATATATCTGCCAATTTCCGTGGTGTAGACATTTTTTCACACAGCCAATCTCCCACTCCCAACATGACGTGTACTTGGGAAGCAATGCGCACAGTTGGCTCTGATGACCTGATGAGAGCCAGCTCCACAGGCCACAGGAGGGTCTCGTCATCATGAAAACCCAAGGTCTCTTCTGGCCTGGAACCTTTTGATTCACCTGCTCTCTTTGGACTCCTCTCTATTCTAAAACCTCTCAGGACCACCATACACTTGTGTTCTCTTTCTGCTTTACTTTTCTGTAGGTCCTTTTATTTTTCCTGCCTTTGTGGGCACTTCCCAAGGTAAAATATTGGTCTTTGATTTTTCTCCCATAGTCACTGCCCTTTTTTTTCTTTTTCTTTTTTTTTTAGATGGAGTTTTGCTCTTGTTGTCCAGGCTGGAGTGCAATGACGTGATCTCGGCTCACTGCAACCTCTGCCTACCAGTTTCAAGCGATGATTCTCCTGCCTCAGCCTCCCGAGTAGCTGGGATTACAGGCACCCGTCACCATGCCCAGCTAATTCTTGTATTTTTAGTAGAAACAGGGTTTCGCTATGTTGGCCAGGCTGGTCTGGAACTCCTGACCTCAGGTGATCCACCTGCCTCGGCCTCCAAAAGTGCTGGGATTACAGGCATGAGCCACCGCGCCCGGCCAGTCACTGACCTTAAGAATCCATCTGTTCATAGATTCTCAGATGCCAGATCCATCTGTAAAACCTGAAATCTGGTGTCTAGCCATAACTGCCCATCTTCTCCCCAGGCCTTTTCTTTTGGGTGGTCTGGGGCTTCCATGTACCTTTCCTCTATGGGTTAAATATCTCTTATCCAAAATGCTTAGGAGCAGAATTGTTTCAGATTTCAGATTTTAAAATGTTTGCATTATACTTACCAGGTGAGCATCCCAAATCCAAACATTTGAAATCCAGAGTGCTCCATGAGCATTTCCTTCAAGTGTCATGCTGGTGTGCAAAAGGTTTCAGATTTTGGGCCAGGTGCAGTAGTTCATGCCTGTAATCCCAGCACTTTGGGAGGCCAAGTGGGGGAGATCGTTTGAGCTCAAGAGTTCAAGAACAGCTTAGGCAACATAGTGACAGCTCATCTCTACTGAAAATAAAAAAACTTAGCCAGGTATGGTGGCGTGCACCTGTAGTCCTAGCTACTTGGGAGGCTGAGGTGGGAGGACTGCTTGAGCCCAGGAGGTCAAGGCTGCAGTGAGCTGTGTTTGCACCACTGTACTCCAGTCTGGGCAACAGAGCAAGACCCCATCTCAGAAAAAAAAAAAAGTTTCAGATTTTGATTTTTGGATTTGGCATGCTCAACCTGTACAATAAACATTCCACAGATATTTGACAGCAATAAATGAAGGAATAAATTTACCTTTCCCTAGAGTGCACATTTTTGTTGTGTTGCCTGGATGAACTGCAGCAAGAGCTACAACTAACCAAAACTAACCAAGAAGTAATTGTTAGTTTTTATATTCGTAGTAGGAATAAGGATCAAGTATTTCAAAGATACAGTGTCTAGGAAGTATTCATAAGTTAGTCTAAATTGTAAAAAAAAAAAGAAAAAAAGATAAAATGTTCAACCTAGAATTACACATCTACAGCTAAGCAATAAGCAAAATAAATCTGCAAACAGTACATATATATTTGATAAGCACAAAGAGTGACACACAACCCTCCAGTTATTCCCAACCTTGTTTAAAAGGAAAAGAATCAAATGCTGAAAATATCAGATTAATGCTTAGAAGGCCTTGATTGCCAGAAGAGACTTTCTGTTTCAGGTAATTATAAGACAATTCATATGCTTTGGTTTTTTTTTTTTTTCTTTTCTATTACTAACTGTCAGAATTCAGAACTGCATTAACCTTGGACCATGGAGAAGAGACTGTATAATTAGAAAACTGTATTTTTCAAATTCTCTCTTAGTAGGGCTTGATTAATCCTTACTGTCTCATGTAGGCGGTTCTCTAGAAGTTTGACAAATTAACAGGATATATTCCATCCCTGGTTAGATTTAAGAGTTCAGCGTTTTATAGATGTGACTTTCACCTCATCTGATATAAGACTGATACAATATCTATTTTAGACGGTAGTATTATAAGGTTACTCAGATAGGTTTGTTTAAAAACCCTAAATAATGCTGAACAAATTCTAATTGCTGCCTAAATAATTTAGCAGTGATAGTGTTATTCTACCCTCAACTGATCTTCATCTGCTATGGAGATGTGACAGGAACTACTGGGGCCTGAGAAAATTTGGAGTCAGGAAAATGAAGGTTCTGATCTAGTTCTGAACTCTAGTTCTAGTTCTGAACTCTCCAGGTTGCTTAAAAATCCCTCATTTTTAGTGACACAGGATTTTCCTTAAAGAAAACGATGTCCTTAGACCTGAGGGTTGTTCTGCCAAAGCTGACCTGAACAGGTGGCAGCCTGGTGTGGTGGCTCCCGCTAGGACCGGGGTCAGAAGGCCAGGCATGGAGTGCCTGCTGCCACTGAGAACAGACCTGCAACGCCTTCTGCCGCCACCCCAGGCTGAGCCGTTCAGAGCACGGACAGTTCTGTTCACTGACAAGACAAGGGTCAGGACTCGAGCTAAGAAGCGTCTGCTCATGGCCTTCTGGAATGAAAAGGTGGGAAGCATCACCCTCTATTATTTCTACTGGGTTCCCACCCTGCAATTAACAAGTGACATGAAATGGCATACCCAAGTTCAAGGTTGACCTGTGCATTAAAAAAAAAAAAAAAAACTCAGTAATTTACAGGATTTTCTACTTCCATTCTGATGACAAAGCTTTTTGTCATTTCTTCCTGAAGTTAGGGCCTGAGTGCTTTTACTTCTGGGGTCCTATAGTTATCAGAGTTGCTAAACCTGGACATGTTGTCTCTGGGAGCACCTGCACCCCTGCCCCGGCCCCCACTGCCCACAGATGCCTGATGGAAACTTCCGCTGAGGGATGGGGTACACACTTACTCCTCTAACTGATCCATTTATGGAACTGCTTCACAGCTTCTGGAACTAAAATGGAATTTCAACTACTTGTTTCTTAATTATTGAAAGATATCCTGACAGGGCCTCATATGTCACTGCCAGCCTCCGCAGTCCCTATCCTGCACGTCAATAATTTAACAACGGAATAGCCGCGACAGTTAAGCCCCCCACAACCCCCACCAAGTACACTCTCCCAAAAGCTTATGAAGTGTTCCCAATTATGGCTTCCCCAAAATCTAAAGCAAAGATTTCTAGAATTTGGTCCCAAATAATGTCACCTCTCTATCTTATCTCTCCTGCATGAAGTTCCTATTAGTAAAGCAGCAATCTGGCTCATTATCAAGGTTTTCAAATGATTTGAAATAAAGGTGGAACTGGGGAAGGGAGCACCATATAGAAATCAACAGATATCACTTCTCTAAGATAGTTCCACCAGACAAGCCCCTCTTGCTCCCCGCCCCTCTCCTGGCTAAGGCCCTGTCTTCCTCCTGCCAGCCTGCTGGACTGCTCCAAAGCCTATGTCCCTCTAAGCCTGCTCAGACAGAGCCCTGTCCCCCACCCAGGGGAGCAGCCCTTAGTAACAGGACTGGAGCAAGAAAATAAAACAGTTTAAAACTTTCGCAGTTTCCCAGGTATGTTCTGGTAAGTTCTGGTTGCAAACTGGCCTGCACTGGGTGGAGAGCTAACAGGGCTGGGTGTGTGGGCTGCGGGATGGAGGTGGGTCTGGTCCCTGCAGAGCTCACACCAGCTGGGCTGCGATGCCCCAGCATGGAAATCAGCAGCGGCCCGAGTGCAAGCTAAAGCAACACAGTAGGACTGCTGAAGGAGTGCTGAGAAAATCCAGAAAACGAGGGTTCTAGGCACTGCTCGCAGGTGCAAGGGGAACTGAATCTTCAAGTAACATTGTTTCTGTAGAAAAATGTATGTGGATTACAAATGTTTTTTCAGGACAAAGGGATTTAAATCCTAGGATGTGCCTACACAAAGGTAATACCCTGTTCAAGTTCCAGCCTCTCTCAGCTACGAATAGGAATAACGACACCCGCCCCTTCCCATCTCACAGGGTCACACGAACAGCAAGTGAGGGACACAGTAGGAAAATGCTGTGTGAACTCCAAAGAACTCTGCAAATGGGGACTTTGTCACCAGTACTCAGAACAGGACCTGTTTCCTAAGAAAGACACTGGCTGGCAGGAACCAGGTCTTCCTGATCAGAGACAACAAGTGACAGCGCTTCTGCCTCCCCGATCACGCTGCACCCGACAGCCTACCTGTCCTTGGCATCCAGACACTCCTGCCCCCAGCCCAGCCCCAGGCAGAGTGTGGCCTTTCTACTCAGAAGATAAAGTAACTGAGCCCTCCCGCCATGGAGGGACACATGATTCCACCTGATAGGCATGACAGTGTAAGTGTGTGTGTGAAAATAAAGACGAGAAACGGGGGTGATGTGGAGAAACCCGCCGCATGCGTGGAAAATGTGTGGGCTCTGTTCTGTTTCCACCCTGTGCCCAGAGAGGAGGGCTCTGCTAGAAGAAAATGACAGCGCAAAGGAATTCTACCAAGGTCTGGGGAGAAAGTGGTGGGTCACTCACGTAAAAGGCAGCCCATCCTGCAGGCTCTGAGGGAAGCCTCCACACCCAGGGTGCCCATCCGCCTGCCCACAGCCCAGGGCCCTGAAAGCTGAGGCAAGAACTTCCGTCTCCGCTCCTGCAACAATGCACTCAGGGGTCTTGGAGACCCCTGGTTCTGCCTGTCTTCTCTGCTTCCTCCCTACCATGTCCTCACACACTGTCCACAACCTACCAGTCAAGCATCTTCTTCAGCCTCAGCCTCCGGACCTAAGAAATAGAGAGAAAAGTCCCTCTCCAAGAACGGTTAGAAAGACTAACATCTGTCAAGAGCACAGCACAGACAAGCTACTTGCTACATGTGAGTGCTTCCCATCCTCTCCCACGTGTGCCCACCTGAGACCAGGCTGTCCTGGCCTGCCCAATCCAGCCTGCCTGTGAGAATACCCATTTCTTTTTCCCTCTCTCCCACTCTGCTCCCCATCCCTGCCCCCTTCCTCAATGCCTCTTGCTAAAGCTGCGGATGACAACTCACGGCACCCAGGGGAGCCACTTAGCCCCAATGGTAGTGCTCAGGGCTAAAGAGATTTCTGACTGTGGTAAGGCCATTATTGGTAATAAAGCCCCCAGAACTCTAATTACACTGCCTCCCTATGGGCTAAGGGCACACAATCAGGTCAGGAGGAGGAGGATGTGGAAATAGCTGTACTGCATCCACGGTAGGCCATGCCAACTCCCTTCCCACTGTTCATGTGAAATGCACACGTGATGCCTAAAATGCGTGACAACAGCACCAAGAGAAACAGAGCGCTAATCAGCGCTGATAGTACTGTGATGGAGCTTAAAAGCCTCCTTTGTGTGTTAATAGCGTTTAGAGGGGAACCGGGCCTGAGCACTGGGCACTGGAAGAGGAGCTGGGATGTGTGTTCTAATTAATTCCAGCTCTCCCTGGCCTGCCTCAGGCAGCGCACTGATCCTGGGTCTGCAGGTAGAAAATGGGAAGCAACCGCCCAACTCGAGATTCTCAGATAAGATGTGAGCTCCTGACACTGCCCTACATTCCTAGGACATTCTTCTCCCACCCCACACAATCAGCTCTTCTCTTCTCCCGGCATCCAAGCTCCAACTCCCAGCTCTCTCAACCGATGACCCTGCTTCCTCCACCGGAATGGTGCAACTGATCACACTCTGCCTTTCGCTCCAGGACCCTGTGTCTGCTGTCCTCCCACCTCCCCTCTCAGTCCTTCCTCTTATTATCAACCAGGGTGTCTGAGAGACCGATCCTCACAGCCTTGAGCACCTTGCCTCTGTTCCAGAAATCTCTATCTCACTCTCTCTGTCTTGGACTATTCCCATCAACAAACAAATGTCTGCTACAGAAAAGCAAAAACCAAAGCCAAAACCAGATTCTCCTATCCTACAAACAATGCAATCCTTTCCCGTGGCCTTATCTCCATTCCAGCCACCACCCCACTTCTCTGCTCTCTTCTCAGCCACACATCCCAAAGCCCGATCTAAATAAAGCTGTCCCCATTGTCTCACCCTCTGTTCTCCTTCAAGAGGCTCCAATGTGGCTTGCAACCCTATTGCTCCGCTGAAACTGTACTTGGCTGAAACTGTACTTGGCAATATCACCTCTGACCTCCACGTTGCTGAACCCCATGAACACTTTTAATCTTAGGCCTCTTGGCAGCCTCCGATACAGCTGACAAGCCCGCCTTCTTTTTTTTTTTTTTTTTTTTTTAGACAAAGTCTCACTCTGTTGCCAGGCTGGAGTGCAATGGCGCGATCTCGGCTCACTGCAACCTCCGCCTCCCAGTTTCAAGCAATTCTCCTGCCTCAGCCTCCCAAGTAGCTGGGACTACAGGCACGCACCAACACGCCCAGCTAATTTTTGTATTTTTAGTAGAGACGGGGTTTCACCATGTTGGCCAGGATGGTCTCGATCTCTTGACCTCATGATCTCCCCGCCTCGGCCTCCCAAAATGAGGCCTTCTTTCTTAAAGCACTGCTCTGTGTGCTCCTTCTCACGGGCCCTTCTTTCTCCAACCACCTTAAGCGCTGGAGCCCTCAGGGCTCAGCCACAGCTACTCCTACTGCCTCTGCACATGCTCCCTTCATCAGCCACCCAGGTCGCTGGCACTGACATACCTGTACTGCTACAGCCAGTCGGGACTAATCCCCAACTCATACACCCACCTGACCACCCAACCCTTTGCAGGGAGCGCTCATGGGCACCTCAGCCTTCAGGTGTCTAAATCTTCCTTGATCATTCCAAAATCTTGCTTCTCCTCCTCAGCATGCCTGTCTAGCTACTGCAACCAGAACCATTTGGGGGGAGTCAATCTACCTCTTCCACCCTTTATCACGCCATCTTCCTGATGCTGCCCCTAAAATACACCCCATCTCCAGCCAGGCCTCTCCAGCCCCAGCACCCACCCCCTCCAAGGCCCTCGCATCGTACACCACGTCACCTCCCGGCTGGCGAGTCGCTGTTTCCACTCTTGCCCCAGAACAATCCAGTTCATACACACAACCTGTCCTAGTTTGTTTGGGCTGCTCTAACAAATATCATAAATTTGTAGCTTCTAAACATCAGAAATGTATTTCTCACAGCTCTGGAGGCTGGGACGTCCGAGATCAAGGGGCTGGCAGATTCGGGGTCTGGTCCCTATCTCATTAAAAAAGAAAAAAAAAGTGACTGCCTCAGAAAGGAATATTCAATCATATCTGTTTGTTTCATTAATGTCTACCTCCTCCACAATTAGTCTGCAAACTCTTCAAAAACAGAGACCCTCCCATGGCATTCTGTTGACCTCTGCAGAGTGCCCGGCATGTAAAACACATAATAAATGCCCTAGAAGTGTCTGCTGAATGAACAAATGACCACATGTGATGGTGTCTGAAAAACTCCAACGCATTATAAAATAGAGTTAGGATTTTAAAAAGAAAGAAAGATGACTCCAGAGATCATCCCCATCACCAGCAGACAACTGAAACTGGTAAGAGAACAGGTGACTCGTTAGTACTTATTTTAATTCCTAAAAAGTGATAACTCACATGGAGAAGGAAAAATGACAGAAGAATTCTGCTTCCCTTTATTCACCTAAACTCAAAATTAATGGCATTTTGAACAAAGTCTTTTAATTGCAGAATTAAAAAATTCATGCTCAGTTATCATATTCAATATTTTAAATTTACTATGGCATCTATCATTTGAAAGAAGCACAGAGAAAATTTACACCTCCACTAATTGGTTGGCACCGACCCTTCAGACAGCATCAGCAAGGGGAGCGCCCATTCCCTTGCATTGCAACTCTCTTGCCTTCACCAGTATCCTGCATTTATCACAGGGATTTCCCAATGTCAAGCAAGTATCTCTGTTTGAATAAATATTGTCATGCTGACTTGTTCTCTAAAGAATTTCTAAAGTCCTTTCTTTCTATTTGGTCTTAACCTCTTGTCTCTTTCAAAGAGTTTTCAGCGTGTCCCATGTAATCATACATTTTCTTTCACTTAGACATAGGATCTTTTTCTTAATTTTTTTGAGACAGGGTCTCTCATTCTGTCGTCTGGGATGGAGTTCAGTGGTGCAATCTTGGCTCACTGCTGCCTTGGCCTCCCGAGCTCAAGCAATCCTCCCACCTCAGCCTCCCTGGAGTAGCTGGGGCTACAGCTGCACGCCACAACACCCGGCTAATTTTTGTATTTTCTGTAGAGACGGGATTTCGCCATGTTGCCCAGGCTGGTCTTGAACTCTTGAACTCGAACGATCCACCTGCCTCGGCTTCCCAACGTGCTGGGATTACAGGCGTGCACTCCATACTCAGCTAGGATCTTTTTCTTTATTGCTGTTATCCAACCTTTTCTCATCCAATGTCTTTTAATCTGCATGTCTGTGGAGTAACCTACAGTCTGACTGTCCCCTCCTATTCATGCATCCTATCTCCATATGGTCTATATTCATCTTAGAACTGCGCCAGTCTTTAATCGTTAGAGGAGGGAGGGAAAGGCGCCTGTTTCTATTAATTTATCCATATGTACACATGCACATTCTCCCTGTGGCATTGCCTCCAACAGCTTTTTACAGCTCTGATTTGACCGAGAACGCTTTCAGAACTCCGTAAGCTGAGAAAAAGATACTAATCTAATGCCATCAAAGCTATAATACTTATATTTTTCCTTGGAATAAGAGAACTGGAAGAATCTTCAGTGATAATTTACTTCATAGAGATATTGAGAAATAAATGTCAGGTGATGCCTCTAACAGCCCCACAGTCACTGGGCATGAACATACCAAACCTGGAACCCTTGGCTCCTTACGGCGGCTCCAGGATTCTTTCGTGTGAATATGGCAATTGTTGTTTTAAGCACTATGGGGCTTTACTTAGCTAATGTGTGTATTACAGACATGCATATCCCTATCCAGATTAAAAAAAAAAAAGTCTTCAGGAAGTAAAAGTAAAAAGCAATACAAACATTTGCAAAAATCTCTAAGAACTAGGTTTTATTGTGTATTTCTGGGAGCAAACAATATATTCATATTCTACTTTAATATAGCTGGTATTAACAAAACTCCTGAAGGGAGATTCCGGATTAAAAAAAACTCAAAATACAATAAAGCTTTAGTCATTTCAGCCAATTTCAGAGAAGATCAGTCAAAATCAGCACAACTGACATAGAACAGATCACCAGAATCAAGACTATGAGAGTAATCATTCTCAGGTAACCACACTGTACAGCAATCCCTGTGTTTCTAAGCAAAGACTTAGCAAAGTTAAAGAAATAAAGAAGTGGCCGGGCACAGTGACTCAAGCCTGTAATCCCAGGACTTTGGGAGGCTGAGGCGGGTGGATCACCTGAGGTCAGGAGTTTGAGACCAGCCTGGCCAACATGGTGAAACCCCATCTCTACTAAAAATACAAAAATTAACCAGGCGTGGTGGCACGTGCCTGTAATCACACAGCTACTCCGAGGCTGAAGCAGGAGAATCGCTTGAAACCTGGAGGTGGAGGCTGCAGTGAGCCAAGATTGTGCCACTGCACTCCAGCCTGGGTGACAGAGCAAGACTCTGTCTCAAAAAAAAAAAAAAAAAAAAAAAGAAGAAGAAGAAGAAGAAGAAATAAAGAAGGAATATCCATTTGCATTCAGATCATTAATGTGCTCAAATACTTAACATAGCTGTTTTCTAAATTAGTTTGCATGTGCCCCTGACATTTTATCAAGGCTACTAATTTTTCAACAAACCTTTTATCTTGAGAGATTACAGTACAAAGATAAACTTCAGCCCACTTCTGGGAACCCTGGAACCACTACTTTAGATTAAGTTTTATTTCAAACTTCTACGAGGTGAACTGACTCAAAAGTCACTTTTTATAGAAAGGAGACAGATATGTGTATTTTCATGGGTAGGTCCAATCCCCAAACATTTCAGCTTTTCCTAACATGTGTGCTCTTCAAAACAAGGAGTTATTTTGTTACTATATGTCTTTCATAGATATTCATAATGAAATAGTAAACTCTAGCACTTTAAAAATAATTAACTCTGTAACTATAAAAATACATAAATATCAAAATAAATTATATTAAAATATCATTATTTATTCCTTTCTGAAAACTGTTTATAAACAATTATATCTTAAAGTAAAACATGCTTACATGGAGCTGGTTGATTTTAGTGGGTGGGAGAAGACTCATATATACACTGGTGTGTCCCTCTGTTTATCTGAAACCCCACACGATCACAGCTGAGTTTGCCCCTTGATTCGTAAAAATAATCTACTTAATTTCTTTTCTATGCAGTTGTTCAAAGGTTTTCCATTGATTATAACAGTAGTTTTGTACAAAAGTCCCTAATTAGACCTGCTGTCGGGCCACAACTAGTAGAAGGCCAGGCAGGGGAGGAGCGGCAGGAAGCTTTAAGTGAAATTAAATTCTGCAGGAAAAGAAACAGCAAGTTATCAAATTCATGGACTGACTAACGAAACCAGAGGACATTCAATTTCAGGACGGAAAGAACAAATTTGATCTTAATTACTAAGAAGCTCTTACAAGTTGTGAGGAAGTCATATCTTAAGAAGGATCAGCCTCCTAACTTCTTGATAAATTAGTTTCTCAACACTAACCTTTCAGATGCCAAAGAAATATATCACGTGCATGGCAGTCAGGAAAATGTCAGTGTTCAAGGGGGTAAAGTAAATGGCTAAGTAATCACAAAAGTGACATCTATGCATGCTTAACAATATGCTAAGTCTGAAAAATAAAGATGAAATTTAAATAGAGAATTTAAAGAGGCACTGCCCCACACTGGCAAAGGTGTTTAAGATGCTCTGCTGAACTCTTTCGCCTTAATTAATTCCAGGTTTTTCAGCATTTTCCTTCCCAGCATTACATCCTTTTTAGAGTATCCCTGTAGACATAGGAACTGACTCGGGTAAGAGCCCCACTTCTACCCAACGCACTCAGAGTGAGGCCTCCCCCGACTCTTGGGGACACTGAGATGCTACGGTTCCCTCCCTGGTGCAGTGAGATGCAGCAGGCCAAGCAACCCTGGCTCCCTGGTCCATTGGGTGGGATAGGAGGCCAAGCACAGAGGCACTCACCAAAACCCAGAGCCCTTTGCCAGCAGAAATCAGCAAGGCCACAAGTGCTGGGCAGCTGGATACATGTGGCAAGCATTACTAAAAATTCCCTTAAGTTTAACAACGGGAACAAGTTAATTCTCCAACTCTCTAATTTGTAAACTATATCATCAAAATCGGTTACGAAAACCCAAGGAAAGAGTGATATCTGAATCACCAAGAGTATTTTACCTCATTTGATAACATTGGTATTTTGATTAAATGTGCTTCACTATAATGAATTCCACAAAGAAAAAGGAATGAAAAATGTCAACTGAATACTTCATCACAGGTTTAGCAACCCACCCCCTCATGAAAATAAAAATCTTCCCAAGTTTTTTAATCTTGTAAATTAGATAAATCTGCTGCTTCCTCTTTTTTAATTGTCATTCATCTGAAAAGATTCTTAGTATAATAACATTGCCTTCTTCCTGCCACTTAATGTTACTGACATCATATTATCTTTTGGATTTTTCAGGAAAAGGATGGAATAAAAAGCTTCTTTAGCAGAGGGAATTTTCATTTTCCACATTAATACTACATTATAATAAAATAGTTTTATGAAGTTTTGATCCCAAGACTGGAAGAACAAAAACACCCTTTAAAAATAACTCTCTAGAGACACAGCCCAGGAAAAGCTCCATCTTCCTATTATGTTACAAGTAGTGTGTGTTTCCCTCCTCCCCACAAGGCATCAATCAGGACTAATGACTTCCGACTTACGGAATTAATAAAGCAGTATTAAGCTGTATGTTATTTGGTAAACTCAAATTTACACAGTTCTCAAGCTCCCTGTCACAGTCCCTTGGGGCTGCTATAACAAAGTCCCATAGACTGGGTGGCTGAGAAACAATGGACATTTATTTCTCATGGTTCTGGAGGCTGGAAGTCAGGACACCAGCATGGTTAGATTCTGGCAAGGTCTCCTTTCAGGGTTGCAGATAGCCATCTTCTCCGCCTATCCTTGCACATGGAAAAAGAGTAACTGAGCTCCCTGGGGTCCCTTTTAGAAGGGCACTAATCCCATTCAGGAGAGCTCCACCCTCATGGCCTAATTACGTCCCCCCAGGCCCCACCTCCAAATATCAGCACATTGGAATTAGGGTTTCAACATGTGAATTTGGGGGGAGACACATTCAGTCCACTGCACTCCCCTTTGAAGAAATGTTACAGTGAGCCACGCATGTGGCTTTCTGCATGATGCCGGACACAGGCCACCCCTCCCCGAGCTCCTGATCTCTGAGGAGTAATTATTTTATCGGAGCCTCAGTCTGATCAACTGCAAAAAAAAATGAGACAATGATTGGCATTTCAGTACAGCTGAATTCATGTGCCCCACAGGAGAGACACAGGGAGGTAGCAGGAAGAGCACTGACCTTGGAATTAGGAGATGTCACCCTGCATGTGTGACATTATAGAAGTTACTTACAAGAAAGGAGGAGGCTTAGATCCTGTGGGCATAGAACCCTGAGACACTACTAAGGTATTGCAAGGGGTCCAAGCATATCCACAACTGGATAAATCCCATGTCCAGGACATACATAAACTTTTCCCAAACATACATAAATGCTATCCAATTAATAAAGTTCAGATTAACAAAAAATGTTACTGATACGAAGTAGTTTTTGTCATTGTGGAGTTTCTTACTCAAAAGATACTAAGAATTTAGCATTATGCAGGGGTCCTGGAAGTTTTTCAGCATTTAAAAGAGGGTCCTGTACATTCAAAAGAGTTAAAAATCATTGTCCAGAACTCGAGATAATCTCTAAAGCTCCTTTACAGGGATTAACCTATGAATTTACCCTTCCTGCTACAGCAGCTCAGTCACCATTAATGTAGATGAGGAAAGAATGGGTTGAGCTATCCAACTCCAGGCAGTATCCCCTTATTTTTTAAATTAATTTTGAAAATCTTAAAACGAAAGCAAAAAAAAAAAAAAAGACTTTGCATTTGAGTCAATTATCAGCAAACATTTCTGTGACATCCCAGGCAATCCAAACATTTACTTCTCTGTGGCCTGAAAAACCTTGAGAAGACAACAAGTGTACAGTTTATACACAGTCATCGTCATTTAGACTTTAAGCCCATCTTTACTGTATTATGGCGGCAGTAATACTAAATGCCTTTTAGAAACCATTTAATACCTTCTACAACTTTTATGGTACATCAAATTACAAGCTTACTCTCGTGAAAGAAAACTGTCGACATTCTAACACAGCTACATATAAATGAATAATTGATAAGTAAGAGCAAAGAGCTTTGAAAACCTAGAGGTATCATATGGATAATAAAAAATAATGCAGACAGACAACCAGTGCCCAGGAGCTCAGGAGCTATTCAATAAAAAACAATCGGTGAAGTTGGACAAATACCTATGCAGGTTTTTAAAAAAATTCCTTCTAGAAAGGGGCTCTGAAAGGTACTCTCCTCAATTTGGACAAAAGGCAGTGTCTCATAACCAACAAAATCAGCTACACGGGAAGTCAGGAGAGCTGGGAAGTCTGGGGTGTGGGGCAGGTGCTGCAAATGTACTGCATGGCCCTTGGCTTCCAGGTCACTGCTTAAAGATCTGCTGGGGGCTCTGGGTGACTGAAGAAGGCACAGGCCCCATTGGGAGGCCCACTCAGTGCTCACCCAGGACCCCTCCGCACTGTCCAACCACGGGTATCTTTTGCACCAGCTTGAGTATGACGGACCGCCATCCCCCCAGAATTCCTCCATATCAAAGTCCAGCCCCAGGGCCAATATTTCACTGCCCAGACTCGGTGACATACTGACTGTGGCCGTCACACAGTTCAATGCAGACCTTTAACATATCGACCCTCCACTTTCACCATTTTTATAGGGGACTTTGAACCGCACTGTGAAAAATTATCTTTGCATGGACTTAAAAACAACTAATCACTTCCCTTCTTTCTTACCATCAAAAGCTTATAGAATCAAAATCAGGGTGACAGTTTCTGAGTCCGCGCATTTTTCTAATTAGTCATCCACTACCACCGGCTCTGAAGCTGTGCTGAGAAGACAGTCTTACCCTCCCCCAACTCCATCCTCTCTTCCCACTCCGACGAGGGAGGGTGAGGTTAAATCAAGGATCTGAGGATTCGGTCCCCTTCATCCCTAAACTACTTTTCACATCCTGGAAACCCAGACTGCTTTGCAGTCCTCAGTTCCTCCTCTCTCTCCAGGTACCTCTTAACTTTTTCTTTCAAACATGGAGAAGTTGCCCCTAGGCAATTTAGAAAGAAATTTATGGGGCTTATTTAACATGATTGAGGTCCAGGAACATTAGTAAAAATATATAAATTAGACTAAATGTTGACTTGGATTCTTCATGAGAAAAACCCAGAAGAAAACCTACCAGGAGAGTCAACAAAGAAGAAAGGTCGTACATCACGCCTTGGCCTGAAGACACAATCTTTCCCATTTGGATGGCCTTACTCTCCCTTCACTTCCAACAGCGCCAGTCTGTTCATTCTCAGACATAAAATACAGGGCCTAACCTTACAAAAATCAGCAACCTGCATACCCAGCATGATTTGCCTCTTTTCCAGCATTGCTTGCATATTCTCCAAGGAATGCAAGGAAAAGTAAAGCTATGGCTGGACCCTCCCAGGCAATCTCTGAAGGAATTTTCCCTGGGGCTTAGACAGGCAACAAACTCTAAGAAGCAGCCTTCCCTAATTTCAAGGGGAAAATCCAGAGACAGTCAAGCCAAAGGTTTACAGTTCTACACTTCTAGCTTTTTCTTTTCTTTGTTTTTGTTTTGTTTTTTGTTTGTTTGTTTTTGTTTTGTTTTTTGAGACAGAGTCTTGCTCTGTCACCCAGGCTGGAGTGCAGTGGCGCAGTCTTGGCTCACTACAACCTCCACCTCCTGAGTTCAAGCGATTCTCCTTCCTCAGCCTCCCGAGTAGCTGAGATTACAGGCACCTGCCACCACGCACAGCTAATTTTTGTATTTTTAGTAGAGATGGGGTTTCACCATGTTGGCTAGGCTGGTCTCGAACTCCTGACCTCAGGTGATCTGCCCGTCTCCACCTCCCAAAGTGTTGGGATTACAGGCGTGAGCCATCGTGCCCAGCCTCACTTCTGGCTTTTGGTCTGACCACAGCCTACTGTGAAATTGCAGCATCCCCTGTAACTGGAGGAAGCAACTGGATCCTCCATCTCCTGATGTCTAGTTCACAGTTTGATTCCTGCTTGCCAGCAATGAGCTTGAGCCAGATGTTCTCATCAGGCACATGGGCTGAATGAAGCCTGCTTCTCATCAGACCAAAGCCCGAGCCAGCCCCTGGTTAGCCGACCCTGCTTCCAAGTAGTAAAAAAAGGAACCCACAGAGACACCATGCACATCCCTCAGCTATCTCTGCAAGGGGCTGTGACCCTCTGCAGAGACGCCGACTATCAGTGCACTGGTGTGGTGCAGGCCAGCAGGTTGCCAGTGAAGCCTGCCAGGCTCAGCACAGGCAGCAGAGCCCTGGATCTCAGGGCCAGCCTGTGTGGCCACTACCATGCTTCTCTCCGTGGCTCTCTTTGGAACTTAAGAGACAAGGCCAGGAAATTGGGGTAGTTCAGTAGGATACTTTTCTTTCCAGTTGTTGATGACAAAAGGGAGATGATGCCTTCTGACCAACTTTCTTAATTAGGCACTCACCAGGCTATGTCACTAAGCAGAATGGGACATAAAACTTGCCCTACCGTACGGGTATTTGGTGTCCAGCTTATTCTCTGCTGTCCTTCTCCAAGGCAACACGTCATCACTGCACCCATTTGGCATCCCATTGTACCCAATCCCGACAATCTTGTTTTCTGAATTCACGATGCAGGCGCCGACCTAGAAGGAAACATGCCCAAAGGCTTGGTGCCTGCAACTGGCTGGTCTGCCGCTGTGGAAGCAGGGAATAAAACCAGGGGGACTGCAGAACTCAAAACAGACGCATAGCTGCTGCAGGTGCTGAGAGCTGTCGGTCTCCTTGCCTGGTTTTTTGTGGCAGCACCCACAAGCCAAGGAAAGTGCACCCCCAGTCCCAGAAGGGGCACAAGAGGCAGTTAACAATGGCATGTGACAATTTTCTGTCTCACAGGAAGAACTAAGCTTGTAGAAACGCAGCACAAAAGGCAGACCGACCCTGCACTTTTAAGTTGACAGGCGTCCACTGAGTCTCCCCTTTCTGCTCATGTGCAGTAATCTCTTTGCCTGTGAGTATCTAAGCATTCTCCCGTGAAATTCATTTACCTGGGAATTTGGATCTTTGCTTCTCTGTGCTGATAAGAAGGCCACAGCCATAAAATACTCTGGCCATTCCAAATAGTCGTCCCGTTTCTTGCAGGAAACTTCACTCATGTTGGGTCTAGAAGAAAAACATGACAAAACAGAAGTTGAGAGAAGCATTTTAGTAAGTCTGTTTTCCAGTTCAACCCAACCACACTGAACCTTTAAATCTCTAAACATGGGCAACTTCAGCTACATTTATCAATCAGAAATCACAGCACATGGGCCCTAAACAGTCTCTGGTCTTAAGTAAAAACTTAAGAAATTTCCTATTTCAGAAGTTTGAATTTGAAACCTATAGCTTCACGTTCCCAAATATTTCATCTATTTACTGCTTTCTCATAGGATTTTTTATGCCAGCCTACAAATTGTTGTGTCCTTTACCTGTCTCCCTTACAAAGCGGAGTCAGCACAGGAGGAGGGTGGAAAAAAGAAATATTTATTGATCATCTATAGATTCCAGACATTGTTAAAGTTTATACACATCATGTCACTCAAGCCTTACTCCTAGCTAAGGTAGACAGTGCCATCCCATCTTACACAGACTCAGAGAACTTAGGTAACTTAACCTAAACCACACAGGATTATCATCCATGCCAGACGGATTCAAAGAAAACATCTGAAGCCTTCCCAACTCTGATATTAACCAGATAATTTTTCCCTTCCCTTTCTCCTCAATAATCCAGATGGGACAGAAGTTATCAACTCCGAGTAATGAATTACATGAGAAGAAACTATGAAAAACGTCAAGTGCTACTCCTAAAGCAAGGTTTTTGGAACGTAGTTTACCAGGGGCAAGCAGAGACTGTCTACGGCAGGGAGAGCCCACGAAGGGGGTCCTAGGACTTCAGGGGAGTGGTCGCTTTCAAAAGGAATGAAACAAGGGCAAGGAAGGAAGACAACACAAAAACGGGGTGGGTACCACGGAGAAATCTTGAGAAAGGCGAGGAATGTGGTCTAAAGGAAGGCAAGCATCTCCCAAAACTTCTGCTTCAGGCTCCACACTTTATTTAGGCATCTGCTACAGTGCAGGGCGGCAGTGCCTAAGACAAGGATGCAGTGGAGAGTGGGTGCTGGGAACCACGGTCACCCACTGATTACGCTGCCCCACATCTGAGAGGCCTGGCAACCCCCCTAACAGGAAAAGACAGGTGCTGAATCAGCCTGGTTTCCCACCTGGCTTTAGGGCCAGCATCCATCATCGCTGTGGGGTGCTGGAGAAGTACCTACTAAATAGGAGGGAGGGGGAGCCATGGGGGGCGAGGGAAGAGCAGGAGAGGGAAGGGTCCTGTTAATCCCCTGGGCGCCTTCTCCTGGTGTGGCTGAACGCCCACTAGAGCCCTGTGAGGACTGAGGCCCAGCTGTAGAAACAGAGAGAACTGGAGCTCGAATACAACGATTCAGGAAGACACATCCGGTCACCGTCCCAGGCACACCCCACGCCGCTCGCAACCCCGTCAGCTCTGATCCAGGGCCTACACCCGGCATTCCCAACCCACACACGGGCGCAGGAAGGGATGTGGTGTTCAGACGCCCAGCACCACCTCCCGGGGCACTCCAAGGGGCCCGGCCTCGCACAGGCCGCGGCGCCCGCCGAGAAATCGACCCTGGAGTGACTGCGGGGACCCCGAGCGCCCCCACCCCGCCCGCATTCTCCGATCTAAAGGCTGAGCGCGGCCGAGGCGCCCCCAGCGTCCGCGGCCCCAGGCCCCCGCCCGGCAGCCAGCGCCCCGCGCCACGCGCTCGGGACGGTGCCACGCGGCGGTGGCTAGGGGCGCGCGGGCCGCGTACCCGCACGGCTGGCCCCCGCCCACCATCCGGTGCCGGCTCCGCGCGCAGGCCGGTGCTCGTCCCCGCCGCCGCCGTGCTCAGGGAAGGAAGTCGGGGGAGGAGGCGGGGCCGCCGCGGGGCCGGAAGGGGGCAGCGGCCCGGGCGCCGCGCGTTCGCAGGACGGCGGCTGGCCCCGGGGGCCCGAAGCCCTGAGGGGAGGGAGGGAGGGACGGCGGGGGCGGGTCGCACGCCGCAAAGGCGCTGCTCCGCGTCGCCGTACGCCTCCCGGTCCCCGTGACGCAGCCCGCGGTCCGGCCGGCGGTGTTCAGAGCCCGAGCACAAACTACTTCCCGGGTGCCAGACCGCCCCGAGGTCGCCCCGCTGCCCGGGTCACGCGTGGCGCTGGGTGGCCGCGAGTTGGGCGCTCCCGGGCCTGACTGCACGACCGTCGGGGGCTGCTTGGTTTGGTGGTGGTGGCGGTGGTGAGGTTTTCCCCACCATCCGTGTTCCATCAACTGCTTAGAGACACGGCTATGGAGATTGTGATTAAAAGACGACCCCAAGAATCTAGTGCCGTGAAACTGGCGGGGCGGGAGGTGGGGAGACCTGGTTTGGGTCTCTGGAGTGAGCCCGCTGTGTCGCAGCGTCCCCGTGGGGACCCTTGGCCGGTGGCTGGGTCACAGTTTCACACACTGGATGGGGCAGGGAACTGGGTCCGGCGGGGGCGCTGTGCCTCGAGGCTCAGTGCCTCGAAGCTAGATTTGCATTTGGCTGCGCCTGACAGGCTTTCAGTTTCTGCTCAAATTGTGCGGAAGGGCCTGAGGTGTTTGCTAAAGCCTGCCGCGCCCTGCTCGACCCGTATCACCGCACAGGCACCCCACCTGCATGTTACCTCCTGGTAATGCTCGCCCACTTATATAGTGCACATTTTGTTGCAGTTGTTTCAAAGATGAGAAAAACAGGGCAATAGGAAAGACCATCAGTGACATTTCTGGAGTCGTATGCCCCAAGCAACTTAATCTGGTTTTCATGAACTTCGTTACCCTGTGCAGACGTCTAGCCCCTTACAGTGGTTCTAGCACAGAGAATGACAGAAGAACCCCTTTCTGTTTCATTCATGGGACTTGAGGGGACTGTCAGCACTCCATAAATAACAGCTACTGTAATAATCGCCAGTTCTGATCTGCACATCCCAGATTTGAACTGCTATTCCAAACAAAAGCTTGTTAACTATATTAATTTAGCCTAACGGAGGAAGAATGATGAGAGTAAACAGTTGGTTCTATCTAATTTCTCACTACAGCAGACACATCATTCTTCATCTCATGGTCCAGCTTGTAGATTCAATAATTAAATTATGTACTGCTCTTGGTGGATGCCGGGAAAGCAAAAGGGAGAAATACTTCATCGTTAACTATAGATTTTTTTTTTTTTTTTTTTGCCTTGATAAGACTCAGGCTTGAAAGAGCCACATAGATTAAGATGATGATTTTTAATTTCAAGTTGACTTTACATGGCTGTCTTGTTGCCGCTAAAATGTGTCATATATCCCGAGCCCCTGGTTTCCCTCCTCCTCCCAAATCCACCGCTTGGTCTTTGTCACACTCATCTACAGTCTTTGGGTCTTCATAGATCCATTTCTCTTCTTACCAACCTACAACCCATACATCACCAATTGCTGCTGCTCCTTCAACCACAACATCATTAAGCTTTCTTCCTTCCTCTGCTCGGTAAAGACTGTCATACATAATTTAGTTACTTCTCATCACTCTCCATTTTGGTCAACTCACACACTCCCCTCTGCCATAAATTCAAGCTCCTGCTTGCTGAAAACACATTACCCTGAATGTTCCCGCATTTCACTGAAAGTCCCTCATCTTAAAGATGACATCATTCATAATACAGGAAACCCTCCTGGTTCAGAGTTTCACAACTTGAGGTTTCAAATATTGTACACCAATAGTGAAGCCACGCGGCCAAAGGGGGGAGAAATATATTCCTTGGTATGTCTTTCTCATTAACACCTTGTAACTCCAAGTGTGACTGTAGGTGTTAAATCTCTCTTGCTAATACCTTGTATTTGGGCTTATAATTGAGGATCTTTCTCCACCTACTACAGATACAGAGGTTAGGTATGTGTTCAGCCCTATCTAGATTGGCCTTCCTTGAGGGCCTCACACAGGTTGAACCCAATCAGCACATTCCTAAGGACTACTGTCTTGGCCCTTTTGTTTATGGGGTTTCGTGCTATCTATGTCTAGTCTAGAGCATAACCTGGAATATATTAATATTTCAGTGTGCCTTAGGTAGGGGATCCCGATTAAAAACAGAAGTCAAGGTAAGACTCTTCCAGGGCTGCCTCAGAAGAGGGGTTGATGGCATTTGCAAATGTCTGCCGTACCGAGATACTACCTGCCCCTCCTTCCACCTCCTCTGCCTGCCAAGGTAAGGATGAGACCTGTGACTGGGGAAACAGAGGCAAGGAGTCAGGAAGGTGGCCAATCTGTCCATCAAGTTTGTCATGAGAGAAAGAGCACCGGCCTTGGAGTCAGACCAGACTTTGAACCCTACTCCCACTTCTTACAACCCGAGTAACCTTGAGAAGCTACTTCCATTCTTGGAGTCTCTGTAAAATCAACAATATTCATTTTTTATTAATTCCCTGCTATGTGCTAAGTGCTGTAAATACCATGATGGATACTATAAGCCAGTTCTTGCCCTCACATTCCCCTCTCCGCAAATAAACACAGAAAAAAATGAACCTTATTGCTGGCCCAGTGAACATAGTAAATGTTGTTATAAACTGCCTGTTGTTCTTAATTTGGTGGTTGTCAGTCAGGACCAAAAACTCCTTTGCATAACAACTGCACTTAGAGGCAAAGTGCCACTTTGACTGGTTTTCAAAGGAATAATTGTTTATGTTTCCATGCTAAAGTGCAAACTAGAGAAAACTCTTTTTAAATCTTAAGTAAGGGATGACTGTAAGTCTGCTAAACCACAAAAAAGTCACAATGAAAATTCTAGAAAAAAATAAATATGTGGTCTTATCAATACAGTACAGGTTGAGCATCCCTAACCTGAAAATTCAAAATCCAAAATGCTCTAAGATCTGAAACTTTTTGAGTGCTGACACTCCCACAAGTGGGAAATTCACACCTGACCTCATGTGATAGGTGCACAAAATTATGAAAAATATCCTGTCAAACTACTTCCAGGCTATGTATGTAAGGTGTATATTAAACATAAATATATATTGTGTTTAGATTTGGGTCCCATCCCCAGGACACCTCATTACATATATGCACATATTCCCAAATCTGAAAAAATCCAAAACCTGAAACACTTCTGGTCCTAAGCATTTTGGAGAAGGGATATTCAACCTGTATATACATTTTCGTATGTATGTTAGAGCATGAGGTCAGTTGTTTGTGTTCCATGAAGGGCATACAGACTGCAAATTGACATGACAGAGCACTCCTATCAGAAAAAAAATCAGGATCCCTAAACAGCGTTTTTGTTATGAGTTGAAGCCACCAATTACTTTGTCATTATACATCTTCAAAATTACAATGAAGGGCCGGGTTTGTTGTAATGAACTCACTCCTGTAATCCCAGCAAAGTGGCAGGCCAAGGTGGGAGGATCGCTTGAGCCCAGGAATTTGAGACCAGCCTGGGCTATGCAAGACCCAGTCTCTGCAAAAAAAAAAAAAAAAAAAAGTTTTAAATGAGCCAAGCATGGTGGTGCATGCCTGTAGTCCCAGCTGCTCAGGAGGCTGAGGAGGGAAGATTGCTCGAGCCTAGAAGGTTGAGGCTGTAGTGAGCTGTGACTGCACCACTGCACTCCAGCTTGAGTGACAGAGGGAGACCCCATCTCAAAAAAAAAAAAATCTTTTTTTTCAATGAAGATCAATAAGGAAATGTTAACATGGCATATGCACAAAGCTGGGTGTTTTGCCGTTTTTTATTAATAAATATTTGTTGACTAAATAAATGAGTTAATAGAAAATCATTGTTCTATGCCAAATTGTTTGGAGCATCTAACTCATAGAGAGAAGTCTTTGTCTGTGAACTCTGGTTCTACTTCCCTATCCGCCTCCTTTTTCTCCTTGCAATTCATAGACCTGGAGAGACATTTGATAAGTGAGACATTGGGGCTGGTGGGTCAGGGAAACAAGAGTGAACAGTATCATTTTAAGGAGGCATGGATCTCAGTCCTAGGATTTGGGGCTTGGCCTGAAAATGACCATCTCTCGTACAGCAGAGCTGAAGGCGGAGGGGAAGGCTGTCTCCTCTTTCCTGGTGTGATGCCTCTCCCCATGACTTCTTTGCTTCTACAGAGCTGAACTTGTAGCCTCTTTCATACACAACTGGTTGAAGTGGATGGAAATTACATGTCTTATTGCTTCTTAAAAGAAAAAAAAACATATTAAATCTAAAAGAAATGGGCAATTTTCTCGTACCACTTTCTATTTCTGTGTAAGTTACCAAGTGCCAATCATTCTTACTTTTTAAAATTCACATTTGTCAAGCAGCATGTAAGCTTTCAGTGTTGTACAAGAAAAGATAATGCTTCATGTGGAACAGTCACTTACGCTATTCTGTGAAAGTGCCTAACCTGAAGAGAATGTATCAGATTGTTGGCTTTATAGAAATGTTAATGATTTCATTAAATTACACCCTCTACGCTGGGGTCACCAAGGAACCTCCTAAAGGGTAATCAACAAGGTATTACGGTTCTGGATATAGAATTCTTTATTGACATCAGAGTCACCACTCATTTTGCAGTGTGTATTTTAACTGGTGTAGCAAGGTGAATGCCTAAGAACCATTGTAAATGAAAGTCCCTGTGAAATTGTAGTTGGGAGCTAATGGCCATCATAACCTGCCTGACGTGTTGCGCCTTCCCTCAGCTAACTGGAAAGCTCACTGGGTGTGAACCTCTGAAAGGAGAAGGCGCGAATCAAATTAACATTTTAGTATTGTGGCACACCATGTATGTGTATATTGAAGATAACACCTGTGATCCTACCACAACAACAATCTGTTGTTAATGCCATGAGGGAAAAAGTCATCTTCCACAGTCAGGAGCAAACAAAATAAGGGAGGAACCCTATCCTATGTGAATGACTGTTGACACTGTTCACAGTAAGCAATTCAAAGCTTTGATTCAAGAGCTGACAGAGAGCAACAAGGCAGTACCGAGGCCAGAGTTCTCCAAAGGCCCCATTTCTGATGAACCTCTGTCTGCTGCAGTGTTTGATAGACAACTTGAAGTGATACAAGGTAGGGAGCTCTCAGCCATGAAGCATGATCCTAGTAATGCTATCTTCAAATTAGCCCTGGATTGAGTTAAATATCAACCAAAGGGAGTGGAACGGCCCTCATGAAATCATCCCTAAGAGAATGAGAGAGATCTAATAGTGTGGTGGTTACAGTAACCACTAACCTGCAAGAAAAATCGATATCTACACTGTGTTAGAATCACACCAAGGGCTCCTGGAGCCGAGCCATTTCAGTGAAGAATAAACCAGGATTCATTAGAGTAGAAAGTCAGAATGTGGTAGGAGGTCAAACATAAATACACCCCGGGCTGTTTCGTCTGCAAACCCAAGAAGATGGTCTTCTTTCAGGATCCGAGCATTTTTTAAAAGCATGGAATTTACAGAGCTGGGAAGTGACCTTAGCAATCATTGAGTCCAGCCCCTTCTTTTTACAGATGAGGAAATAGTGGCCCAGAAAGATGACTTGGCTCGCTCCCATTCACACGGCTGCTCTGGTGAGATTTCCTCATGCCACACTGCTCATGTCCAGCTTTGCAGTCCATGAATCAAAACACAACTGTTTATTGAGCCTCTCTGTGGAAGGCACTCTGCCAAGCTTTCGAGGGGCGTAAAGAAAGCCGCATCAGTCTTCTCCCTCTCTTTGCCGGAGAGAAGATCAAACTACATAATAGGTTACCCAAGATTCAGTGGTTAAGTGGCGATGTAAGACAACAATAAAAGAGAGCTGTCCCAAAGCAGAATATGATTGTGTGTGTGTGTGTGTGTGTGTGTGTGTGTGTGTGTCTTCTACCTAAAAAAGCCCCTTCTTCCCACCTAGGAAGTAGGTTATAAAGGCAGGGGTTTTCCTGTTCCCTTTATTATTACTTCCACTTAGCACAATATTCAGTTGTGTTTATACCCCAGTTTCTGTTTTGGAAGGAGTGCGAGATACACTCGCTGCAAGGAATGGGAGCCTGCATATGGAGCGAGAGCTCAGGCAGAATTACTAGCATCGCAGCCTTAAGTATGAGAGGTTGCCCTAACCGGAGCCTTGCACTAGCTAGGGAGAAGACTCCATCTGTATTGGTTTCTGGAACAAAGCCCAGACAAGGCAGAGTCAGTGCCATTTCTTTGCATTCACTAAATATTAAATGTTCATATGTCCTTAACAAAATTGTAGCCCCCAAGAACCATGGAATTTCAGTCAAAGAAACATGCATACATGCACATGTAGATAATCTTTCTGCTTTGTACTATTCGACCCGTGTTGAAATCCCAGGGATAACATTGCCTTTCAGATAAAGTTTGACCATCATATTACCCACACACAAAAAAGCATCACATGAAATAAAGAAACAGGAGCATGTGGTACACCCTCCAGGACTGGAGAAGAAGGTGGCTTGGTCTGGGTTAGAGACTGATAGCTAAAAACTAAGTCTGGCTGCTGAAAACTAGCCATATCTACTCAATAATGCACATGTCCCCATGGAAACTCCTTATCTTGCCTTCCACTCCGTTAAGTTTTCATATTCATGGCTCCCTGTGAAACCTAGAGAAGTATATTTCTTGAAAGTCTTGGTTAGTAGCCTGTTCACTTCCTTGCTATTCTCATGGCAAAGTACCAACGACGTGTGTCGGCAAAGAGCGAGATAGTGAGTTTACATTTTAGAGTGTAATTTCCTTATGAAGCCATCCGTTTTGTTTGTAACAGTCTGACCGTTCTAACCAGCTTCTAGGAGCCAGGCGCCAGGACAGAGGAAAAGAACTTCATTTTATTAAAATGGTGGCAAATTCGATTAGCGATTTCAGTGGCACATTAAGCAGGTTATTATTAGACAGAACTGACATTTCACATGCAGGCATATTCTTTACTTGAAAGTCAAGTGTCATTCAAAAGAGGGAGAAATTATTTAGGATTTTTGAAAACCTCAAAGAAATCCCCTGAAAACCTCTCCTTATAAATGCCTCCACCTGTTGAGGAGTCAGGGCTAGAACTGATGACTTTGATTTCTCCTTGATGCAAACAATGATACCAGAATGGAATGGCTCTGGGGAGTGCTCATAAGCAGTGGTCAGGAAAGTGGATTCTCCTTCTACATCCGTAGCTGGACCCCAGTGCTGACGGGCCTCGCCGAAGGGCGGTGTGATTCATTCACAGGGCACACCACAGAGAACTGCCCCTTCCTCCATCCAAACAGAATCATCCTCCTGCTGTATATACAGATATTGCAGCAGTCACTGAGATACTTGAAGAGTTTTTCACTGCGTCTGCCTTTGGAGGTACACATTTGGCTCGGCAGAAGCTAAACATTTTTAAGAGCACAGTAAGAAATAGGCCAGAAAACATGAAAGCTTTATAGCTTTTTAGAAAACTTGATGGTCTTGCTGGTACAGCTCCCTATGATATGGTTCAGTTGTAATAGCAATGGAAAGTGTATCAGTGCAAGCTGCTGATGAAACATCAGAAAATGTAGCCAAGGGTCTTTTAAACACATTCAAGAACTGTTCTTTTGAACTGTGCCTCTTAGCCTTGGAAAACCTCTTCAAGATTTTAAACAGGGCCCCTGGATGAACTATAGAGTGAGAACCTGAAATTATCTTGTGCACTGGAATCAATATCAAGCAATATTTTCTCTTTGAGAGAAATTCAATCTGACAGAAGGGAGTAGGAGCAATAAGGAAACTGGGACCCTGGCTGAAATGCTTGCCTGAGAAACACGCGGCAAAGCAGTACAAATTAGGTGATGTCACTAAAGTCAGAAAACCATAGTGACAGAATAAAATGTTATCTGAGCTTCAGAATACTTCATTATCACTACCACAGGTCACTAAGCTTCACAAAATGCATCCATCAGCCTTGATAGCCATTTGGAGGCCGCCGCTGGTAGCTAGATGGCGCAGCAGCGGAACACAGCCCCTCCACCTCAGGAGACCAGGGTGCAGCAGAGGCCTGGGCGCACAGAGCAAAGTTTGTTAGTCTCAAAGTGCTCTCTAGTGGCCATATGAACATAAAATTATCTGAAGCAGGGAGTCACTTGGGGAGAGGATTTAGAATTAAAGGGCTGTTGCCGAGCCTGTAATCCCAGCTATTCCAGAGGCCGAAGAGAGAGGATTGCTTGAGCCCAGGAGTTCGAGACCAGCCTGGGCAACACAGCGAGACCCTACCTCTAAAAAGTTCAATTTTTTTTTTAAAGATTAATTTTGGAAAGCAAGGTAGAGTCGCTTTCCACTGCAATCTACATCTCCTGGATCTGGGGGAACAGTTTATGAGCAACTTGCCTTTCCCAACTATTGTGCTGCTACCCATAAAACACTTATAAATTATTAAACTCAGCTGTGTGATTTCTAGACTGGATATTAGAGGTTTCTCAAATTCATGGGGAAGCATTTAGGTTTAAATTCATCCTTGCAGATTTCTAGGAGTTTCATTCATGAAGGGTATTTCTGAGTAGACGGTGAGGTACATTTATCCTGTCCATCTGTGTGACATGCAGAAGCTCTGTGCTGTGATCCAAAGCCACCTTGGCTGTAAATGTAACTGTTTAGGGAATGTGATAAGAGCCAGCTGCTAAGCTTGGTGGGAGGAAATCATTTCTGAAGCACCCACATATTCCAGGTACAGTCTCTTATTTTATCACTAGTATTCATTCAATCCTCACAAAAACCTTCTGGTGTAGGAATCATTATCTCTCTTTTTTTTCTTTTGGCCCCCAGATAAGGCAGGGGTTTACAAACTTTACATGTAAAGGACCAGAGAGTAACGATTTTAGGCTTCGAGGGTCACACGGTCTCTGCGTCTCTGCAGTGTGTGTGCATCTACTCAATTCTGCTGTTGTAAAGAGCTGTCAAGGACATCAACAAATGAGAGTGGCTATAGCCAACCAAACTTTATTTATGGACTCTGAAATGTGAATTTCGTCTAATTTTCACATGCCTCAAAATATTGTTCTTTTCTTGGTTTCATTTCAACCATTTAACAATGTAAAAACCATCCTTCCCTCAAGGGCCATGCAAACATGGGCAGGGAGGCCGTGCAAACACAGTGGCCTGTGCCAGCCAAGGCAACAGTTAGTTGTCAAGTTTGCCGAGTCCTGTGATGAGGAACCAGAATCCCAGTTTGCAAGTCAGTACGTGGTGGCCTCAGTAGTCCAAACAGCTGACTGTGGCCCAGGTTGAACTGGGAGTCATCGGTGGACATCAGCCCTCCTCCTGCTATCCACCCTATGGTAATGCTTTTTTTTTTTTTTTTTTAGAAAAAGAAAATTTAATGTGTACTTCTCTAGGAAGAGCCAAGCAAAGACAAAGAAAGACAGAAAACAGCACTGTGGGAAACCAATCTGGCACTAAGGAATATGTACAGTGGTGCCAGGAAGACTACTATTTAGGACTTTATAAAGACTTCTGAATCAGATGGAAGGCACAGGTCCCAAATTCACAGGGCTTCCTATCATTTAGGAAATCCATTAGAAATTCATGGAAACACAAATTTAAAAGCTTGCAGGCATATATCCAATCACATTCAGCAATAGGGAAATACATATAATAAGAATTGCTTCTAGGACCGGGTCTCCAATCCCCAGCTAATTTTTTGTATTTTTTTAAGTACAGACAGGGTTTCACATGTTGCCCAGGCTAGTCTTGAACTCCTAGGCTCCCGCGATCCACACACCTTGGCCTCCCAAAGTGCTGGGACCACAGGCATGAGCCACCACACCCGCCTTATTTCTCTAGAATTTAGAACAATTTCTACAATGAGCTCTTAGGCTATTTAGCAAAAGAAACACAGACTTGTTCAGGAGGATGGAGCCCTCACTAATGGGGTTCATTGCCGAGATCGTGCCACTGCATTCCAGCCTGGGTGACAGAGCAAGGCTCCGTCTACAAAAAAAAAAGAACTTTTCTTTTTCATTGAGAGAATGGGAAAGGTAAGTTATAGCAAAGAAAGAGCATATTATGGAAATGATAAAAGACATCTTCAGTATATATAAAGAATTCCTACAAATCAATAAGAAACAGTCCTACAGAAAAGTTTGCAAGATACTTGACAAACTTGACTTTACAAAAGAGGGCACAAAATGGCTGATAAACGTGTTTGAAATGTGCTCAGAGTCATTGGTCATCAGGAAAAGAAAATTAAAACTACAATGATATATCACTATCCTTATCAGATTGGCTAGAATGCCTAGAATTTAAGACTGAAGACATCAAGAGCTGATGTGAATGAGTAGGAGCTGACAAGTCTACTACACTCCTAGTGGGAGTACACATTGGCAGAATCTCTTTGGACAACTGGCCTGATCTAGTGAAGTTTAATATATGCATCCTCTGCGACCCATCCTCCATTTCTAGACATAGGCCCACAGAAACGTGCACACATGCGCACCAAGAAACGTCTTTCTATTATTGTTCATCATAGTCAAGAAACTGAGACAACCCAAATGTTCATCAACAATAAAGTGATAAATTATGGTGTATTAATACAACAGAATACTATTTAGCAATAAAAATAAGTGAACTTCTGGTACATGTCACATGGATGAATCTCACAAAGATCATACTGAGCTAGGGACACTGTGCCAGGTATTTAACTGTTGTCTTCCTGCTTCAAGCCCATCCTTTTATTCTCTGCTTGGCAATGCTGAGACTAGGACTCTGCAAAGCACATTTCTGCTTTTCTAGCTGTCTCTCTGCTAGGTTCTACCAATAGGGGGCACCAGAGGGAGGCCTCAAGGCTGTGAGGAAGACGTGACTGGCTCCTTCCTGGAGCATGGGTTGTTTTCCGTTTTTCCTCCATCACACACACAAAGAAAGCATCATTGCATCCCCTTGGAGGTCTGGGCTCTGACTCCGCAGCATCCCTCCTCTTGCTGTTCTCAATTTTAATAGTTCCAGCTTCTTTCCTTTGTCTCCCCAGTCCTAGAGGTGGTAATTGCACCCTGACATTGCTACCTACATACCTCAGTGTCTCTTTCTCTCTGTTCTGTAATACCCAGTTAGGAATTCATTATATTAAATTATCTCTGTTAAAATAACTGGTGTGGCTTCTAGAACCTGTTGCCACCAAATACAAAATAATAGCGTATGACTCAATTTATTAAAAATTTAAAAAATGGGTAAAACAAGGGGCACTTCTAGAGAGAATGGAGGGAATCTCCATCGGGAAGTGAGTGAGGTGGTGGCGGTGGGTGTGCTGTGTTCTGTTTGTTGACGTGGGTGATGATTACCCACGTGTATTTTCTTGTGACAATTCATTGCACTATTTGTTTATGCTGTGCATTTGCCCTTGTGTGGTTTTTACTTAAATTAATAATAATTTCTTAAATTCCTCAAACTTCCGCCGGGCACAGTGGCTCATGTCTCTAATCCCAGCACTTTGGGAGGCTGAAGTGGGCGGATCACCGGAGGTCAGGAGTTTGAGACCAGCCTGGCCAACATGGTGAAACCCTGTCTCTACTAAAAATACAAAAATTAGCCAGGCTAGGTGGTGCGTGCCTGTAGTCCCAGCTACTCGGGAGGCTGAGGCACGAGAATCACTTGAACCCGTGAAGCAGAGGTTGCAGTGAGCCGAGATCACCCACTGCACTTCAGCCTGGGCAACAGAGCAAGACTCCGTCTCAAAAAAAAAAACAAAAAACCAAAAACTTCTTTATATGTAAGAAGAGATGTTCCTGACATGAAAAAATAGCACCCTTTACAGCACTTTTTCTCCTAGTGTGGACAACTGGCGGGATTACCCAAGGTTGTCATTTAAAATACAGATGACAAGTTTCCATCTTCAGAGGTTTCAAGTCAGTAGGTCTGGGATGAGGCCTGGGAATCTGAAGCTTTCTCAATCTCTCCAGGAGCTTTTTACATAAGCCAAAGCTTGAGGCTCACTGATAGTGACTGAACTGAGCTTCTTTCTTTCAGAGCTGATTCATCCATTATCCACAGTAACTCCTGCCTACCCTGATGACACCAAGCACGGCCTCCGCATTCCTGCAGACTAGGAATTTCTCATGTATTTATTCTAATAAAGTTCCAGTGTAGAGAATCATCTCATGGAGTTGAAATACTGGAATTTCACTCATCATCGGCATCTCTTCCTGGAGCAAAGGCTAGAAGAAGCCTCAAGAGCTTTAGGTGTAAGATTGACCTAGGTGATAGCTCTTAGCATTTGAGGGACCTTTTGAGAATCTGCTGGTAGCTCTGGAGTGTCCCTGGAACTATGCACACACATGCAGTTGGCACATGATTTTGGAGGGTCACATGTCACCCATCCATAAACAACATCCTAGGAATTTAGAAACTCACAGTTAGGGACCTCTGCTGTGGGGACTCAAAGCCCATTCTTGGTGTAACTGTTTTCGGCAGAAGCCAGTAAGAACTGGAGGTTTCTGGGAAAGCATGGTGTGCTCCAACTACTGTACCTGCTGATCTCTGTCGGTTCCCTTAGAAAGAGGAGAAGCTGCAAAGGGAAGTCACAAGAGTCACATTCTAGTTCTACTCCTAACAACGATGGGAACTTGTTTCTGCTTCTTCATATCTGCGCCATTTTCTCCTCTTAGGAAATGGCATTAATGCTTTTCCTGCTTTCTTTCTCTTTCTTTTTTCTTTTTTTTTTTAGACGCAGTCTTGCTCAGTCGCCCAGGCTGGAGTACAGTGACACAATCTTGGCTCACTGCAACCTCCGCCTCCCGAGTTCAAGCGATTCTCCTGCCTCAGCCTCTCGAGTAGCTGGGATTACAGGTGTGTGCCACCAAACCCAGCTAATTTGTATAGTTTTAGTAGAGACAGTTTTTCGCCATGTTGGCCAGGCTGGTCTTGAACTCCCGACCTTAGGTGATCCACCTGCCTCTGCCTCCCAAAGTGCTGAGATTACAGGTCTGAACCACCACGCCCAGCCTTGCACTGCTTTCTTCACAGGGCTGTAGAGAGGCTCAGAGAAGAGGTGAAAGGCCTGTACACTGAGAAGCATATGCATGTTTATTGGGCACCCACTGCATAGCCTGGTTCAGGCCTTGCATGGATTACGGGGCCAAACATTTGTGAAATATTTATATACAAGACAAATACAGCTGCCAGGTGTTGTCCATAGTCCACGTTCAAAGGGAGTAAAGTCTGCCTCAAGTTGTAGCCAAAGAAGAAATAGGTAAAATTAAGAAATATGGAGCTGAAATTTTTTAAAAAGGGCAAAAAGAAAGAAACTCACAAATTAAAAAAAAAAAACAAAACTAGATCTGAGAGTTAACAAAATGTACTAACTGCAGTAACTGTTGCCCTGAGGGCATTTCCGCTCTCCAAAGGATTCTTCTATGAAGGAGAGTTGGGCAGTCACCCACCTGTGAGGCTGGTCCTGGGGCCCTGGACCTCTGAGGCTCCATCCCTGTGACCAACAGCTGCTCTCCTCACAGTTACACTCTGCTCCTGTTTTCCTCTCCTCCCACGTGGAAACATACTCTTATTGGAGTCAAGGTAATTGATCTCAATTTAGCTATTACAGGGTCATCTTGTAATCTATCATAACAAATGATGTTTTCATTACTCTAGATTATTATACACCATGGTCTACAGGATGTGAAAAATCTAATCCAATTCCTCACTTCATGTAGACACAGCAGAAATCCTTTCCACTGATGTTTCCGTCAAAAGATCTGTCAAAGGAAGGGCGAGAAAGAAGCACAGCCTCCCCGCCTCCCCATTTAGCAGGCAGCAGTTTTAAATATCTTTGTTGTATTGCTCTTGGCCAGATTCTACCGTCCGATATTTTTGATACTCCCAGGTCTTTAATTTTAATATAAAAATTTTGCTTGAAAAAATAGTGATTTTTCTTTTATGTGGGAAAGTATTATATTAATATAACCAATGTTCATTGTTTGATGCACAGAGCAGGAGATAAAGTGAACAGATAGATCTCACACAGCTTCAAAAGAATTTTTGTTTTTGTTTTTGTTTTAAGACGGAGCCTCGCTCTGTTGCCCAGGCTAGAATGCAGTGGCGTGATCTTGGCTCACTGCAACCTCTGCCTCCCAGGTTCAAGCGATTCTCCTGCCTCAGCTTCCTGAATAGCTGGGACTACAGGCGCCCACCACAGGGCCTGGCTAATTTTTATATTTTAGTAGAGACGGGGTTTCGCCATGTTGGCCAGGCTGGTCTCGAACTTCTGACCTCAGGTGATCCACCTACCTCGGCCTCCCAAAGTGCAGCTTCAGAAGAATTTGGATTCCATTTTTGAATTCAGACCCGTATCATCAGCTGAGATAATAACTAAAAATGTACCAGGAATTTTCTCTGACAATAACAGACATTGTATTGAATTCATTAGTGCTTGAGTCACCAAATAGAAGGTTATATCTGGGGAAAAGAATGAGTTTAGGGTTCACAAGAAAGCCAGTTGACATATGCTCGGTCATATTACTAGTATGAAAGCTTGGAGCCAAAGAGAATATTCACAGATTTGTGTGTACTTTTATTCATCATCAGCGGACATCAGTGACATAATCAGGCTCACCAAAGCCCCCTATTTCTAGCAGAGAGGAAACATTCTAGGTGTGACTGTAAAATTATAAGGCTGGCTGCTGTGGAGTCTGTCTCATTACTTTATAATCACATTCCATGGCCTCCTGAAGTGGTTTGCCTTGTTCTTGATTCAACAGTTTTACTAAAAAAAGAAATATTAGTTGTTATTACGCAAGTTTATTTTACTTGCACCTTTCAGAATCTTGAAGTAAATTTTGTCTATTGGCCAACCAGAGCCCCTCTTTTTCTGGTAAACTTTACACTTTTAGTTACCCACACTTTCTAGAAATTATGAAACCCAGTAATGCAAACTGGCATATGTCAGAAACACTATAAATATTCACAAACGTCATCATCATAATCAACATCACTAAGATTTACTGAGCACTTCACATGTGTTACATCAGGTAATTATTACAAAAACTCAGTAGGGATATAATTATCCCCATTTCACAGATCAGAAAATTGAAATTATAGAAGTTGAGTAACTCAGCAAAGTCACAGGGATAAGTGGCGGAGCCAGGAGTCAAACCCAGGCATTTTGACTCTGGAGGCTGCCTCGACTTCTGTATTATGCTGTCATCAAAAAGGGATAGACACAGTGTACATCAGTACAATGGATACTCAGTAAATAGGAAGAATCCTGGACTTTAAGAATTATTAATAATATGGGAAATGTTCATTTAAAAAAGATAAAGAGAAAAATGTGTTGAGAACTTACTGTGTACCAGATGCTGTGGTAAGTTGCTATATATACATTGTCTCATTTCATCCTCATATTAACCAATGACGCAACGAATTATCTTATTATCTCTATTTTATAAACAACCGAGTCAGAGATTTAAGAAGCTTGGCTAAGTTCACACGACTAATAAATCACAGAGCCAGGATTTGAACTTATGTCGATTTGACTCCAGAGCCTATGGACTCAATCTCTAACCTATACTGCATCTTAGCTTACCCAATTACACACATGGTTAATTTGGGCAATGTGTGCAGATATGTAGGGGCAAGACTGGAAGGAAAAACACAAAACATTTAAAAGTTGTCGTCACCAAGAGTCAGATTATGGATGGTTTTTATTGTCTTCTCCATACTTACCTGTATTTCCCAATTTTTCTTTGACAGGCACTTATTTCTTTTTCGGTCAATGAAAACATTATTAATAATACAGAACAAACATATTACCTGTGTGCCATGCACTATGGCCCCCGGAATCCCTGCTCCAGAAGTAACAGCAAGCCCTGCCCTCTAGCTTCAGCCTCTTCCTGCAGGCTGGATCCATTTCCTAACCTTCACTGAAACCAGGCTGTCCCAAAGCTTATCTGTGGAGGTGACTATTGCCACTCCAGACCATCACCTCCCACCTCTCTCCCTTGAGACTCACAGCATCTGTCAGTACCAACATATCCCCAACCGGACCCGACCTCTGTCCCTCAGGTATCCTTCATCACCTTTTTTGACATCTTCAGTAGCTACTTAGATGACCCACCCAACACCCTGCCAATCAGTTCCTGGGCTTCCTAGGGCCAATGAATACATTTTCCTCTGCTCCATGACTGCCATAGGCTGCGTGATTCACATGCCTCGCCCAAACTTGCATCACCTCCAGAACACTACATATACCAGCCATGACCTCTTATCTTCTATGTCACTTGATCAAGTATTTCTACCATATTTCGCCTTTAATTATGACATAAAATTCTCGGTTTCTTGATCTCCATCAGTCCTTTCCTTCCTTCACATTTTTTCTCCAGATTACACCCCATGGCCCGTCATTATAACCACCTTGCCCCCTCTCCCTGCATCATGCTTGCCTAAGGAGACCCAGGTGCTCACTCCTCCTCAGCTGCACCCAGCAGGTGAACTTTGGCCAGATTCATACAACTAAGCAAATTGGCTTCACTTTAAAATTCATCCTCCTGCACCCCAAATGGGCTTTCACTGTAACCCAGCAACCCAGTGCATTTTTGCTAGTAAGATTACTGTCCCTGTCTCCAAGAAGACCATTTCTTCTCTCTTCTCAAACTCTCTACCCTTCCTAGTGGCCTCCTCACATCCTCCATCCACTTTAACTTACACTTGGCTGAGAAAATAGGGGCCATCAGATCCGCCCTCACCTTCCCACCATCAGATTCACAAACTCATCCACACTTGACATTGTTGATTTTTTTTCTTTCCTTTAGCAACTGAGAAAACAACTTCCTTTTCTATCAAAGGCCAGTCTCTCCATGTGTTCTCTGCATCCCATCCCTTCTCAAGATATTTGCTTCTAAGTTATCCCTTTCTAAAAATCAGTAATGTCAAGTTTCCCTCAGTTCATTTCCCATGGCTTCATAACACAGAAGCTTCCATCTTTCAACATTTCAGCATATTCTAGGCAAGGTTAAGAGTTAGGATAAATGATGGAACAATACTTCTTTCTTTTTTTTTTATTATACTTTAAGTTTTAGGGTACATGTGCACAATGTGCAGGTTAGTTACATATGTATACATGTGCCGTGCTGGTGTGCTGCACCCATTAACTCGTCATTTAGCATTAGGTATATCTCCCAATGCTATCCCTCCCCTCTCCCCCCACCCCACAACAGTCCCCAGAGTGTGATGTTCCCCTTCCTGTGTCCATGTGTTCTCATTGTTCAAATCCCACCTATGAGTGAGAACATGCGGTGTTTGGTTTTTTGTCCTTGCGATAGTTTACTGAGAATGATGATTTCCAATTTCATGCATGTCCCTACAAAGGACATGAACTCATCATTTTTTATGGCTGCATAGTATTCCATGGTGTATATGTGCCACATTGTCTTAATCCAGTCTATCATTGTTGGACATTTGGACCGGCTACAACTATCTGATCTTTGACAAACCTGACAAAAACAAGCAATGGGGAAAGGATTCCCTATTTAATAAATGGTGCTGGGAAAACTGGCTAGCCATATGTAGAAAGCTGAAACTGGATCCCTTCCTTACACCTTATACAAAAATTAATTCAAGATGGATTAAAGACTTAAACGTTAGACCTAAAACCATAAAAACCCTAGAAGAAAACCTAGGCATTACCATTCAGGACATAGGCACAGGCAAGGACTTCATGTCTAAAACACCAAAAGCAATGGCAACAAAAGCCAAAATTGACAAATGGGATCTAATTAAACTAAAGAGCTTCTGCACAGCAAAAGAAACTACCATCAGAGTGAACAGGCAACCCACAAAATGGGAGAAAAGTTTCGCAACCTACCCATCTGACAAAGGGCTAATATCCAGAATCTACAATGAACTCAAACAAATTTACAAGAAAAAAACAAACAACCCCATCAAAAAGTGGGCAAAGGACATGAACAGACACTTCTCAAAAGAAGACATTTATGCAGCCAGAAACACATGAAAAAATGCTCACCATCACTGGCCATCAGAGAAATGCAAATCAAAACCACAATGAGATACCATCTCACACCACTTAGAATGGCAATCATTCAAAAGTCAGGAAACAACAGGTGCTGGAGAGGATGTGGAGAAATAGGAACACTTTTACACTGTTGGTGGGACTGTAAACTAGTTCAACCATTGTGGAAGTCAGTGTGGCGATTCCTCAGGGATCTAGAACTAGAAATACCATTTGACCCAGCCATCCCATTACTGGGTATATACCCAAAGGACTATAAATCATGCTGCTATAAAGACACATGCACACGTATGTTTATTGCGGAACAATATTTCTTTGGAATCAACTAGTGTCAGAGTTACTTCCTTAGGCCCATACCAGACTCACCCACATCTGTTACAGCCTGACCATACAAAAGGATCCCTTTTGCTCTGGGAGTACCTTGCATCTTGGTCCTCCAAGAAAACAGAAGTGGCACACGCATCCACCTCTTCTAGAAACCAGGTGCCCTGGTTGGATAGGATGTTTTCTTGTTGAGGTAGGCTGCACTTGCATGGGAAAAAAAAATGGCATGGTGACCTCTTATGCTCATTCTAAACCAGTTGGAATAGTTCCAGGGGAATCCAGCCTCACAAAACTGACCTTATTAGGTGCCAATTGGTATGTATTGGTCATGAGATAGATGAGAGGCAGGGCAGGATTGTTGTCCAGGTAGCGATGGGAAATTGAGTAGGGTCCATTCTGCTTGGCTTTAGCCATCCACACTCTTAATATGCCAGCCTAAAGATTATTGTCTTGCAACCTTCTGTTTATTATTGAACAATAAACTAAACATACTATGTGACAATAACTTCCCTGGGGAAGGTTTATTCCAGTGAATGATGTAGCTCTTGGCTCCATACTTCCTCAGGAGTTCCAGATGATTCCATTCCCTGAATTTCTGCCCATCACTCTGCTCTCCCACTTACCATAACAGATGGTGGAGAAGTTCCTGTACCCAGAAAGCTGTTACTGCAGCTTCCTCTCACATATTGCCAGTCTGGCTGCCCATGGACAGACTGATATCAAGAAGGAGACAAAGGAGAGGTTGCAGGAAAGTAAGAGTGATCAAGAGTCAAATATGGCCAGGTGCAGTGGCTCACGCCTGTAATCCCAGCACTTTGGGAGGCTGAGGCGGGTGGATGACCTGAGGTCAGGAGTTCGAGACCAGCCTGGCCAACATGGAGAAACCCCATCTCTACTAAAAATACAAAAAATTAGCAGGGTGTGGTGGTGCATGCCTGTAATCCCAGCTCTCAGGAGGCTGAGGCAGGAGAATCGCTTGAACCCGGGAGGCGGAGGTTGCGGTGAACCGAGATCGAGCCATTGCACTCCAGCCTGGGCAACAAGAGCAAAACTCCATCTCAAAAAAAAAGAGTCAAATATGGCAGAGGCTGTCATAGAGCAAGAGAGCGTTCCATCTTCTAGACGCTCCACTCAGAGGAACCGAGAAACTTGAGCTTGCACTTCTAGAGCACTGCAGGTCTCCCCAGGAACCCTCAGGAATAACCACCTTCTCCCCAGCCTTGACCATGAAGGAAAGTTCAGTGGGATGAACCCCAACAGGAAGGCAGGGGGCAGAAAAAAGAGAGAGAAAGTCTGGGAGAAGTTCTTCCAGACACACAGCTCAGCTGACTCTGAGTGAGATTATTAAAACCAATGAGAAAGAATGGAAATCACTGGCACCACCCTTTGGGCCAGCTGTCTTGAAAGCGTGCTCCATAGACCAGTGTCTGTCTTTGCACTGCATGTTGAGTGTGTGTGAAAAGTACAGACATTGAAAGTAACCGTTTAGAAACAATTAAAGCAATCGGACAGAGTAATTCTCTGTCTATTGAATCTAATAATAAAAACCTGGGACCTGTATTTTGTATGTCTTCATTTTTTTTCTAGAAATCCCTTGATCTTATTTGACAAAAAATATAGATTCGGTACAGATCGTGGGGAAATCCCAGGTCCTCCCTCCCAGACTATTTGAGAAGCACTGTTTAAGACTAATGTTTGTAGTGAAGTCACAGTGAGAGCATGTTCTTTCTGATGCAAACACACCCACCTCCTGCCCTCGTGTCCTGCAGGCTGACCTGAGAGCCAGCTGCATAGCTCAAGCCACAAAGGAACCTAGTTTTTGGAAAGGGTGAGTATGAAAATAATACAAGGTAAAGAAAAGAATGTTACTTAAGATCTACTTATTATCTAAATCCTGCCCCCTTTTCTTAAAGACTGGAAAGACAAAGAAAAATTGGATATGTTTAGAAGTAAATTACCTCCCAGGCAGCAAGAGAGATTTAGAGGCTGGAGGTAAAGTATCTCTTTCTTAAAGTTCAAAGAGTGTGACAAAAAGGTAGATATAGAGACAGATGAGAAAAAGAGAACAGAGAATGAAAGAGCTCAAAGCAGCCCTGTATTAGTTTGCTGGGGTTACCATAACAAAATACTACAGACCAGTGGCTTCAACAACAGACGTATTTTCTCACAGTTCTGGAGGCTGGAAGTCCAAGATCAAGGTGTCGGCAGGGTTGGTTTCTCCTGGGGTCTCTCTGCCTGCCTTGCAGACAGACAGCTGCCTGCCTTGCAGACAGACAGCTGCCTTCCCTCCCTGTCCTGACCAGGTCTCTGTTGTTTGTCTTAATTTCTTCTTTTAAGGAAACCTGTCATATTAGATTAAGTCCTAACCATAAGACCTTCTTCTACCTTAATTACCTCTTTAGAGGCCCTATCCCCAAATACAGTTCCATTAGAGGTTAGGGCTTCAACATGTGAATTTTGGCGGAAGGGGACACAACTCGGTCCTTGACAGGACTCAGACTTCAAGGACACTCAGGGTTGTGCTCAGCGTGGACTCCAGGGGGCAGCAGAGATTTGCAGCCGGCCTGGGCAGAGGGCAAGGCCACACTCCAGGCCCGCTGTCGCGTGCCCTCGCCCTCAACGTTCCCTCTCGGATTTTCAGGAATTTCATTTCACGTCCTTGTTCCCTCCTATGTAACTGACAACGCAGAATCCGCAGGATGTGAGGAGTGGACCCCTTATTAACTCCAGTTCCCAAAATCACAAAAATATGGAACCAAAATGAGCTGCAATTGACAAAGCAGGATATTATACAGAGAAAACTCCTGAAAGCATGGCTAGAGATAAAGTAGCTGAGGTCTATATAACTTGCTCGTAAATTAAGGTGTTTTTAACATTTTAAAATTAATTTAGTTAATTAATTAATTTATTATTATTATTTTTGTGTGTGCGTGAGACGGTGTCTTGCTCTGGTGCCCAGGCTGGAGTGCAGTGGCACCATCTCGGCTCACTGCAACCTCTGCCTCCCGGGTTCAAGATTCTCCCACCTCAGCCTCCAGAGTAGCTGGGATTACAGGTGCCTGCTACCACACCCAGCTAATTTTTTGTATTTTTAGTAGAGACAGGGTTTCATTGTGTGTGTGTGTGCGTGTGTTTCTTTTTTTTTCTTTTTTCTTTTTTTTTTTTCTTTTTTTAGGAGTCTTGTTCTGTCTCCCAGGCTGGAGCAGAGTGGCACAATCTCAGCTCACTGCAAGCTCCGCCTCCCAGGTTCAAGTGATTCTTCGGCTTTAGCCTTCCGAGTAGCTGGGATTACAGGTGTGCACCACCACGCTGGGCTAATTTTTGTATTTTTAGTAGAGACAGGGTTTCACCATGTTGGCCAGGCTGGTCTCGAACTCCTGACCTTGTGATCCTCCCACCTCAGCCTCCCAAAGTGCTGGGATTACAGGAATGAGCCACTGCGCCTGGCTCAGTGTTTCGTTTTTAATTGACAGATAATATGTACATTTATGGGGGACACTGTGATTTTTTGATGCATGTATACAATGTGAAATGATTAAACCAAGCTAATTAACGTATCCATCACCTGACTTATTATTATTATTATTATTATTATTATTATTATTTTGGTGGTGAGACACTAGAAATTTACTCTCTTAGCAATTTGGTTTCTCAAAAAACAAAAAATAGAATGACCACGTGATCCAGCAATTTCATATATGGGTACATATCCACAGCAATTGAAATCGACATGCCCAGAGATATCTGCACTCCCGTATTTACTGCCGCAGTATCCACAATAGCCAGGATTTGGAAGCCACCTAAGTGTCCATCAACAGGTGAATGGATAGGAAAATGTACACTAGTGCATATACACAATGGAGTACTATTCAGCCACAAATGAAGCTTACAAGGTCACTGTAGCAGATGCTGCCAACGGCCTGGCCATGGTCCTGAGCCCTGATGTTGTGAAGCACACAAGCCCAAAGCTCCGAGGGCTTTCCTTGGTCAAGAGCCAGCTCTGTCTGCTGGCAGGGGAGGGTAGAAGTTCCGCTCCAGTGGCCCACAGCCAGAGCCAGGGGGTCCTCGTTCCAGTCTACACTGACCCAGCGGTCCCAGCAGGACTGAGCTGCAGCACCCTGTGACAGTCAGCTCGACGCCCCAGCCCGCACTGGCCGTGCTGCTTCCCTATGTCCCTTTCCCACCTCCTACCAGTGTTTCTAGGTCAGCTTCCACATCATGACTTGAGCTTGAATCTTCAGCTCAGTTGTGTTCCCACCCTCATAGATTACCTATTAATAATCGGTTTAATCTGGCAGACACCACCTTAACTATGTGAACAAATTTAGCATCACCAATAATGGGACAAATTGAGGTAATGGGAAGTACACAGCATCACCTGCAAAATATTCTTCATGAAAATCATCAAGTTCAATCAACCATGTGGGGCCAGGCGCGGTGGCTCACGCCTGTACTCCCAGCACTTTGGGAAGCCGAGGTGGGTGGATCACCTAAGGTCAGGAGTTCGAGACCAGCCTGGCCAACATGGTGAACCCCATCTCTTCTAAAAATACAAAAATTAGCCGGGCGTGGTGGCGGGCACCTGTAATTCCAGCTACTTTGGAGGCTGAGACACGAGAATCGCTTGAACCTGGGAGGCAGAGGTTGCAGTGAGCTGAGATCATGCCACTGCACTCCAGCCTGGGTGACAGGGCAAGACGCCGTCTCAAAAAACAAACAAACAAACAAACAAACAAAAAAACTACGAGGAAACACACTGTTCTTCAGTCAATTGTGTCTGGTGTCTGCCCAAAATCTCTCCATGTCGAAGTCCTAACATGCAGCATCTCAGAATGTGGCCCTATGCGGAAATAGGGTCTTTGCAGACGTAGTTGAGATCAGGTCACACTAGTGTAGGGTGGGCCCTAAATACAATGAATGGTGTTCTTTGTAAGAAAGTGGTGTGAAGACCGAGGCAGAGAAGAGTTATGCTGCCCATAGTCAAGGAGTGCCAGGAGCCAGTGGGGGCTGGAGGAGGCATGGAAATGATTATCTCTTGCAGCATTTGGAGGGCGCGTGGCCCTGCCAACACCTTGATTTTGGACTTAGAGTCACCAGAGCTGTGAGACAATACCTTACTGTTGTTTTAAACCAGGCAGTCTGTGCTACGTTGTCACAGCAGCCTAGGGAACTAATAACACACAAATTCAGATTGTGGGATGTTCTGCAAGACAACTGGTCTGATTCTTTAAAATATCAATGTCATAAACAGCAAAAACACACAAAAAATGGGTAGGAGATTGTTCTAGATGCAAAAAGACTAAAAAGATATGATAACTAAATGCACAATGTGGTTGTTGGTTAGATCCTGGATATTAAGGGAATAATTGGGAAAAACTGAATATGAGCAGATCAGTTTTAAATTTATTAGGTTTGCTAATGGTACTGTGGTTATGGAGATGTTCTTGTTCTTAGGATTACAGAGTACTTAGGAGAGACATATCCTGATAGCTACAATTTATTTTCAAATGGTTCAGAGAAAACAGTACATACACACATGTAACCACATAAACATTGAATAAGCAAATATGGCCAAATATTACTAATTAGTGATTCTAGATGAAAGGTATATGTATTACTCTTTCAACTTTTCTGTACTTTTGGAATTTTTCAAAATAATAAGTTTTGAGAATATTACATTTCATGTGGGTGTTGGTTTATGACAAACAATACCTTTTCACAGATATGAAGCCTATATTTATTTTCTAACAGAAAACAAATCGGTTGATTTTTGTTCCATTCACATCTTGTTTGCTTCTGTAGATATAAGAGATATACGACTGTCTCCTCTTTAGAAACCAGAAGGGAACTGAATAGACCGTCCTCCTAAAATTTAAATCTCTTTGGGTAGGATATTTAAATCTCTTTGGGCACTCTAGACTCTAGATATGTCATCGGGCAGACATCCCCTAAAACCAACAGGTGCACACACACACACACACACACACACACACACACACACACAGGACCAGGCACACACATGCATGCATGCCACACCAAACAAGTACATTTCTGAATTTCAACTAACTTGTCTTTTAGTCCTAAAAGACCAGTACCCCACAGTGAGATTCAGCGTTCTTTTTGAGAGTATTATAAAATGCTGTGTGACGGTTAATGTTAGGTGTCAACTTGACTGGATTAAGGGATGCCCAGAGAGCCAGTAAAGCATGATTTCTGGGTGTGTCTGTGACAGTGTTTCCGGAGGAGACTAGCATGTAAGTCTGAGTGGACCAGGTGGGGAAGACCCACCCTCAGTGTGAGCAGGCACCATCCAACCCGCTGGGGGTCCATAGAGAATAACAACAGAGAAAAGACACATGCTGATCCATCTGCTGGAGCTGGGATACTCTTCCCCTATCTTTGAACAACTCCAGGCTCTCCAGTCTTTGGACTCCAGGACTTATACCAGCAACCTCCCCTACCAACTCCCTGTTCTCAGACCTTCAACTTCAGACTGAGAGTTACACCATCAGCTTCCTGGTTCAGAGCCGGGCTACTGACATCCCAGGGTCTCCAGCTTGTAGACAGCCTGTCGTGGGACTTCTCAGCCTCCGTAATCACATGAGCCAATTCCTCTAATAAATGCCCTCTTGTCTGTCTATCTATCTATATATCCTATTGGTTCTGTCTCTCTGGAGAACTCTGAATACATGACCTTCTTTCATGGAATAAACCTTTTAAAATGTATTTTTCTCATTCAATTATTTAGGTTCAATGTTTATGTGGCAGTGCTGAGAACTCTGAATATGTTTCCATCATATTCAAAGTATTGCTACTCTCTGGATACCTCAGGGTAATTTCTGACATTATGACAAATATAAAAACCTGAACGGCTGAACTTGTGAGTACAAAGTAGTTTTATTATGGCATTATAAAGTATCTCTCAAAAGGACCCACTCAGTCATATACTAGAATTTATTTCTATAGAATAAAATTTCATTTTTATACTGGAGAATTGCAGGAATAGTTTCTTTATGTGTTTCCAGGCTTTGCTTCAAGCACAACTGGAAAGAATACCTCTGGCATTACCATAAGAATACAAGAGGAGAGATGTACCTTGATAAGGCCATAATTGTTAGCTGTAATATCTATACAATATGGCTATATTTTATGTAATGTATTAAACACTTATTTTTGAATTTAATAGGTAACAGGAATAGAATGTAAATGAAATTTAAATTGGTCAAAAAATGACAACAGGAATGACTAAGGTACAAACTTCCTCAGCCTTCTTATTCACTGTTGATTCTATTTCCTTCTTGAAGCTCTCCCTCCGCTGGCTTCCATGATGCACCTGCTCCCTAGTTTTCTTCTGGCCTCTGTGGCTGCTTCACTTCATTATCCTTGATGGTTCCTCTTCCTCCAGTCATGGCTGAAATATTTTTCCTGGCCCGATCCTCTCTCTAAACAGTCTCTCTGGGATCCTATCACAGCTTCAGCTGCCAGTGATGACTTCAGCATGTCCACCTTGAGCCAAGAGAACTTCAAAATCAAGTACGTATTTTCCCACTGGACATCTCTTCTCATGCCCCATAGGGACCTCAAGCACAACATGCCCAACACTCACACTGTCCTCCTTCTGCATTCCCTTGTCCCTCCTTCTGCATTCCCTTGTCCCTCCTTCTGTATTCCCAAATGTCCCTCCTTCTGTATTCCCAAATGTCCCTCCTTCTGTATTCCCAAATGTCCCTCCTGTATTCCCAAATGTCCCTCCTTCTGTATTCCCAAATGTTCCTCCTTCTGTATTCCCAAATGTCCCTCCTTCTGTATTCCCAAATGTCTCTCCTTCTGTATTCCCTTGTCCCTCCTTCTGTATTCCCAAATGTCTCTCCTTCTGTATTCCCAAATGTCCCTCCTTCTGTATTCCCTTGTCCCTCCTTCTGTATTCCCAAATGTCCCTCCTTCTGTATTCCCAAATGTCCCTCCTTCTGTATTACCAAATGTCCCTCCTTCTGTATTCCCTTGTCCCTCCTTCTGTATTCCCTTGTCCCTCCTTCTGTATTCCCAAATGTCCCTCCTTCTGTATTCCCAAATGTCCCTCCTTCTGCATTCCCAAATGTTCCTCCTTCTGTATTCCCTTGTCCCTCCTTCTGTATTCCCAAATGTCCCTCCTTCTGTATTCCCAAATGTCCCTCCTTCTGTATTCCCTTGTCCCTCCTTCTGTATTCCCAAATGTCCCTCCTTCTGTATTCCCAAATGTCCCTCCTTCTGCATTCCCAAATGTTCCTCCTTCTGTATTCCCTTGTCCCTCCTTCTGTATTCCCAAATGTCTCTCCTTCTGTATTACCAAATGTCCCTCCTTCTGTATTCCCTTGTCCCTCCTTCTGTATTCCCTTGTCCCTCCTTCTGTATTCCCAAATGTCCCTCCTTCTGTATTCCCAAATGTCCCTCCTTCTGCATTCCCAAATGTTCCTCCTTCTGTATTCCCTTGTCCCTCCTTCTGTATTCCCAAATGTCCCTCCTTCTGTATTCCCAAATGTCCCTCCTGTATTCCCACATGTCCCTCCTTCTGTATTCCCACATGTCCCTCCTTCTGTGTTCCCAAATGTTCCCCCTTCTGTATTCCCTTGATCAGCAGGTGATATCCTTTTCCCAACCAAAACTTTGGGATTACCTGAGACTTCTCTCTATCCCTTGCCCTAAAGTTAATTGCTCAAGCCTTATTGATTCTATAACCTGTTTGTTTTTTTTTAAAAAAAGAGACAGGATCTTGCTCTATTGCCTAGGCTGGGGCACAGTGTCACATTCATGGCTCACTGCTGCCTCAAACTCCTGGGCTCAAGCAAAAATTCTCCAGCCTCAGCCTCCTGAGTAGTTGGGATGATAGTTGTGAGGCACCTTGCCCAGCTAATATTAAAAAATTGTTTTTGTAGATGTGGGGTCTCACTATGTTGCCCAGGCTGGTCTTGAATTCCTGTCCTCAAGTGATCCTCCTGCCTCAGCCTCCCAAAGTGCTGAGATTACAGGCATGAGGCACTGCACGCAGCCTTTTAATTTTTTTTCCTTTTCCCATCTTCACTTTCAATGACTTGGTTGATGAGTCAACATTTCTAGTAATATTCCAAAATTATTTCCGTCTTTTGGAGGTTGTGAATCTACTCCTTAAATTATTTTCAGAATGATTTTTTAAATATGCAAATACTGTCATGTCACTACTGAGAATCCTCCAATCCCTCCCCTTTAATGAATGGCATTTAACCTCCAATTCTTGCTCTACTGCCTCACAGCTGTCTGGCTTTGTACACACTGCGTTCTTTCTCTGGAATGCCCTTCTTCCACTGGCTTGTCTAGCCGGTGCCTACTGTCCTTGAAAGAGTCAGCTCAACCATCATCTCATCTGGGAAGACTGTTCTGTTAGTATTAGGATACACTGATTAGGTATCCCTCTGTGTGCTGACATACTATTCTGCTTATACATCTGTCAGATGTATATAATATAATGATATTGATATTCATTAATTAATATAACATAATGATATTAACTTATCTTCTTGCCTGTGTCCTTCACTGGATTGTGAATTTCTTAAGTGTAGAAACTGCCTTTATCTCTGTATTCATGTAGCATGGCATATAATATGCGCTAAAAAAAAAAGTGCTAAATGGAAATAGATACTAAAAGTGTATATTGAAGACTTTCAGTGAAATGGGTCATTCAAGTATGATCATTAATATCAGGTTGAGCGTGGTTGTTCACGTCTGTAATCCCAGCACTTTGGGAGGCTGAGGCGGGCAGATTAGTTGAGGTCAGGAGTTCGAAACCAGCCTGGCCAATGTGGTGAAACCCCCTCTCGACTAAAAATATTTTTAAAAAATTAGCCGGGCCTGGTGGTGGTCACCTGTAATCCCAGCTACTCGGGAGGCTGAGGCAAGAGAATCGCTTGAATCCAGGAGGTGGAGGTTGCAGTGAGCCGAGATCGTGCCATTGCACTCCAGCCTGGGCAACAAGAGCGAAACTCCATCTCAAAGAACAAAAAACAAAAACAAAAACAAAAAAACACAACAACAACAAAAAAACTATAATCATTAATATCAAAGTTTAGCATTGGTGGTGAGACCCATAATCAAACATTCATTTTTCTCAGCACCAATTTTAACAAAGATTAATTGCCATAGAAGAAAAAAAAAGAAGTTTTAAAATGGTCTGCAGAGATGGCTTCCAGGTTGTAGGTAGATAAGAGACAAATGGTTGCCTTCTTTTGAGTCTTTGATCACCCTTTTACTGTATGTACAATTTACATGTGAGACAGGAGTAGAGGAATAGTTACTTATGCCTTAGTCTGGCTCGGTGAATCTGCGTTTTTACGTAAACAATAGGGGAGAGGAAGCAATCAGCTATGCATTTGTCTCAGGTGAGCGGAGGGACTTTGAGTTCTGTCCTTTGTCCCACACCTGTGAAAATAAGCTATCAATTTACATTGTCAGGGTGAAATTCAACAGAATTGTTTTAGGGTAAAAGATCTTGAGGCCCACAAGAAATTTCCCTGTGGACAAATTGTGAAGGAGGTATGTAGCTTTTTCATCTTTGTAGCTATCTTATTTAGGAATGAAATGGGAGGCAGGTTTGCCTGATACAGTTCCCAGCCTGACTTTTCCCTTTGGCTCGAGATTTGGGGGTCCCAAGGCTTACTTTCCTTTCACAATATGTAAAATAGCCTGATTTAGCCATTACACAATGTATACGTATATCAAAACATCCCATTGAACACTACAAATACATACAATTTTTTCTTGCCAGTTAAAAAATGAAAAAGTGAGAAGTTAAAAAGTAACAAAAAGTGTTTTTAATTGTCTACACAAAGTTGCTATACTAGTTGTAAGTTCTCTCATGGCATTATGTTAGAACCACCAATGACAGACATTATTCTGTTTTTCCTTTTTTTATTCTGTTTTTCTAAGTTCTCAATGTATTTTTACTTAGACTGAAAACCTATTTTTCAACTCTGCAGGTATCACTTAGGCTTTCTAATTTGCATTCAGTTGAACTGCAGCTAGCTGGAGACTTAAAAAGGAAATACTCTTTTATCATTTATATAACAAGTGCTGCAGGTTCTATAATCTTTGAGATTCATATGAACCACTGATTTGTGACAACATCAGCTGACATTTTATAGACCATCAGAGTCATCCTCAAGGCAGAAATTTACAGTCTTGTGTCTAATAGCCAACAGTCACAGAAGTATTCATGCACCTGCTAACATTTATAGTCCTGAACATCACTGTACAACTTCATTGTACTGTACAATCTTTGACAGCAATTCCTTCTTCTGTTTTCAATCATTCTTGGTTATGAAGCTATAAAGTTATGAAAACATGAGAATTAGAGTCTTCTTTTAACACTTTTTGGTCTGTGTTTTTTCAACAGCAAAATTGGATTATTCAGCTCATGTGAAGACTTATTTAAACCCTTCATTTCTTTTCATTATCAGTCTGCTTCTCTCCATGGGAAAGATACTTTATTCCTTCAGCATGTAGGGTAGACAATCTTGACTCCTTTGGTATTCCATCTTGGAAAATAGAATCCTACAGAGATTACCATCTATACATTTCCTTTTTTTTTCCCGAGTGAGGGGAAAAAGTTAGGCGTCTCCAATGTCCAAAGGCCAGGAGACACAATGATGAGGTAATGTGCGGTGATTGTTCAGCACCATGACGCTAACCCATATCAGTGATTTTTTAAAAAGTGTTCTGGCTGGGCGCTGTGGCTCATGCCTGTGATCCCAGCGCTTTGGGAGGCCGAGGCGGGCAGATCACGAGGTCAGGAGATTGAGACCATCCTGGCCAACATTGTGAAACCCCGTCTCTACTAAAAATACAAAAATTAGCTGGGCGTGGTGGTGTGCGCCTGTAGTCCCAGCTACTTGGGAGGCTGAGGCGGGAGAATTGCTTGAACCTGGGTGGCAGAGGTTGCAGTGAGCTGAGATCACGCCACTGCACTCCAGCCTGGCGACAGAGAGAGACTCCGTCTAAAAAAAAAAAAAAGCATTCTGCAGCCATAAAAAGAATGAGTTCATGTCCTTTGCAGGGACGTGGATGAGGCTGGAAGCCATAATTCTCAGAAAACTAACACAGGAACAGAAAACCAAACACTGCATGTTCTCACTTATAAGTGGGAGCTGAACAATGAGAACACGTGGACACAGGGAGGGGAACATCACACACCAGAGCCTTCGGCGGGTGGGCAGCATGGGGAGGGAGAGCATTGGGACAAATACGTAATGCATGCGGGGCTTAAAACCTAAATGACGGGTTGACAGGTGCAGCAAATCACCATGGCACATGTATACCTATGTAACAAACCTGCACATTCTGCACATGTATCCCAGAATTTAAAGTAAAATTTAATACATAAATAACTTTTTAAAAAAATTCTGCCTATACACCATTACCCAAAACGAATCACACTAAGTGATCTTTTGGGATGAAGAAAAAAAATTATAACTCTCACTTATAATTAGTTTTATTTTTAAAGTTAAGCTTAACTAATATTAAATATATGGATAGACAGGAGTATATATGTATAATTTATTTTTTTAAAACATATAGATTAGGGCACATGCTCAAAATATTTTTATTGATATATACACAATCAAGTAAGTTTTGAGATTGCTACTAGAGATCATTGCACATCACTGAAAATTTTGGCCAGGGTAATGACATTGCAAAAGGGGAATTTTAGAAAAAACAATCTAAGAGCAATAGAGAGGTTAACTTGGAAAGAGCAGATATTCAAATTAGACATGCCAGGTAAGAGGCTTTTTTTTTTTTAACCATTTGTCTAACACTTTATTCTTTTACATTTGATGTTTCTTTGTCCTTTTTAAAAAATTTTTTTTTATTATACTTTAAGTTCTAGGGTACATGTGCATAACGTGCAGGTTTGTTACATATGTATACATGTGCCATGTTAGTGTGCTGCACCCATTAACTCGTCATTTACATTAGGTATATCTCCTAATGCTATCCCTCCCCCCTCCCCCCACCCCACGACAGCTCCCGGTGTGTGATGTTCCCCTTCCTGTGTCCAAGTGTTCTCATTGTTCAATTCCCAGCCAGGTAGGAGGCTTTTGCAAGAATCTAAATATCAACTAGGGTGATGACAGTGGGAAATAGAAAGCCATAGTTATAAGAGATGATGTAAAAGAATAACTTAAAATATTAAAAATGAAAAAAAAAAAGAATGTGTGGAAATTTTGAGCTAAGTTGGTTGGGGAAAAAAACAGGAATATCCATTAGGGGACTCAAATTGCACTATGATTGCCACTGACATACATGCCCACATATATAATGTAGAAGCTACAGTATTATCTGTTTGAACATGAGGCTTGAGATCCTGAAAATTCCCATAAGTGGAAGACACACAGTTGAATTACTTAAAATTTTACAGGAAAAAATGGAATTGTGAAGCAAGGATTGCACCCAAACTTGTAAAAGTCCTTAGAAATCTTGTTTCTTATTAGAAATCTTATGTTTCTTATATATAAATCGTATGTATTTTATGTTGAAACAACAAATAAGAAAGTCCTTCTAGTTTTGTATCCACTAAATAAGTAATGTGCCGAGCATGGTGGCTCACACCTGTAATCCCAGCACTTTGGGAGGCCAAGGTGGGCAGATCACCTGAGGTCAGGAGTTCAAGACCAGCCTGGCCAATATGGTGAAACCCCGTCTCTACTAAAAAATACAAAAAATTAGCCAAGCGTGGTGGTGGGTGCCTGTAATCCCAGCTACTCGGGAGGCGGAGGCAGGGAGAATTGCTTGAACCCAGGAGGTTGAGGTTGCAGTGAGCCAAGATCACGCCACTGTACTCCAGCCAGGGCGACAGAGCAAGACTCTGTCTCAAAAAATATATATAAACTAAAAATAAGTAATGAATATTAGATAAGAAATAGCAGTCAGACTTCCAGCTTCCATTCTGGCACATAAAAAGTTTGGAAGTGCCATTTCATCCTAACAAGTAAAAAACTGAACAAGGAGAAACAGATAAATCCACTACTACAGTGGGGGACTTCAACACTCCTCTATCAGAAATGAACAGATACAATAGGCAGAAATCAGTAAAGACATAATTGAACTCAACATCATCAATCAATTTGATATAACTGATGTCTGTAGACCATTCAACAACAGCAGAATATACATTCTTCTGAAGCTCATACAGATAATTCAACAAGATACACTACATTCTGGGCCATTGAACACACCTTAACAAATTTAAAAGAATAGAAATCATATGTCTGCTCTCAGATCACAATGGAATTAAATTACAAATCAATAGCTGCTGGGTGCAGTGGCTCATGCCTGTAATCCCAGCACTTTGGGAGGCTGAGGTGGGCAGATCACTTGAGGTCAGGAGTTCAAGACCAGCCTGGCCAACATGGCAAAACCCTGTCTCTACTAAAAATACAAAAATTAGCCGGGTATGATGGTATACACCTGTAGTCTCAGCTACTCAGGAGGCTGAGGCAGGAGAATCACTTGAACTCTAGAGGGTGGAGGTTGCAGTGAGCCGAAATCACGCCATTGCACTCCAGCCTGGCGACAGAGCAAGACTCCATCTCAAAAAAAAAAAAAAAAGAGAAAGAAATCAATAGCAGAAACATAGCTGGGGGCCAGATGGAATAGCTCATTCGTGTAATCCAAGCACTTTGGGAGGCTGAGGTGGGAGGATCACTTGAGCCCAGGAATTAGAGACTAACCTGGGCAACATCGCGAGACCCTCATCTCTACAAAAAAAAAAAAAAAAAAAAAAGTTGGGTGTGGTGGCAGGCTCCTACAGTCCCAGCTGCTATGCAGGAGCCTGAGTTGGGAGGATTGCTTAAGCCTGGGATGTTGAGGCTACAAGGAGCTGTGATTTTGTCACTGTACTTCAGCATGGGCGACAGAGTAAGACCCTGTCTCAAAAAGAAAAAAAAAAAAAAAGAAACATAGCTGGAAAAATTTCAATACTCAGAGAATTAGCAACACACTTTTAAATAACACATGGATCAAAAAAGAAATCTCAAGAGAAATTTTTAAATATTTTGAACTAAATGAAAACGAAAACACAACTTTTCAAAATGTGTGGAATATACCCAAAGTAGCACCTAGAGGAAAATGTATAGCATTGAATACATACAATGATAAAAAGAAACATCTAAAATCAGAATCTAAACTTTGGGCTTAGAAAACAAGAAAAAGAAGAGCAAATTGAATCCACAGTAAGCATAATAAAGTGACAAAAATTAGAGCAGAAATCAATGAAATTGGAAACACAAAATCAATATAGAAAATCAAAACCAAACTTGTTCTTTGAAAAGATTAATAAAATTGATAAGCTTCTAAACAGGCTAAGCAAAAACAAGAGAGGCCATAAATTACTAATACTGAAAATAAAAAAGGGGGCATCACTATAGATCCATGGACACTAAAACGGTATAAAGAAATACTATGAACAACTCTATGCTCACAAAGTTGATAACTTAGATTAAATGGACCATTTCCTTGAAAGATACTGAAATGGGAGAGTTCCCTGACCTCCCTCACAGGACATGTGACAGGGTTGTGTCTTGTCTGTTTGGCCACCATGCGCACTCAAACCCCTTATGGGAGGGGGAGCACACAGATGGACAGGTGCAGGAACTGGGGCAAACGCTTTTGGGCTCTGACCCCACAGTAGCATCTAGGGGTGAGTGTCTTCAATTCTCACGCCCAGTGGGCATAATACAGTGCTCTTTTAGCTCTGCCATTCGCAGACAGCTTAAGTGTTAATCAGCTCAGTGCCCTCTTGGTGCCTGGGTTCTTGTCCAGCATCCAGGAATAATCAGGTCACACATGGACTTGAAGGAAGGTGAATGTGGGGATTTTATTGGGTAATGGAGGTGGCTCTCAGCAGGGTGGATGCGGAGCTGGAAAGAGGATGGAGCGGGAAGATGATTTTCCCCTGGAGTTTGGCTGTCCCACAGTCGATCTCTCTGACCATCCCCAGCTGACTTCCTTTCAACGTTCAGACGTTCCTTCTCTTCTCTCCTCTGCTGTGCCACTCTTCTGCTCCTCCGCTCTTCTGTTTGTCTGCTCATCTGCTAGTGGAGCCTGGGTTTGGGATTTATATGGATACAAGAGAGGGGGGCATGGTGGGCCAAAAGGCAAATTTTGGGTACAAAAAAAGGAATGCCTGTTCCCATTTAGGGCCATAGGTTTCCAGGCTTGGGGGTAGGGCCTTGGCTGGGGAACTGCCCTCTTCTACCCAGTATTTATTTCCCTGTCTCCTGTCCATATCAACACAATATGCCAAAACTCACAAAAGAAGAAATAGACATACGATATGAATAAGCCTATGATATAGTTTGGATATTTCTCCCCAACCAGATCTCGAGTTGAACTGTAATCCCGAATGCTGGAGGTGAGGCCTGGTGGGAGGTGTTTGGATCATGGTGGCAGATCCTTCATGGTGCTGTCTTCATGACAGTGAGCTCTCATGAGATGTGGTCATTTAAAAGTGTGTGGCACCTCCCCTGCCACGCTCTCCCTCTATTGCTCCTGCTTTCACCATGTGATGTGCCTGCTCCTCCTTTGCCCTCTGTCATGATCGTAAGCTTCTCGAGGGTTCCCTAGAGGCCAAGCAGATGCCAGCACCATGCTTCCTGTAAAGCCAGTAAACCTCTTTTCTGTATAAATTACCCAGTCTCAGGTAGTTCTCTATAGCAGTGTGAGAATGCACTAATACAACTAGGCAGAGCACAGAGGATTTTGAGGGCAGTATATGATACTACTGCCCTTACCCACAGGGGCCTAAGTAGAGGGCTAATACACAATGGCATTCCTAGGAGCTGGGTGCGTGTGCAACCAATAGGGTATTGCTTGACATATGCAATCAAAGGCATCAAGAATGGATGATGAAGGCTGGGCGTGGTGGCTCACACCTGTAATCCCAGCACTTTGGGAGGCCAAGGTGGGTGGATTACCTGACGTCAGGAGTTCAAGACCAGCCTGACCAACATGGTGAAACCCCGTTTCTAGTAAAAATACAAAAAAATTAACTGAGTATGGTGGCGGCCACCTGTAATCCCAGCAATTCGGGAGGCTGAGGGAGGAGAATTCTTTGAACCCGGGAGGCAGAGGTTATGGTGAGCCAAGATCGCGCCACTGCACTCCAGCCTGGGTGACAGAGCGAGACTCTGCCTCAAAAAAAAAAAAAAAAAAGAATGGCTGATGAAAAAGTAGAGGTCAGCTGAGCGAACAATGCCAGTGTCATCATGCCCCCTCATTAGTAGGACCATATGTAGACAATGTGAAAAAATGGGGTTCTAGCCTAGGCCCACTTACAGTGGGGCTCCCTCACACTCATTTGGTGGTCATCATCCTGGTTCCAGAATCCATGACCTGGGTGGGCACACTGAGCCACTAGCAATATCCCCACTTGACTCTGTGACTTGTGAAGTAAGAGGAGTAGTATCCTACTTATAGCAGGCGGTGGCCAATCAGAAACAACAGCACAACATAACAGGTGGAATGGCAGAGATTAAGACAATCTTCGGAGACTTTAAAGGATACAAGGGTGGTGGTCTTCATTACATCCCCATTTTTTTTTTTTGAGACAAGGTCTAGCTCTGTTGCCCAGGCTGGAGTGCAGTGGCACAATCTTGGCTCACTGCAGCTTTGACCTCCCAGGCTCAAGCGATCCTCCCACCTTTGCCTCCTGAGTAGCTGGGACCACAGGTGCGCACCCCCATGCCCAGCTAATTTTTGTATTGTTTTTTGGTAGAAACAGGGTTTTGCTGTGGTGCCCAGGCTGGTCTTGAACTCCTGGGCTCAAGTGATCCACCCACCTTGGCCTCCCAAAGTGCTGGAATTACAGGAATGAGCCACCACGCCTGGCCTATATCCCCATTTTATTACCAGTCTAGCCCCTGTAAAAACCAGATGGCTCATGACAGATGACAGTAGACTTCTACAAATATAATTAGGTGATAGCCCCAATGGAAGCTGTTAATCCAGAAGTGTCTTCTCTAGAACAGACGATCACTGTCTTTGCAAATGTGTTCTTTTCTCACACCCATCAGGAAGTAGGATCAGAAGCAGACTGCAGTCACTTTAGATGGACAACAGTGAACATTTATGGCCCTGTCTCAGGGCTACGTTACTTCTGAAAATACAGTCAGAAGAGTTCTGCTGTTACATAGAACAGCCCACTGGTCTACTTTATTGATGTCATTGTGTTCATCAGACCTGATAAGCTGGAAGTGATAAATATCCTAGACACCCTGGTAGGACACACGTGCTCCAGGGGACGAGAGAGAGACTAGAAAGATTCAGGTGCCTCACACAATGCTGCAGTTATTAGGAGTCCAGTCATCTGGGGCGTGTTGCAATATCCCCTCCAAGGTAAAAAACAAGTTATTTCGCCTTATATCTTGGCCCATGCAGAAAAAAGTGCAATATTTAGTAAGCCTCTTTGGTTTGGGAAGCAGCATACTCCATGCTTGGGATCATCTCTATGACCAACTTATTGGCTGGCTCAGTGCTGCTGGTTTTGGCTGGGGTCCAGAACAAGAGAGCGCTCTGAAGCAGATTCAGCCTAGGAGGCAAACAGGACTGCTGCTTGGGCCTCATGTCCTGGAAGATCCCTTGGTTCTGGAAGTATCTACAGTAGACAAAGACGTTACATGAAGTCTCTGGAAATTCCCTGTAGAAGCGATACAGCACAGAACCCTAGAATCCTGGAGCAAGGCCATGTCATCTGCCAGATGAAAGTATACACCATTCGAAAAGCAGCACCTTTCATGCTAGGGGACCCTGACCCTGGTGAAAACTGAGTGTCTCACATGGGACATCAAGTGATGCTGACACCAGAACTGCCTCTTAGGAGCCAGCAAACCACCAGACATACTGTTGGTGATTCCAGCAGGATTCCACCGTATGATGGGAGGGAGCAGTGTGTTTGAGATCAGGCTTGAGCTAGTACAGAGGCCACAAGTGAGCTGTCAAACCCAGCCACCCAGACCCAATGCTACCTAACCCTCCTGCGCTATACTGAACAGCATCCCCCAAATTCATGTCTACATCAACCTCCGACTGTGACTTTATTTGGAAATAGGGTCTTTGCAGACATAATTAGTTAAGATTGGGTCATACTAGATTAGGGTGGCCCTAAATCCAATGAATGGTGTCCTTACAAGAAGGCCATGTGGGGGCCAGGCACAGTGGCTTACACCTGTAATCCCAGCACTTTGGGAGGCCGAGGTGGGTGGATCACTTGAGGCCAGGAATTGGAGACCAGCCTGGCCAACACAGCGAAACCCCATCTCTACTAAAAGTACAAACATTAGCCTGGCGTGGTGGTGCAGGCCTGTAATCCCAGCTACTTGGGAGGCTGAAGCACAAGAATTGCTTGAACCCAGAAGGCGGAGGTTGCAGTGAGCCGAGATCGTGCCACTGCGCTCCAGCGTGGGTGACAGAGCAAGACCCTGTCTCAAAAAAAAAAAAAAAAAAAAAAAAAAGAAGAAGAAGAAGAGAAAGGCCACGTAGAGAAGGAGGTAGAAATGGGAGTTACGCTGCCACAAGACACATGAAGACCCCAGAAACTAGAGGAAGCACAGCATTCTCTTCTAGAGCCTTTGGAGGGACTTTTGCCCTGTTGTCACCTTAATTTCAGACTTTCAGCCTCTAGATCTGTGAGATAATAAATTTCTATTGTTTTAAGCCATCCAGTTTGTGGCACATTTTATGAGAGCTCTAAGAAAAGAATATGTGCACCATCATCCCTCCCTCATCTCACACTGATGGCCAGAGGACAGAGAGAAAAAATGGCCTGGCTCAAAGATGAGTCAGTGGAGTATGTTGATCCCAGCTAAAAATAGGCTACTGCTACTTGACAGATCTACCCGAAGGTGGCCCTGAAAGATGGTGATGAGGAAAAAGTCCTCCCACTGGGCCAAGCACTGGACACAGCACCTAGTGATACCTTTGTATCGAGAAGAACATGGTTCAAGGTCAGTGTACACATGGAATCTTAGGCATAAGCTTTTGGGTTGTGGACTCTCAGAATGGCTTTTGCTGGTTTGTTAAGGACATGGAAGGAATAAGTTTGAAAAATGGGAACCAGGAAGTCTAGGGAAGAGACATACATATGGATAGACCTGGGGAAGAGGACACAAACTATGAAGATCTTTGCATTGCATGGCAGAAGAGGCATTCAGCAAGGAGGCAGAAAGTATGGCACAGCCAACTGATGCTAGCCAGCCTCTTCCCTTGCCACCCCAACACCTGCTAAAACGCCCATGAATGGAGCAGCCCCTATGGCACAGATGGAGGCTCTGGATGGAATGTGTTTCCTCTTTCTGCGACAATTTTCTTCCTGGTATCTATATGCTTGGCTAACTCTCTCTCTCCTGGACAAATACCCCTTCTCAGTGAGACACAGCTGCAAAGGCACATTGATCTGGGAAGCTAGAGAAGCTTCAGTTTTGGGGTACATAATTCCCACAGGCCCTGTGTGTGCTAGAAGTTGCTCATAGTTGTACAACATGGATAGGTGAGGCCAGTTTATGATTAGAAAGCATTTCTATGTCAGTATTCCTGGGAAATTGCCTAATCAGAACATAGGGACCTGTAATGCCATTGTTACAGTAATTACTTGCAATCTTTTCTAATTCTAAATACATATTCAAAACTCTGATTTCCCTTCAGCTGGTATAAATCTTTCACCTATTGTCAAATATTAACTTTAGGGACTAATTTTGTGCTCCAAGTTTGTGTTGTTTTTTTTTTTTTTTTTTTTTTTGAGACAGAGTCCTGCTCTGTCGCCCAGGCTGGAGTTCGGTGGCGCGATCTCGGCTCACTGCAAGCTCCGCCTCCTGGGTTCACGCCATTCTCCTGCCTCAGCCTCCCGAGTAGCTGGGACCACAGGTGCCCGCCACCACACCTGGCTAATTTTTTGTATTTTTAGTAGAGACAGGGCTTCACCGTGTTAGCCAGGATGGTCTCGATCTCCTGACCTCGTGATCCACCCGCCTCGGCCTCCCAAAGTGCTGGGATTACAGGCGTGAGCCACCGCGCCCGGCCCCAGGTTTGTGTTTTTTAAGGAGGAGGGCCCTTCAAATTGTATAAGCTTTGGGTCCCACAAAACCTGGCTGCTCCTGCCTGTCGCAGTTACTTCATGGAACACTATTCCTGCCCCATCCCTGCATCTTGGCACCCGATATCACTTACTCTGCTTCAATTTTTTTTTCTTTTTCATTGCACTCATCGCCTTCTAACATACTATCTGTTTATTTCTGCTTGTTGCTCATTATCTGATTCCCACCATTAAAATGTAAGCTCCAAGGAGCAGGCATCTTAGTGTTGGCTGATGGAAAAACCAAATTTTATCAAAATATTTTAAGAGGTTTATTCTGAGCCATTAGGAGTGATCATGGTCCGGGGCTACACAATCCCAAGAGTTCCTGAGAAAGTGTGCCCGAGGTAGTCAGGTTACAGTTTGCTTTTATACATTTCTGGGAGACAGGAATTGCAGACAATATCATAAATCTATACACAGAAGGGATACATTGGTTCAGTCCAAAATGGCGAGACATTCCGAAATAGGGGCTTACAAGCCATAGGTGGGTTTTAGGGATTCTTTTGTTGACAATTGGTTGAGAGATTTAAGCTTTGCCTAAAGACTTGGAAAGGAATGCCTGAGTTAAGATAAGGAGGTCTGCTCCTGTCCTGTGATGCTATACCAGAATTAGGTTGGAAAGTAAGCCACATTACACCAGGTTAACTTTTTAAAATCCATTTAGCTGGGACTACAGGCATGTGCCCCTTGCCTGGCTGGTTTTTGTATTTTTAGTAGAGATGGAGTTTGGCCATGTTGGCCAGGTTGGTCTCAGACTCCTGGCCTCAAGTGATTCACTCACCTTGGCCTCCAAAAATGCTGAGATTACAGGTATGAGCCACCACACCTGTCCAAGCCTAGAGTTTTCAATACATCAGTTGGGTGCTGGGTTTTAGGATAATTTGGAACTTAAGCAACCTCATTCGGAAAGATAGATTTCTGTATTTAATAGTAAACATGAATTTGAAATACAGATTTTTCCATAGGGAAGAAAGTTCTTTTTAAGAAAAACAAATCTGTTTAACAAGAGTTTATGGTTTATGGGGTTTAACTCCCCAGGCCCCTTATATAGGAATTTGGACAGGAGAAAAAAGATCAGAGTTCAGTCCTCAGGGTTATTTATAGATTCCCTGTGCCTAGTAGAGTGTGTGCTTATACTGGGTACCCAATAAGTATGAGTAGATGAGGAGAAAGAAGGGAAGGAGGGGGTGATGGGGGAAGGAAGAGAGAAAGAAAAGGAAGAAAGCAAGAGCAGATGGAATGATGGTGCTCGGGACCCACTATCCCAAAATATGACTAGAGGAGACCAGAATATGCCACCCCAAAATACACCTCTTTGGCACATTGATTATTTTGAGCTGGTTATTTTGAGAAACTGCAGACATAAGTTCAACTCTGAAAAGTTGTTCTTCTGTAAAATTAATTTACATCTATAAAGGACCTCTTTCCACCTGGTGGGATGCTCCCTCTCTGCACCAGGAAGGAAAGGATGGTTAGATCTCCAGACACTCTTGAGCAGTGGTGAAGGCATCACCTGAAATCTGCGTAACAAGCCTTGTCTTTATTTAAGGAGCTTTTCTTGGCCATCTCTTTGTTTCAGACAAGGGACAGCATTTAAGTCCGAAGTTTAGACTCCTTCTTGGAGAGCTAGTCTAGAGATTCACTTCTCTGTTTTTTTCCCACTGTATACATGAGGTACACATGTTAATAAACCTCTATTCATTTTTATCTTGCTAATCTGTCTTTTGTTACAGGAACTATGAACTAAGCACTGTAGTTCAGAACTATAAAGGGTAGAGAGAAAATTCTTTTCCTCCCTTCTGGAGGACACAATTAAGAGCCATAGCAGCCAGAAATGCCAGCCAGAGCTGATAGGACTCAAAGCGAGGGGTGTCTATTGGCCCTGGTCAGCCAAAATAATAGACCACAAATTCATGAGCCACAAGTGTCACCAGTGAGTGCCATCTGTGCACAGGGAGCAGGTAACTAGAGACATCAACAATGAGGCAAGCAATCATCCAGAAGGCAGCACAAGGAGCTGGGCTTGGGGACCTGAGGCCCCCATCTCCTCACCACCCTGAGACGGCCCTCACTAAGCATCTATATCCAAACACTGTCTTAGGGAAGAGAAGGGAAAGGGGAAAACCTTGGAACACCCGAACATTTACCTGGACTAGAGTATTCAAACCAGAAGAGATAGCTTTACTTGGCAAGCCGTTTCTCCTCCTCCCACAAGCATCCTACATACACAGACTGGAAGTTTGAGAACAAGATTATATCAATAATAGAAAATAAACCATGTGTTCTTTGGGCTTCTGAGTAGTAGTAGATTGCCTTTTAAGGACTAAGTAAAACTAATGATAGTGTTAAAGAAAAATTATCCAATGATGCCTCTTAAAGTGCCATAAGGCAGACTTTATTCAGGACCATTGTGATCGTCTTGGGACCGCTACAATGGAGTCTTGCTATGGTGGGGAGAAATTGGCCTCGACTCTGAACATAGCGTGGGCAAGTGAACTTTTGGCCAAGGAATGGTGGGGGGTGGTCAGTGGATAGAAAATTACTAAGAGGAAATGTCAGGGTAAGGGGGATTCTGGCTAACCTGACCTAATAGGATTCTTGCAGAAGGCAAGCCAGGGCAATCAGACATCATCTGGGGGCTGATGGAGGATGAGGAACCCGATCAGATATCAAGGATGATCAGATACGGAGGGTGGGAGGTTTTGGCTAACTTTACTTAGAAGGGCTCTTTTTCTAAAACTGGATTTTACAAGGAAGTACACAGATGGGCCTAGGAAAAGGCTCTTGAGCAAAGCTTGGCCAAGCCCAGAATCTTTGTGAACAGAGGAACACAGAATAACTGGTGGTATTTCAGTATGTTTTATTCTAAAAGGTCTGAGAGCATCCACCAAAAGGAGGTGTGCCGTCAATATTGTGGACTATTTTATAACATGTCTTTTTTTGTATTTTTACTTGCATGTTGCTTACTTTTGACTAATGACAACATCTACAAAATAAGAGACACCTGGCGATTTTTATTGTGCATGTGTTTACAAAATCTTGCTTCAAATGAATTATATCATTTATAGCACTTTGTCATGCAATCTTATGGCATGCAGCTTCTGCTGTATTAAAAATTAGATTAAATTAATTGGACTTTTAAAACATTTGTTAAACAAAGTAATGAAGTATAAATAAGAATCCCTAATAAATATCTAATTTATACTCCAGGCCCAGGTTCGGGAATACATATTGTGTAGGCACAGACACAGACACACACACACACACACACACACTCTCTCTCACACACACACACACACTCTCTCTCACACACACTCTCACACACACACGCACACACTCTCACACACACTCTCACACACTCTCTCACACACTCTCACACGCACACACTCTCACACACACACTCTCACACACTCTCATACGCACACTCTGTCACACTCACACACTCTCACACACTCTCACACTCTCTCTCACACGCACACACACTCACACACTCCCTCACACGCACACACTCTCACACGTGCACACGCTCTGTCACACACTCTCTCACACTCACACACACTCACACTCTCACACACTCTCACACATTCACACACACTCACTCTCTCACACACTCACACGCACACACTCTCTCACACACTCACACGCACACACGCTCTCTGTCACACTCACACACTCACACTCACACACTCACACACACTCTCACACACACACACTCTCTCACACACACACACACACACACACCCTTAGCCTTAGACGTGAAAAAGCGTCTTGTCTGGAAAAGGAACACATCTATCTGAAAAAGAGGCTGGAAATATGAAATTTTTTTTCTGGAATAAATAAAATCCCACTTTGCCTTGCTCCCTTCAGAATGTGGTGGAAAGCCTTTCCACTTAGGCAAGGGCTAATTGCTCAACAGAAAATGCCAATGAAGCTCATTGTAATGGGATTCTATCCATCTGTAATTTCCATTCCTAGAACCAAATACTTTCATCTGTTCCCATGTCTTCCAAAACATGAGTACCCTTGGTGGTAAAGGGAAGCATCTACAGATTGTCATTTCATTTTTGAGAGCCATTCAGAAAGAAAGAGGCATACTACAAGCCTGGGACTAAGAACAGATTGAATTCATTAAAAAGACAGAAGCCAAACTGTTCATCTCTGGTACATGAAAAATCATCACTGTTGTTGTTAAAACCATATGCTTTAGGTAAGAGGACAGGTTTTGTATTCGCTCTAACATTTGTTCTGAGGAATGTTGATGTACTTAATGCTAGTATGTGCTTAGCAGTAATTTGCAAATATGAAAAGTAACCAAGAGTTCAAGCAATGAGTAAGGAGGGTCAGAAACCTCATCTGAGATATTTCCCAGTTATCATTGATAATATCATTGAAATATCATCGTATATCATGTCCGAATGTTAGAGCATAGACAAAGATCTACGTCATCATTTGTCATCATTTCATAGCTTTCGGCATGCAGGCTCAGACTTTAAAAGAGTTTGTTTCCTCCTTAAAAAAAAAAAAAGTCTTAAATTTTTTTAAGTTTCCATGCGGTGAAATTGGTAGAGGCTTTGATCACTTGACCTGAAATGATACTGATTTGTGTCTTTCAGCTGAAACTCTGCTCAGTTCCCCAGACCAGGTTTAAAAAAATGCAACAACCCACTTAATTGATGTATAGCATATGAAGTATACATGAAGTATAGCAATGTGCACTATATAGAAAATCATAAAGTGTTCAGCTTGATGAATTATAACCAGATGAACACACTCACAATTTATGTATCCATTTTATATCTGATGGGCTTTGGTTGTTTCTAGTTTTGGCTGACTAATGTTATAAGAACATTATTGTTCGTGTCTTTTGACACACGGGGGTATGCTTTGCTGTTGGTTCCATAGCTAGGAGTGAAATTGTTTGGTTACAGAGTACATACATATATTCAATTTTAATAGATAATGCCAGTCTTACAAAGAAGTTGCACCAATTTACATTACCACCAGGCATTTTTGGGAATTATAGTTGCTCATATCTCTTCCTATTCCTTGGTAGCATCAGCCTTTTTAAGTTTGGCCATTTCAGTGGGTTGTATCCCATTGTGCTTTTAAAATTTGCAATTCCCTGAAAACTTATAAGGTTGAATATCTTTTCCTACATTTTTTGGCCCCTTAAATATCTTCTTTTGTGAATAGCCTAATAGAAAATTGTGCCCACTTTTCTAGTGTGTTGTTTATCTTTTTCTTTTTGATTTGCAGGAATTCTATGTAAATTCTGGAAACAATTTCTTCGTTAGCAATATGCATTCCACATATTTTCCCTTTCTGTAGCTTTAAAAACTCCCTCAATAGATATTTTGATGAACAGAAAGTCTTATTATTAGGTTGTCCGATTTATCAATCTGACTTAATGTTATCGCCTTTTCTGTCCAAAAAAACTTTCTTACCCACAGGTCATGAGGAAATGCTCCTATGTTATTTTCTAAAAGCTTTTTATCATTTTACTTTTCACATTGCACAGTCCACCTAGAATTGATTTCTGTGTATAGCGTAAAGTAAGAGTGAAGTTTTCTTTTATTCTTAAAGTAGATAACCAATCAATTTAGCACCCATTATTGAAATGACTGTTTTTCCACCAGGTCTCTGCATTTATAAAATTCAAGTGTCCGTATATGTGTTGCTCTGTTTCCAGACTCTCTATTATGTTCCACTGGTCTATTTATCCATTTGTACCAATCCCACACTTAGTGCAATTACTGTAATTTTAAAAATTACTGTATCGTTATAGGTCTTTCTATAGGGTAGAATAATTTCCTCTCATTCTTGGGTTTGGCTGTTTTTGGTCTTTTGCATGTCCACATACATTTTAGAGTCAGCTTGTAAATTGCAATGAAAATTGTGGGGCTTTTAATTCAAATTGTTTAGAATCTATAAGTTAGACGGAAGAATTAACATTTTGCAATATTGAGTCTTATAATCTATAAAAAAAAGTACATCAATAAACAGTAAATCTATAGGTCTAGTATTTCCTTCAATTTATTTAGTTTTCATTTGTGTTTAATTATTAATAATTTAATTTAGTGATATATTTTCAATAGATTTTTACATATGTCTTGAACATTTTAGATGTATTTCCAAATATTTCCTTTTTGATGATATTATAAATTATAACTTGTAAATTAGTTTTATTGGTTTGGGATATATAAAATACCATTTATTTTTTAATTGACCTTGGATCCAATATTAATAAATGTACTTATTAATTCTAACAGTATATCTGTACATTCTTATAGATATTCTACATATAAAAATCATATTGTCTGCAAATAATGACAGTTTCATATTTTCCTTTCCAAATTGTGTATTTCTATTTTTTTCATCTTCCCTTGTTGCATTGGCTAAGACCTACAGAACACTGTTGAATAGGAAAGGTGATAATCGGCATTTTTGTCTGTTTCCCAGTCTCACAGGGAAAGCTCTTAATGCTGCGCCATTAAACGTGGTGTTTGTTTCAATTTTTAAAATACCCTTTCTTGAATTAAGGAGATTATTTCAATTCCTAATTTGCTAAAATTTTTAAAAATCATATAATGGATCTTGACCAAATGCTTTTCTGCACCCACCTCAGCCTCCCAAAGTGCTGGGATTACAGGTGTGAACAACCGGGCCTGGCCACAATATTTCAACTTTATGATGGCACCTATGTAACCATTCTGTTTATCACTTTCAGTATAGTATTTAACAAATTCCATAAGTTATGCAACAGTTTATTATAAAATAGGCTTTGTGTTGTATGATTTTGCCCAACTATAGGCTAATGTAGGTGTTCTGAACATGTTTCAGGCAGGCTAGACTAAGCTTTGATGTCTGGTAGGTTAGGTGTATAAAATTCATTTTCAACTTACAATGGGTTTCTTGGGACACAACTCCATTATAAGTTAAGGAGTCTGTATTTGCCAACAACAGCACTAAAGATGTGAGTGGGAATATTGGAGTCAAGAATTGACACCAGATGGGTAATTCAAATCCACAAGAACAAATGAAGAGAACTAGAAATGGTCAATTGGTAGATTAATATAACAGATGCTATGAATATATACTTGCCTTCTTCTCTCAGCTTCTTTAAAATACATAAAATTTAAAGTAAAAACAGAAAAAAATTAGATACATATAATTAAATGTTATAATTACATAATTATAGCAATGTATTGTTGGGTTTGTAACATTTATAGATGCAATATGTATAACAATAATAGCACAGAAGGGTGGGAAAGAGAATGGAGCCATACAGAAGTGACATTTATATATCTAATTGAAATTAAGTTAGTATAAGTCTCATGTAGAATCTGAAGTAACTCTTGACTAGTTAACCAATATATCAGAAGGCCTAGACCAATCACTAAGAAAATAGCTTAACATAGTGAAAAAAGTCATTAGAGGAATTAAATCGTAACACAAGCAAATGTTTGCTTACTGTAAAATAAAGCAGTAAAGGAGGGATAAAGAAAATAAAGAACAAAAAAGACATGAGACACAGAAAACAAAAAGTAAAATGGCAGACATAAACCCAACGATATCAATAATATTACATATAAATGAACTAAACAACTTAATCAAAAATCAGAAATTGTTGGGCTAAACTTTTTTTAAAAGATCCAAATATATGCTGTCTATAAGAAACACACTTTAGACTCAAAGATACAAATACACTGAAACTAAAAGAGATAGGGAAAATATGCAAATAGATAGAAAAATATGTAAAAGACAGAAAACCATTTAAAAAGCAACCATAAAAAAGCTGGAGTGGCTGAACTACTATCAGACAAAATAGACTTTAAAACAGAAAATGCTATTAGAGATAAAGAGGAACATTTTATAATAATAAAAATGTCAATCCATCAGGAAGATATAATAATTACAAACATATATACCTAACAAGAGAGCCCCAAAATACATAAAGCAAAAACTGAGAGAAATGAAGGCTGTTATGGACTGAATGCTTGTGTCCCCCATAACTCATATGCTGAAACTCCAAACTCCAAAATGTGATGGTATTAGGAGTTGGGGCCTTTGGGCCCTAACTTAGGTAATGAGGGTGGAACCCTCATGAATAGGATTTGAGCCCTAGTAAAAGACAATTCAGAGAGCTAGTTTGCTCTTTTCCTGCCATTGAGGAAAACAACAAGAAGTTAGTTGTCTGCAGTCTGGAAAGGCCCCTATCCAGAGCTTGACCTGCTGGCCCCTGATTTCTATTTCCAACCTCCATAACTGTAAGAAATAAATTTCTGTTGTTTATAAGTCATCCAGTCTATAATACGTTGTTATAACAGCTTGAACTAAGACAGGAAGAAATTGACAATTGAATAATACTATTTGGAGTCTTCAATGCCCCACTTTCAATAATGGACAGAACTAGGCAGAAGGTAGGCTGGGCGCGGTGGCTCACACCTGTAATCCCAGCACTTTGGGAGGCCAAGGTGGGTGGATCACCTGAGGTCAGGAGTTCAAGACCAGCCTGGCCAACATGGTGAAATCACGTCTCTACATCTAATAATACAAAAATTAGCTGGGCATGGTGGTGTATACCTGTAATCCCAGCTACTCAGGAAGCTGAGGCAGGAGAATCGCTTGAACCCAGGAGGCAGAGGTTGCAGTGAGCCACCATTGCACTCCATCCTGGGCAACAAAAGTGAAATTCCATCTCGAAAAAAAAAGGAAAAGAAAAAGAACTAGGCACGAGGTAAACAAGGAGATAGATACTTGAACAACAATATAAACCAAATAGATCAATGCTCATCTGTAGACTACAACCAACAACTGCAGAATACACATTCTTCTCATTCTCCAGAATAGACCATATGCTAGGTTATAAAACAAGCCTCAGTAAATTTAAAACGAATAAAATTATTAAAAGAGTATGTTGTCAGACTAAAATGTAGTCAAGTTAGAAAACAATGACAGAGAGAAATTTGGGAAACTCACAAATACATGGACTTAAACAACACACTCCTATATAAAAATGAATGTGTCGAAGAAAAATCAGAGAAAGTATTAGTTTCTTAGAGCTGTCATAACAAAGTGCTACAAACTGAGTAGTTAAAAAACATTATTATCTCACAGTTCCGGAGTCTGGAAGTTCAAGAACAAGGTGTTAGCCAGGCCATTCTCCCTCTACAGATGCTAGGGAAGGATCTATTCTAGTTTAAATGGGTGAATTGCATCTTATACGGCTATTACAAAAAATGTATTGTAGACATTATGATATTTTTAACCTAAATACTTTAGAATGTACCTTCTAAGAACTGCTACTAAGAAGTTCTGTAAGTAAATAAATGGGCATTTCCTCTGATCCACAGTTCTAGTGTTTCTGCATGTGTGCATATGTGTGTGTGTGTGTGTCTGTGTTTTTGTGACTGTGCAAGTAGGGTAACATCTCAGACCCTTCACTGTTTCAGAGCCAATAGTACATAGAACCCTTCTGTACGTTGATCCAAGATACAGTGCAGACTTTCTCAAAAGACTGTCCAAGACCGTCTCTTGCCCAGCTTCTGGTAGTTTTTTGACTTATGGCTAAATAACTCCAATCACCGTTTTCCCTGTATTCATGTCTGTCCAAAATTCTCCATTTTATAAGCACACTAGTCATATTGGAGGCCTGGCCCGCCCTACTCCACTGTGACCTTATTTTAACTAATTACATCTGCAATGACCCGATTTCCCAATAAAGTCACACTTTAGACACAGGGACTTAAGACTTCAACATAGGCATTTGGCGTAGGGGGTACACAATTTAACCCATAACACAAGGGGAATTATGAAACACTTTGGGATGAACAGAAATGAAGACACAACATATCAAAATTTATGAGATACAGTTAAAACTGTACTTAGAGGGGACTTTATAGTTGTAAATGCCTGTATAAAAAGTAGAAAGATCTCAAGTCAATAATTTAAACTTCCACCTTAAGACACTGGGAAAAGAAGAGCATCCTAAATATAAACCAAACAGAAAGAAGGGAATCATGAAGATTCAAGTGGAAATTAATGAAATGAAGAATAGAAAAACAGTGAAAATCAATAAAATCAAATGCTGGTTCTTTGAAATGACCAAAAAAATTGACAAGCCTTTAGCGAGATTAATCAAGAAACAGAGAGAAGACTCAAATTACTAAAATCAGAAATGAAAGAGGGGACATTACTGCCAACCTTAAAGAAATAAAAATAATTATAAGGGAATACTATGAACAACTGTGTCTCAATAAGTTAGATAACTTAGATGAAATAGATAAATTTCTAGTAAAATTGACTCAAGAAGAATTCAAATGGCGTGTATAATAAGCAAAAACATTGAATTAGTAATAAAACGTTTTTAAAACTTCCCACAAAGAAAAGCTCAGGCCCAGGTGCTTCACTGGTGAATTCTACCAAACATTTAAGGAATAATTAACAGCGATTCTTCCCAAACTCTTCCAAAAGAACAGAAAAGTGGGGAAAACTTCCTAAATCATTCTATGAGGTCAGAAATACTCTGATACCAAAACCAGACAAAATTTCACATGAAAATAAAACTACAGACCAACATCTCTTATGAATATAAATGTAAAAATCCTCAACAAAATATTAGCAAACTGAACTCAGCAACATATAAAAGGATCATACACCATGACTAAATGAGTTTTGTCCTAGGAATGCAAGGTTAGTTTAACATTCAAAAATCAATTGATGTAATACACTTAATCAATAGAATGAAGGGCAAAGACCACACAGTTACTCAATAAATGCAGAAAGAACATTTGACAAAATCCAACAACCTTTCATGATAGAAACACTCAACTGCAATTCTACCCCTAGGAAAAATAAAAACATATGACCATTCATAAACATAAACAAGAATGTTAATAGCAGCATTATTCTTCATAGTCAAAAAGTGAAAATAATCCAAATGTCCATCAATCGATGAATGAAGAAACAAAATGTAGTATATCTATACAATGGAATATGACTTATCAGTGAGAAGGAATGGCATACTGATACATGCTACAACATAGATGACCTTGAAAACATTATGCTAAATAAAAGAAGCCAGTCATAAAAGACCACATATTGTATGATTCCATTCATATAAAATGTCTAGCATATGAATGTCTCTAGAGACTGAAAGTAATTCGTGGCTACCTAGGGCTAGAGGGGGCTGTAAGGATTGAGAGGTGATAGTTAAAGGGTATAAAGTTTATTTTGGAGGTGATGAAAATGTTCTACAATTCATTGTCTTGATGATTCATGATTCTGTAAACATGCAAAAAAAGTAAATAATTTAAATGAATGAAAATGTATAATTTAAAATGTAGAATTTAAATGAATGTGAAACGTATAATTTAAATGGGTGAATTGTATCTTATATAGCTGTTGCCAAAAAATTTATTGCAGACATCATGACATTTTTAGTCTAAAAATACTTTAGAATGTATCTCCTAAGAATTGGCACTAAGAAGTTCTCTAAAGAAATAAGTGTTTATTTTCTCTGATCCAGAGGGCTAGTGTTTCTGCTTGCGTGGGTGTCTTGTGTATGTGTGTGTCTGTGTGACTGTACAAGGAGGGTGACATCTCAGGCCCTTCACTGTTTCAGAGCCAGCAGTACATGAAACCCTTCTGAACACTTACCTAAGATGTAGTCCAGACTTTCTCAAAAGACTGTCCAAGTGATGATGGCATTTTTCAGCCCTCCTCAGTAAATGACTCCATTTATTTGGGTGTGCCCAAATGACACCACTCTTGGAAAAGAAATGAGATAAAAAATAACGAGTAGGTCAGGCATGGTGGTTCATGCTTGTAATCTCAGCTCTTTGGGAGGTCGAGGTGGGAGGATCACTTGAGCCCAGGAGTTTGAGACCAGCCTGGCCAACATGGTGAAACCCTGTCTCTACAAAAAAATAAAAATTAGCCAGGCATGATGGCACATGCCTGTGGTCCCAGCTACTCAGGAGGCTGAGGTGGGAGGATCACTTGAGTCTGGGAGGTCAATGCTGCAGTGAGCTGAGATCATGCCATTGCATTCCAGCCTGGGCAACAGAGCAAGACCCTATCTTAAAATAATAATAATAATAATATTAATAATGTGTAAAATTTTCTCCTCACTTGCTGTATTAGTCCATTTTCACACTGCTGATAAAGACATACCCGAGACTGGGAAGAAAAAGAGGTTTAATTGGACTCACAGTTCCACGTGGCTGGGGAGACCTCAGAATCATGGCTGAAGGTGAAAGGCATGTCTCACATGGCAGCAGATAAGAGAAGAGAGCTTGTGCAAGGAGACTCTTGTTTTTAAAACCATCAGATCTCATGAGACTTATTCACTATCATGAGAACGGCAATGGGAAGACCTGCCTCCATGATTTAATTACCTCCCACCGGGTCCCTCCCACGACACAGGGGAATTTAAGATGAGATTCGGATGGGGACACAGCCAAACCATATCACTTGCCTAAGAGAAAATCTCTAACCGTAGACTTGTCTTTCTATCATTCCTGTCAGCCTGAGTTGCTGAATGACATGTGGAGGAGAGTCACCTGCCAACCCAGAAAACAAGCTCTGAACTCAGACTCGAATGCAAATTAGACGGCTCTCTTGTTGGCCTCACCACATTTTTGTGTCCTGCACTATAGCAGGAAGTGCAATCCTAACGGAGTCGTCTTTAGACTCACAAAGGAAGAGAGCTGCTCTTCTGTGTTCTCCCCACATTCCCTCCTCCAGTGCATCTTCAGAGAGATAAATCCCTCCTCTGAAGCTATGGCTCCTGATATTCATCAGTTTGCAGGAATATTTACCTCAGAAGCCAGGAGGATTTGCAGCTGCTACCTGACAAGGAAAAGGACCTCGTGGCTGGCACCCAGCCATGCTCCTCCACTTAATCTTCGACTCTCCTGCCACACCCGCCTTCTAGGGGATGGCTCCTTCCTCATCTTGGCAAGCCTATGTCTGGTCTCCCATAGAAGTGGGTGCTGGGCACTGCCACTCTTACTGTGACAACAGGCTAAAATCAGTTTCCCAAGCAAATATACCACGAGTAAATATTGATTCTAGACCTCAGTATTTCTTCTTTGACCGTTATATTTATTTAATCCTGCATGTCCGCAAGCAGATTTCGCCCATGTGCACAGGCTAACTGAGCTAATTCCCGTGGTACCAGGAGGGCTTCTTGACAAGTCTTCATTGACAAGGAGACCTCAGGCTCCTTCTTCTATCACAAAAAAGGGGAAGTGGTTCAATGTGGTGGCGCAGATATGTAATCCCAGCACTCTGGGAGGCTGACACAGGAGAATTGCTTGAGCCCAGGGGTTTGAGACTAGTCTGGGCAAAATAACCAGCTCCCATCTCTCTAAATAATAAAATTTTTAAAAATTAGCCAGGCAGGCTGGGCGCAGCAGCTCACGCCTGTAATCCCAGCACTTTGGGAGGCTGAGGTGGGTGGATCACGAGGTCAGGAGATCGAGACCATCCTGTGAATGGTGAAACCCCGTCTCTACTAAAAATACAAAAAATTAGCCGGGCGTGGTAGCGGGCGCCTGTAGTCCCAGCTACTCGGGAGGCTGAGGCAGGAGAATGGCGTGAACCCGGGAGGCGGAGCTTGCAGTGAGCCGAGATCGCGCCACAGCACTCCAGCCTGGGCGACAGAGCGAGACTCCGTCTCAAAAAAAAAAAAAACAAAAACAAAAACAAAATTAGCCAGGCATGGTGGCACGTACCTGCAATCCCAGCTGCTCTGGAGGCTGAGGTGGGAGGATCGCTTGAGCCCAAGAGTTTGAGACTGCAGTGAGCCATGGTTGTGCCACTGCACTCTAGCCTGGGGACAGAGCGAGACTTTGTCTCCCCCTGAAGGAAGGAAGGAAGGAGGAAGGAGGAAGGAAGGCAGGAAGGCAGGAAGGAAGGAAGGAAGGAAGGAAAGAAGGAAGAAAGGAAGGAAGGAGTGGGGATGTAGGGAGGAAGGAAGGGAAGGGAGAGAAGGAAGGAAGGAAAAAGGGAAGGAAAAAGGAAAGGAGGGAGGGAAAAAAGGAAGGAAAAAGGGAAGGAAAAAAGGAAGGGAGGGAGGGAGGGAATAAAGGAAGGAAGGAGGGAGGGAGGGAAGGAAAGAAAAGAAAGAAAGAGAGAGAAAGAAAGAGAGAAAGGAAGGAAGGGAGGGAGGGAGGGAATAAAGGAAGGAAGGAGGGAGGGAGGGAAGGAAAGAAAAGAAAGAAAGAGAGAGAAAGAAAGAGAGAAAGGAAGGAAGGGAGGGAGGGAGGGAGGGAGGGAAAGAGAGAAAGAGAGAGAAAAAGAGAGAAAGAAGTGGAAGTACCTTCACTTTTCAAACTAGCATTTGGCTTAGGCTTAGACGCATTTTGAAACACTATAGGATTTTCATGGAAGACTATTTTTAAACTATCTGAGCGTCGGCAAGAAGGATGGGTGCTTTTGAATATGTATTCTTATTACTAGAAAGTTTCCAGGATTGCTGAAATTACATTACAGTCTTAAAATCCTTTTTATTTGTTTATGGACAAAAATGGCTTAGATAGTCAGAATCCAACATAAAGCCACATGCAACTATATTTCCTAATATTAATATTCTGTGGAATAAGGTGACATTAGAAAGAGATTAGTTCCTGCTATGTAATACATGTTTTTACATAAACGAATGTCTGATCCTAGAGTTTCACGGCAGAACTTTAGGGGTGCAAATCAGAAAAGCACAGCATAGATTCATCTTGCCTCTTCCTGTGTGCCCTAAACAAACTGTAACCTTGAATCATGATTTCATTATCATAGACAGTAGAATTCCATCAAATATCTGTAGCACCAACTATGTCAAAGTTATGAAGGTAAAACCGAATTCTCAGTTTACATGTTTCACGCAATAATCTACAAATACATTTCTTCAATCTCCAAAAACTTATAAATATTTAATGCCACAGAGGCTTTTCAAATGCTCAGGTGAGAATAAGGCATGTTTGCTTTTTAGACTAAACTTTAGACTGAAACTCATAAATCACAAGGACTGTCAGTGAAGACCACATAGTCATCTTTCCTTTAGTCTAAACAAAAAGCCCTGGGAATGGGCCTCAGAAGAAAAATCTTTGAAGATGTGTAGAGAAGCCCCAAAATATATTTCTGTGCATCTCTATAATTCGTGTTATATCTACCTACAGCTATTGCATAAGTTGTATATTATATATCACACTAGAGGCTTTTTAAGAGGTGATATTTCTCCTGCATATAAGTGTAAAACAAGCCATTTTCTGCAGTCAATAAGTTACTAGCTTCTGAGACCCATAAGAGAAATTCTGAATTGACAATTTTCCTCCAGAAAAGGTAGGAAAGAAGAACCCTGGCAAGTAATAATTTAATAATTTTTCTTCTTTATAACACTCAATACATCCAGTTTTTTTCTCTAACCAAGATCTATAAATACAATAAAAGTAAATGCTATTTCATCACAGAACATATTTTATATATATTCTGGCTAAAGATCAAATGCAATCTAATTTTCACAATAAGTGGAGAATAATTGGCAAAGTCATGTGTCTTATCATTTTATTGGGTTTTATGTTAAAGACAGAAAAAAATTGTAAAGGAAACAATTTTTATGAAGTCTATCAACACTAAAAAACGTGCTTGTAAAACCTGGATCTGGTCTGAAATAGAATATGTGAAAGGCAAGTTCATGAAAATGCATGAATTATAAAAATGTTTTTCATTGCTGGTAGGTAGTCCCACCAGAAACCCATTATTAAATTAATAATTAACCCGGAAAAGAGAAAACTGAAAACAAATAAAGTAAATATGTAGCACTTACCGACCAATACCAGACAAGCTGAGTCTGAACAATTTTCTAGCTGATTCTGCTCCCAGCTTTTCCACTTGGAACATAGCAATCTTAAGCGGGATGCTCAGGCAGGAGCTTCTCAGGCAAGGGGTCTTTATCCTACAGGAGCTCTGTACCATGGCACCTAATGAGGTTTACGAAAAGAGTTGATAAGACAACCTACCCTGACTTTGTAGTGAGAACTTGGAGCCTGGGCTTGGTGTTTCATGCTTATAATCTCAGCACTTTGGGAGGCTGAGGCAGGAGGATCGGTTGAGCCCAGGAGTTCAGGGCTGCAGTGAAGTATGATCGTGCCACTGCACTCCAGCCTGAGCAACAGAGCAAGGCACCGTCTTAAAAAAGGAAGATTGTGGCTGGGCACAGTGGCTCTTGCCTGTAATCCCAGCACCTTTGGAGGCCGAGGCCGCCGGATCAAGAGGTCAGGAGATCGAGACCATCCTGGCTAACACAGTGAAACCCCGTCTCTACTAAAAATACAAAAAATTAGCCAGGCATGGTGGTGCGCGCCTGTAGTCCCAGCTGCTCAGGAGGCTGAGGTAGTAGAATCTCTTGAACCCGGGAGGCGGAGGTTGCAGTGAGCCGAGATCACGCCACTGCTCTCCAGCCTGGGTGACAGAGCAAGACTCTGTCTTAAAAAAAAAAAAAACCAGATTGTACATTTATTATTAATTTGAGCATCAATATGTACAACTTTGAGGAGGCTCTGTCAGTCCTATCATCAACTTCTAGTTCCTCCATACTGAAAATCCTGGAATGGGTTTTCTGTTTATTTGGCTTGGCAACTCAGTCTCTGTCTGTCTCTCTCTCTGTCTCTCTCTCTCTCTCTCTCTCTTTCCTTCCCTTACTTCCTCCCTCCCTGCCAAATCTTTCATTCTGCCAATGATCACTTTGAAATAATCAGCTTTACTCTGCAAGCTACAATGATAGGAAGGCGGTTGAAATCCCGTTGTGGGAGTTTAGTCATCTCAGATTCAGGATCTGAGTTGAAAATAGAATTTCTGTTATTGCTCCTGGCTCATTTAAGCACTACTCAGAAAATATTTGCTGAGCTAGGCACTCTGTTCTAGTCACTCAGGATATAGCAGTGAACAAAAAAGTCCTTGCTCACACAGAACTTGTATTCTAGCTGGGAGAGACAAGAGAGTAAACAAATACGTAATATCCTGGGTGGTTGGAAACGCTATGAAGAAAAATAAAGCAGGGGAGGGAATAGAACATCAAGTGCAGGGGCTGAGGTGGTTTACAATGGACTGGTCAGAGAAGGCTCTATGATGCGTTGACGTCCGAGCAGAGAGCTGAAGAAGAGCAGGTGAGTCAGGCAGATTCAGGCAGAGACCCAAGCACTGGGGAGAGCAAGTGCAAAGGTTCGAAGGCAGGCATGTGCTAGGGTGTTCAAGGAACAAGAAGGAAATCAAAATGGCCGACGCAGCGTGAATCCGGGGAAGGAGGGGGCAATGAAGACGGCAATGAATGAAGAAGGGAACCTGGAGCCAAGTAATGGCGGGACTTAGACAAGGGCAGGCATTTAGGGCTTTACTCTGAGAGAGGTGGGAAACCAGCTGAGAATCTTCAACAAAGGAGCGGCACAATCTGACTTCTGTTTTCAGAAGATTACCCTGGAAGGTATGTGAAAAAATAGATTGGAGAATTACGAGGATAGAATCAGAGAGATGAATTAAAAGGCATTGTAACGCTGCCATTTTTAACCATATTGGAGTAAATAGTGCTGGCCTTGCCCTCCTACCGTCAACAATTGGAAAACTGAACAACGGTATGAAACGCTTCATATCAAATTCAAATTTTCTATCAGACTTAGACACTGGACAAGCGATCTCACAGGACTTTGATATGTGATAAAAGGGGGGAAAACAGGGTAAGTCCCACCTCAGCTGTCTGCCTGGAGGTATTTTTTGGACTGTGCTGCAGGGAGAGAGAATCCAAGCAATACATGGGGATTTCATTAAGTGAGACAAGGGGGCCTCAAGTAGCAGGAATTTGCCAGGCAGAATACTGAGGGGTAGGATCTGTACAGATAAAGAGATATAGAAATCAACAGAGGGATTCCCTTGAGCCTATTGCTGAATATTAATATGTCCATGGATGGGTCTGGCAAGGGTCTCCTGGGAAGCTGTAAGCCAAACAATTCTCAGAGCTCACTTTGGGCTGGGAGATAATGAAAACATGCCAGCCAGGCACAGTGGCTTATACCTATAATCCCAGCACTTTTGGAGGCCAAGGTTTGCGGATCACTTGAGCCCAGGAGTTCAAGACCAGTCTGGGCAACATGGTAAAACCCCATCTCTACTAAAAATATAAAACTTAGCCAGGTGCGGTGGCATGCGCGCGTAGTCCCAGCTACTTGGGAGGCTAAGCAGGGAGGATTGCTTGAGCCCTGAGGCAAAGGTTGCAGTGAGCCAAGATTGCATTCCACCACTGCACCCCAGCCTGGGCAACACAGCAAGATTGTCTCAAAAAAACACAAAAAACAAAAAACAAACAAACAAAACCCCATGCCAACCAGTGTGGAAAAACCTCACTAACGTCTAGGGCATTATTAAGATGATGCTTTAGATCTGGAGCTAAACTAGGCCTAGAGCAAGGACTATTGTTGATCTACCCCAGCAAAAGCCTGAGACAAGCCCCAAAAGGTGAAGTGGAACTGTGAGTTTCTTAACTACCTGCCAAAATAAATGTCAACACATTTTAAAGAAATTTAGCAAAACCAAGACATGAACAACATACTATTCAAAATTTTCAGCATCCAAGAAAAAATTGCTAGACATGCAAGAGCAGAAAACAGTGGCTGAAAACCAGGAGAAAAATCAGTCAATAAGAAGCTAAAAATATAGTGGCCCCCTCTTCTCCACAAGGGATACATTTTATGACCCCCCCCACCTTCCGCGGTGGATGCCTGAAACCATGGACAATACCAAACCCTATGCATACTATGTTTTTACCTATACATATAAACCTATGAGAAAGTTTAATTTATAAATTAGGCACAGTCAGAGATTAACAGCAATAACTAATAATAAAATAGAACAATTATAGTAACGTACTGTCATACAAGTTATGTGAATGTGGTCTCTCTCTCTCTTTCTCAAAATATGTCATTTTACTACACTCATCCATCTTCCTGTGATCTGCCAATCTGATAACTGAGACAGCTACCAAGTGACTAACAGGCAGGCAGCATATAAAGCTGAGATATACTGAATAAAGGGATGATTCACATCCTGGGCAGGACAGAGCAGGACAGTGGGAGTTTCCATCATGCTACTCAGAATGGCACACAATTTAAAACACATGAATTGTTTACTTCTGGAATTTCCCCTTTAATATTTTTAGACCACAGTTGACCACGGGTAACTGAAACTGTGGAAAATAAAACTGGATGGCGGCGGGGGGAACCACTGTAGAAGGCAAATTAAATGAAAGTAAGTAGAGGAAAGGGAATAATAAAGATAAGAGTATAAATTGATGAAATAGAAATTGACATCCAATAGAGAAAATTAATAAATCCCAAAGCTAGTTCTTTGAAAATATCAGCAAAGTTGATAAACCTATAGTTAAATTGCCAAAAATAAAAATGGAAAAGGACAGAAAACTGTTTGGGCCAAATTGTGTCCTCCCAAAATCCAGATGTGAAAGCCCTCATCCCCAGTGCCATTGTATTTGGAGATAGAGCCTTTAAGGAAATAATTAAATTAGGTCATAAGATTGAGGCCCTAAGCAAAAATTAGCCAGGCATGGTGATGCATGCCTGTAATCCCAGCTACTCAGGAGGCTGAGGCAGGAGAATCTCTTGAACCCAAAGGCGGAGGTTGCAGTGAGCCGAGATCGCACCATAGCACTCCAGCCTGGGTGACAGAGCCAGACACTGTCTCAAAAAAAAAAAAAAAAAAAAAAAAAAAAAAAAAAAAAAAAAAGATTGAGGCCCTAAACCATTAGCACTAGTGGCCTTACAAGAAGAGGAAGAGACGCCAGAGCTCTCTCTCTTTCTCCACACATGCATAGAAGAAAGGCCCTAGAAGGACACAGGAGAAGGCAGCACTCTGCAAGCCAAGAGAGCCCTCCCCAGAAACCAAATTTTCTGGCACCTTGATCTTGAACTTCTAGTCGCCAGAACTGTGAGAAAATAAATTTCTGTTATTTAAACCATCCAGTCTGTGGTGTTCTGTTATGGCAGCCCAAGCTGTTAATAATAATAATGATAATACATATTTCAGTACCAAGAAACGGAGTGCCACTGTAACAAACACCTAAAAATGTGGAAGTGACTTTGGAAATGGATAATGGGTAGAGGCTAAATGAACTTTGAGGTGCATGCTAGAAAAAGCCTAATTTGCCATGAAAAGACTTTAGTAGAAATACGGATGTTATAGTCTGGTGAGAGCTCAAGAAGAAGAGAGGATAGCTGTAGAGAAAGTGAAAGCTTTTATCATCTTAGAGAATATATATCATCATGAATAGAACGTTAATAGAAATAAGACATTAAATATGCCCCGGGTCAGAAAGAGATCATCATGGCGGATGGCAGGCAGGACCAGATTGCAGCTCCAACTCGGACAGACAGCAGCGTGCGGAGCCTCGCATCATCAATTCCAGCTCCAGAACCACTGCAGAACAACCCAGCAATCCTGAGAGGACCCACAGATCCTCTGAAGGAAGCAGGCTGCTCCTGCAGGACCGGGAGACACCCCAAATACTGTGAGTGCCCAAACTGCGAAAGTGAGAAAGGGAGACCCTCCACCCCAAACACACACCCCCACTGGGGAAACGAAGGTCTAGTTTGCAGGAGAAGTTTCTGACCTTACCTGGAGCTGAGTCAATTCAGAGCTGAGCAAAATACAGGGGTAGAGGAAGCAACGGGAAAGGCCCTGGGAGCTCGCTGGGTCCCCAAGCAGGACATTGCTGCCTGGCGCCACAGGGATCCTTCGGGATGGCGGCCAGAGGCGCGGGGGAAAATGTCACAGGGAGAAGGAAGTCTCCAGCTGAACTTAGTAACAATTTTTTTTTTTTTTTTTTTTTTCGGACGGAGTCCCACTCTGTCGCCCAGGCTGGAGTGCGGTGGTGCGATCTCTGCTCACTGCAAGCTCCGCCTCCCGGGTTCACACCATTCTCCTGCCTCAGCCTCCGGAATAGCTGGGACTACAGGCGCCCGCCACTACGCCCGGCTAATTTTTTGTATTTTTAGTAGAGACAGGGTTTCACCGTGTTAGCCAGGATGGTCTCGATCTCCTGACCTTGTGATCTGCCCACCTCGGCCTCCCAAAGTGCTGGGATTACAAGCGTGAGCCACCGCGCCTGGCCACTTTGTAACAATTTGAACTGGATGAGAAGCCCCCTGGCCAGAACTCGGGGGAGGGTGCAAATCCGATGTGCAGACTCCACAAGCAGGGGAAGAACCAAAGCCCTTTTCTTTCACAGCTGGGAGGCAGGTAACCTGGGGCAAGTTCTCAAGCCCTGCTCGCCCACTACCTGGAAACAGACTCGGGGCTGTTAGGGGGCCATAGTGGAAGTGAGACTGACCCTTTGGATTGCGTGGGAGCTGGGTGAGGCCTGTGACTGCCAGCTGTCCTCCACTTCCCTAACATCCTGCATGACTCAGTAGAGGCAGCCATAATCCTCCTAGGTACACAACTCCATTGACCTGGGATCACCTGGGAACCTCACCGCCAACCCCCACAGCAGCTGCAGCAAGACCCACCCAGTGAGAGTCTGAGCTCAGACCCACCTAGCCCTGGCCCCACCTGATGGGCCTTCCCTACCCACCCTGGTAGCTGAAGACAAAGGGCATACACTGGGCATATACTCTTGGGAGTTCTAGGGCCCCGCCCACCACCGGCTTCTCACCATACTACCACAGCTGATGCTCTCTGGAAAGCCCCACCTCCCGGCAGGAGGCCAACCAGCACAAAAATAGAGCATTAAACCACCAAAGCTAAGAACCCTCACACAGTCCATTTCACCCTCCTACAACCTCCACCAGAACAGCTGCCGGTATTCACAGCTGAGAGACTCATAGATTATTCACATCACAGGACTCTCTTGCTGGGGGGCTAGACCCAGAAGAGAGATAACAATCACTACAGCTTGGCTCACAGGAAGCCACATCCATAGGAAAAGCCAGGGAGTACTACATCAAGGAAAATCCCTGTGGGACAAAAGAATCTGAACAACAGCCTTCAGCCCTAGACCTTCCCTCTGACAGAGCCTACCCAAATGAGAAGGAACCAGAAGACCAACTCTGGTAATATGACAAAACAAGGCTCTTTAATACCCCCGAAAAAATCACACTAGTTCACCAGCAATGGATCCAAACCAAGAAGAAATCCCTGATTTACCTGAAAAAGAATTCAGTAGGTTAGTTATTCAGCTAATCAGGGAGGCACCAGAGAAAGGCAAAGCAAGAAAATCCAAAAAATGATGCAATAAGTGAAGAGAGAAATATTCAAGGAAATAGATAGCATAAAGAAAAAACAATAAAAACTTCAGGAAACATTGGGCACACTTATAGAAATGCAAAATGCTCTGGAAAGTCTCAGCAATAGAATTGAACAAGTAGAAGAAAGAAATTCAGAGCTTGAAGACAAGGTCTTCGAATTAACCCAATCCAACAAAGACAAAGAAAAAAGAATAGGAAAATATGAACAAATCCTCCAAGAAGTCTGGAATTATAGTAAACAACCAAACCTAAGAATAATTGGTGTTCCTGAGGAAGAAGAGAAATCTAAAAGTTTGGAAAACATATTTGGGGGAATAATTGAGTGAAACTTTCCTGGTCTTACTAGAGACCTAGACGTCCAAATACAAGAAGCACAAAGAACACCTGGGAAATTCATTGCAAAAAGATCATCGCCTAGGCACATTGTCATCAGGATATCTAAAGTTAAGATGAAGGAAAGAATCTTTAGAGCTGTGAGACAAAAGCACCAGGTAACCTATAAAGGAAACCTTTCAGATTAACGCAGACTTCTCAGCAGAAACCCTACAAGCTAGAAATCTTTGGGCCCTATCTTCAGCCTCCTCAAACAAAACAATTATCACTCAAGAATTTTGGATCCAGTGAAATTAAGCATCATATATGAAGGAAAGATAGTCTTTTTCGGACAAACAAATGCTGAGAGAATTCACCACTACCAAGCCACCACTATACGAATTGCTAAAAGGAGCTCTAAATCTTGAAACAAATCCTGGAAACACATCAAAACAGAACCTCTTTAAAGCATAAACCACACAGAACCTATAAAACAAAAATACAATTTAAAAAGCAAAAATGAAAAACCAAAAAACCAAGGTACACAGGCAACAAACTGCATGATGAATCAAATGATACCTTACATCTCAATACTAACATTGAATATAAATGGCCTAAATGTTCCACTTAAAAGATACAGAACCAGCTGGGCACAGTGGCTTGTACCTGTAATCCTAGCACTTTGGGAGGACAAGGCAGGTGGATCACCTGAAGTCAGGAGTTTGAGATCAGCCAGGCCAACATGGCAAAACCCTGTTTTTACTAAAAATACAAGAATTAGCCAGGCATGGTGGCACATGCCTGTAATTCCAGCTACTCAGGAGGCTGAGGCAGGAGAATCGCTTGAACCAAGGAGGCAAAGGTTACAGTGAGCTGAAATCATGCCACTGCATTCCATCCTGGGTGACAGAACAAGACTCCATCTCAAAAAAAAAAAAAAAAAAAGATACACAACTGCAGAATGGATAAGAACTCACCAACCAACTATCTGCTGCCTTCAGGAGACTCACCTAACACATAAGGACTCACATAAACTTAAAGTAAAGGGGTGGAAAAAGGCATTTCATGCAAATGGACACCAAAAGTGAGCAGGGTTAGCTATGCTTATATCAGACAAAACAAACTTTAAAGCAACAGCAGTTAAAAGAGACGAAGAGGGACATTATATAATGGTAAAAGGCCTTGTCCAACAGGAAAATATCACAATCCTAAACATATATGCACCTAACACTGACACTCCCAAATTTATAGAACAATTACTAATAGACCTAAGAAATGAGATAGACAGCAACACAATAATAGTGGGGGACTTCAATACGTCACTGACAGCAGTAGACAGGTCATCAAGACAGAAAGTCAACAAAGAAACAATGGATTTAAATTATACCTTGGAACAAATGGACTTAACAGATACATACAGAACATTTCATCCAATAACCGCAAGATATGCATTCTATTCAACAGCACATGGAACTTTCTCCAAGACAGACCATATGATAGGCCACAAAATGAGCCTAAATAAATTTAAGAAAATTGAAATTATATCAAACACTCTCTCAGACCACAGTGGAATAAAACTGGAAATCAACTCCAAAAGGAACCTACAAAACCATGCAAATACATGGAAATTTAAAAACCTGCTCCTGAATGAACATTGGGTCAAAAACAAAATCAATATGGAAATTTAAAAAATTCTTCAAACTGAACAACAATAATGATACTAGCTATCAAAATCTCTGGGATACAGCAAAGGCAGTGCTAAGAGGAGCGTTCATAGTCCTAAATGCCTACATCGAAAAGACTGAAAGAGCAGAAACTGATACTCTAAGGTCACACCTCAAGGAACTAGAGAAACAAAAACAAACCAAACCCAAACTTAGCAGAAGAAAGAAAATAACCAAGATCAGAGCAGAACTTAATGAAATTGAAACAACAACAACAACAACAAAAATATAAAAAGATAAATGAAACAAGAAGCTGGTTCTTTGAAAAGATAAATCAAATTGATAGACTATTAGCAAGATTAACCAAGAAAAGAAGGGAGAAAATCCAAATAACCTCATTGAGAAATGAAATAGGAGATTTTACAACTGATACCACTGAAATACAAAAGATCATTCAAGGCTACTGTGAACGCCTTTATGCACATAAACTAGAAAACCTAGAAGAGATGGATGAATTCCTGGAAAAATACAACCCTCCCAGCTTAAATCATGAAGAATTAGATACCCTAAACAGAACAATAACAAGCAGTGAGATTGAAATGGTAATCAAAAAATTACCAACAAGAAAAAGTTCAGAACCAGATGGATTCACAGCAGAATTCTACTGGACATTCAAAGAAGAATTGGTACCAATCCTTTTGACACCATTCCACAAGGTAGAGAAACCCTCCCTAATTCATTCTATGAAACCAGCATCACCCTAATACCAAAACCAGGAAAGGACATAATCAAAAAAGAAAACTACAGACCAATACCCCTGATGAACACAGATGTTAAAATCCTTAACAAAATAGTAACTGATCAAATCCAACAACATATCGAAAAGATAATCCACCATGATCAAGTGGGTTTCCTACCAAGGAGGCAGGGATGGTTTAACATATGCAAGTCAATAAATTTTTGATACACCACATAAACAGAATTAAAAACAAAAATCACATGATCATCCCTTTATGATTAAAACTCTCAGCAAAATCGGCATACAAGGGACATACCTCAGTATAATAAAAGCCATCTATGACAAACCCACAGCCAACATAATACTGAATGGGGAAAAGTTGAAAGCATTCCCTCTGAGAAGTGGAACAAGACAAGGATGCTCACTCTTACCACTCCTCTTCAATGTAGTACTGAAAGTCCTAACCAGAGCAATCAGACAAGAGAAAGAAATAAAGGGCATGCAAATCAGTAAAGGGGAAGTCAAACTGTCACTGTTAGCTGATGATATGATCATTTACCTTGAAAACCCTAAAGACTCCTCCAGAAAGCTCCTAGAACTGATAAAAGAATTCAGCAAAGTTTCTGGATAAAGATTAATGTACAGAAATCAGTAGCTCTTCTACACACCAACAGTGACCAAGTGGAGAATCAAATCACAAACTCAACCCCTTTTACAATAGCTGCAAAAAAATAAAATACTTAGGAATATACCTAACCAAGGAGTCAAAAGACCTCTACAAGGAAAACTACAAAACACTGCTGAAAGAAATCATAGATAACACAAACAAAAGGAAACACGTCCCATGCTCATGGATGGGCAAGAATCAATATTGTGAAAATGACCATACTGCCAAAAGCAATCTACAAATTCAATGCAATCCCCATCAAAATATCATCATCATTCTTCACAGAATTATAAAGAACAATTCTAAAATTCATATGGAACTGAAAAAGACCCCACATAGCCAAAGCAAGACTAAGCAAAAAGAACAAATCTGGAAGCATCACACTACCTGATTTCAAACTATACTATAAGGCCGTAGTCACCAAAACAGCATGGTACTGGTATAAAAATAGGCACACAGACCAACGGAACAGAATAGAGAACCCAGAAATAAACCCAAATACTTACAGCCAACTAATCTTCAACAAAGCAAACAAAAATATAAAGTGGAGAAAGGACATCCTTTTCAATAAATGGTGCTGGGATAATTGGCTAGCCACCTATCACACTACTGCACTCCAGCCTGGGCGACAGATTAGAGATCTTGATAAATAGAGAGATGTACCTTGTTCATGTATTTTGTAATGTTAAGGTATTAATTCTCCCCAAATGGATCTACAGAATAAGCACAATCCCAGTCAAAATCCCAGAAGACTCTTTTTTTTGTATAAATTGCCAAGCTGGTTCTAAAATACAGAAATGAAAAGACCTAGAAGAATTAAAACTATTTTGAAAAAAAAAAGAACAAATTTGGAGGACTTACTCTATGTGCTCTCAAGGTTTACTATAAAGCTACAGTAATTAAGACAGTGTAGTTTCCATATAAGGATAGACATGTATCAATATATAGACACAGAGTCCAAAAATAAGCCCACATGTAAAAAAGATCAGCTAATCTTTGACAAAAGTGCCAAGGTAATCAAATGGGAGAAAAGATAATCTTTTAACAAATGATATTGGAACAACTAGTTATCTATATGGAAAACAAAATAAACCTTAAACCTTACTTCACACAATAGAGAAAAACTAGCCTTAAATAAATCATATATCTAATTGTAAAAGCTAAAATTATAAATTTTCCAGGAGAAAGCCTTCATAATCTTGGGAAAGGCAAAGCTTTTATAGACAGAACACGGAATGCACTTAACACAAAAGAAAAGTTGATAAGTTGGACTTTATGAACAAACATTTCCATACTTCAAAAGACACAATTAAATATAAGCTCTAGTAAATACAAAAAATATAAAAAGAACTAAAAAACACAGTTAAGAAAATGAAAAGACAACTACAGACTGGGAGAAATATTCACAAGACATATATCTGACCAAGAATTGTATACAAAATATATGAAGACATCAACAATCCAATAATAAGGTTAAATAATTTTTAAAAGTAGACAAAAATGTTACACATTCACAAGATAAGATATAGGAATAGCCATAAAGTGCATAAAGAGATACTCAATATCATTAGTCATCAGACAAATGTAGACTAAAGCTTCAATGAAGCACCGTTACATATCCACTAAAATTGCTAAAATTACAAATATGACCACACCAAGTGTTGGTGAGAATGCAGAGCACTGAACATTGCTGGTAGAAATGTTAGATCATACAATCGATTATTTTGGAAAAGAACTCTGCAGAACTTTTAGAGATAAAATACAATCACTGAAACTAGAAACTCAATGGAAAGTTAAACAGAAGATAATACATGTCTGAAAAGAAAATTAGTTATCCGGAAGATAGATTTAAAGAAATAACCAGAATATAGCACAAAGAGATCAATAGCTAAAAAATATGAAAAATGCATGAAGAGACAGAGGTTAGTGTGAGAAAGTACAACTCAGCTGCCTAGACCTCCAGAAGGAGAAGATAGAGAGGATAAAGGTGATATCAAATAGCTGAATTTCCCAGAAATTGTTGAATATATATATCAATCTCATATACAACCAACCCAACTGATAACAAGGAGGATAAATTAAAACAATGCACACCTAGGAAGATCCAAACTGCAGAACACCAAAGAAAAAGAGAAGACTATATAATAAAAGCAATCAGAGAGAAAAGATGAATTACTTAGTTAGGAATGGCAATTATACTGATGAATTCTCAGCATCAACAAGGTAACTCAAAAGACAGTGGAACCATATTTTTGACGTGCTGAGATAAAATATCTGTCAACCTACAATTATGTTCTTGGTAAAACAATCTTTCAAGAGAAGGGGTAAAATAAAGACCTTTTCAGGCAAACAAAAGCTGAACTTGACTTTAGGAGAATCACATGAAAGAAAATTTCAAGGACAAGAATAAGTTAAATTATTACAAAAGGAAGGTCTGAGATTCAAGGAACGGTGAGCAAAGATACTGGCAAATATCAGGTAAATATAAACAAATACTGAGAATAAAACAATAAGAATGTTTATAGGGTAAAAGAAAAGTAAAAATACTAGACAGAAATAGTGTAGAATTTGGAAGGGGTGATCAGGATTATAGCCTTATAAGAACTTGTATCTTTTTATTAGAAGGTAAAGTTAGTAATTAATTTTAGACTGTTAACCATGCATTTTAAGTAACTAAAGTTACTGCTAAAATAATAGACATCACAATATAACTTCTAAACTAATAGAGAAGGAAAAATAAATAATTCATAAAGAAGAAAAGAGGCTAGGCGCGGTGGCTCACACCTATAATCCCAGCACTTTGGGAGGCCGACGCAGGCGGATCACCTGAGGTCAGGAGTTCGAGACCAGACTGGCCAACAGGGTAAAACCCCATCTCTACTAAAAATACAAAAATTAGCTGGGTGTGGTGGTGGGCACCTGTAATCCCAGCTACTCGAGAGGCTGAGGCAAGAGAATCACTTGAATTCAGGAGGCAGAGGCTGCAGTGAGCCAAGATCGTGCCATTGCACAGCCTGGGTGACAGAGCAAGACTCTGTCTAAAAAAAAAAAAGAAGAAGAAAAGGAAAAAAGAAAGCACAACAAATAGAAAATATACAACAAGATGTAATAAATTAATCCAAATATAAATAGATAAAAAAATAGTTAAGTGAAACCTGCCAATTAAAAGACAAATATTATTAAACTGAAAAAAAATATGAAATCAAGATATTTATAAAAGACTTATCTAAAACATAAGGATACAGTAATTAAAAAAAAAAAGGGCTAAGCATAGTGGCTCATGCCGGTAGTCCCAGTGCTTTTAGAGGCTGAAGCGGAAGGATGATTTGAGACCAGGATTTTGAGAATAGCCTGGGCAACATAGTGAGACCCTATCTCTACCACAAAATTAAAAATAAAAAAATTAGCGAGGCATGGTGGTACATACCTGTAGTCCCAGCTGCTCAGGAGGCTGAGGCGAGAAGGTTGCTTGAGCCCAGGAGTTTGAGATTATAGTGAGCTATGACCGTGCCACTGCATTCCAGTCTGGGCAACAAAGCAAGACTCTGTCTATAAAAAAAATGTATTTTAATCAAAAAAGTGAATAAAGATATGCCAGGTAAATGTTAACCAAAACAATTCTGGGTAATATTAGACATATATTATACCTAATGATTAAGATTCTACTCATTAGGAAGATACAACATTTATACAACTAATAATATAGTTTCAAATAACATGAAGTAAAAAATTGACAGCTACAAGAGATATTAACAAATCCACAATCATAGTTGAAGTTTTTCTAACATTTGTTTTAGTAATTGGTAGAGACAGATTTTTTTAAGTCAGTAATAATGTTAAAAATTAGAATAGCACAATAGACAATCAGGATCTATGATTCGCTCTCTCTCTCTCTCTCAGAATATATATTCTTTTCAAGTATACATTTACCCATTTAGAGAAGTGACCACATGCTAGGCTTTAAGAAAACCTCAATAAATTCCAGCAGGTTGGCATTGTTCAGAACGTATTATTTAACCGCTAGACAATTACATTGGAAATCAATAGCAAAAAAGGTAGAAAATCCTCATACCTTTAGAGATACAAAACACACTTCTAAAGAATTTCACAGAAGCGAGAGACTCTAATGGAAACTATAAAATATTTAAAATAGAATAACAAACTAGTACATATTAAAAATATATGAGATATAATGGTATTAAGAGTGAGTTTTATAGCCTCAAATGCTTAAACTGGAAAAGACGTCTCAACTGTGTGACCTAAGCATCCAATTTATGGAGCAAGAAAAAAAACAGCTGAATAATTCCCCCAAAAGTAGAAGAAACAACAAAATAAACATAAAAGCAGAAATGCATAAAATAAAAAACATAGTTCCAAGATAGAGAATCAACAAAGCTAAAAATTTGGCCTTCGACAATACTAATAAAATAGACAACAGCAAGATTAATGAAACAAAAACAGAGAGACATATAAACTAATTAAGAATTAATATGCACATATCTCTAGAGGCTGGAGAGAAAACAGATTATAAGATATGAACAAATTTGGGACAATTCGTTTGAAAACCTAGAGGAGATGAATACATCGTATTATGAGCTGAACTGTGTTCCCTCCAAATCCATATGTTAAAGTCCTAACCACCTGTACCTAAGAATATGCCTGTATTTGGAGATAGTGTCTTTAAAGAGGCCATTAAGTATAAATGAGATCATTAGGGTGGGCCATAATCCAATAGGATTGGTGTCATAAGAGGAGATAAGGACACAGATACACCGAGGAAAGACTGAGTGAAGACACGGGGAGAAGGTGGCCAACTACAAGCCAAAGAGAGGGGCCTTGGGAGAAGCCAACCCTGCTGACACCTTGATCTTGGACTTCCAGCCTCCAGAACTGTGAGGAAACACATTTCTGTTGATTCAGCCATGCAGTCTGTGTCACTTTGTTATGGCAGTCCTAGCAAACTAATACACAAACTTAGAAAAAATCTCAATCATTAGCAAAACTAAATCTGTAATTTAAAAGTGTTGTGCAGCCAGGAGAGGTGGCTCATGCCTGTAATCCTAGCACTTTGGGAGGCTGAGGCAGGCGGATCATGAGGTAAGGAGTTCAAGACCAGTTGGGCCCAACATAGCAAAACCCTGTCTCTAGTAAAAATACAAAAATTAGCCAGGCATGGTGGTGGGCATCTGTAATCCCAGCTACTCAGGAGGCTGAGGCAGGAGAATCGCTTGAACCTGGAAGGCCGAGGTTACAGTGAGCCGAGACCGTGCCACTGCACTCCAGCCTGGACTAGAGAGCAAGATTCTGTCTCGAAAAAAAAAATTAAATAAATAAATAAAGTCTTGTGACACAAAAAAACAACAGATTCAAATGACTAGTTCTAGCTTGACCAAATATCCAAGAAACAGACAATTTCAATTTCTTCCAGGGAATGAAAAAAGAGATTGTGAGGCTAGCCTGACATAGATATAAAAATCTTGAACAAAATATAAGCTGGGCCGGGCGCGGTGGCTCACGCCTGTAATCCCAGCACTTTGGGAGGCTGAGATGGGTGGATCACGAGGTCAGGAGATCGAGACCATCCTGGCTAACACAGTGAAACCCCGTCTCTACTAAAAATACAAAAAAATTATCCAGGCGTGGTGGTGGGCACCTGTAGTCCCAGCCACTCGGGAGGCTGAGGCAGGAGAATGGTGTGAACCCGGGAGGTGGAGCTTGCAGTGAGCCTAGATCACACCACTGCACTCCAGCCTGGGCAACAGAGTGAGACTCAGTCTCAAAAAAAAAAAAAAAAAAAAAAAAAAAAAAATATATATATATATATATATATACACACACACACACACACACACACACACATATGCTAACCAAATGTAGCAATGTCTAAAGATAACACTGTTGATTAACATATTGGGTTGATCCTGGGAATTCAAGATCAATTAATATAACTCACCACTATAATAGATCTTTAAAGGAGAAAATTAAATAATGCAGAAAAGTCATTCGATAACATTCAATGTCCATTCATGATAAAAATTCAGCAAGCTGAGAATAGAAAACAACTTTTTAATAAAAGACATCTTGCTTTTGTCCACTTTGTTAGTCTTGTGAAAGGCCCAGCCTTTGGCTGGGTTGATTCTCTTTATTGGAACTTTGTTTTTTATTCTGTGTGTTTCTGCTTTTATAACTTTTTCTGTAAAAGACATCCTCAAAAAAAAACTCTGAGAAAACATCATAAGTAATTATGAAATGTTGAAAACATTCTCTTTAAGAGCAGAAATACAACACGAATATCCACTGTCACCCTTTCTCTTTAAGATTGTTTGGAAAGCTTAGCCATGAAGTGAGAAAAGCCAAAAAAAAAAAAAAAAAAAGAGAGAGAGAGAGGAAGAGAGACACATAGAAGAATCGGATAGAAAGGAACAAAATTGTCATTATTTGCGAAGTGATACAACTGTCTACATAGAAAATTAATCTCTAGAAAAACTATCATAATTAGTAAAATTGTATAGCATGCTTGCTAAATAATATCAATTCACAAAAACCAACATTGTAATGCACTTGTAATGTATTGTAATGTAAAGATACCATTTGCAATCATAATAAAAATATAATACTCAGTACAAAACCTAAAAAAGGACGTGCAAATCCTTCAAAGGCTCCATTTTCTCTATTAAAAATTGTTTATATTAAAGGTGCACAACATGACATTTTGATATAAATATACACAGTGAAATGATTACTACGTTCCATCATCTCATATAGGTTCCTTTTTTGTGGTAAGAGCACCAAAAAATCTATACACATAATGAAAGGAGATCCTGACATTTGGGATAACATACATGAACCTGGAAGACATTGTGCTCATTGAAATAATTCAGGCACAGAAAGACAAATACTGCACAATCTCATGCATAGGTGGAATCTTTTTAAAAATGTCGAACACATAGAAACAGAGTAGAAAGGTGGTTCCTGGGAGTGGAAGGAGGGCAAGGAAATGAGAGGGGTAGGCCAAAGGGTTCAAAGTTACATAGGATGAATAAGTCCATAGATGTAACATACACCATGAGAACTATAGTTAATAATATTGTCTTGTATACTGGAAATTTGCTAAGAGGGTAGATTTTATGGGCTGCATTTTAACAGGATTTTTAGGTGATTTGTATGCACATTATAGTTTGAGAAGAACTCTTTTAGTGCAGTGGTTTTATCCTTAGCTGCATATTATAATAAAAACTTTATACACACACACACACCTATACACACACATGTTCCTGGACTCCCCTCATTCTAATGTGTAATAGGATTGGCATCAGTGTATCAATACAGTTCAAAAGGCTCCCCAGGTGATTCTCATCTAAACCATTACTCAACTGGCTGATGGGAGAATGTGCTTGGAGAAAGGCACATGGAGGCTTCCAAGATACTAGTAATATTCTATTTTTTCATTTGGGTGATGGATATATTGGTACACTAGTCTTTAAATCATACACATATGTTTTATACATTTTGTAGTAGCTTAAATTTCAGTGTAACACAATTAAATACCTCCTTAACAGCAGTAGTGTAATTTTTATTATTTAGTCATCTCATTACTTCCCTAATGCTGGGGACACATTCCTATGTTGTCTTTCTTAATTATCACAGAAATTTGGGATGGCTTCAAGTCACACTACCTGATATGGTTTGACTGTGTCCCCACCCAAATCTCATCTTGAGTTGTAGATGCCATAATGCCCACATGTTGTGGGAGGAACTCAGTAGGAGGTAATTTAATCACATGGGAGATTACCCTCATGCTGTTCTCATGATACTGAGTGAGTTCTCACAAGATCTGATGGTTTTATAAGGAGCTTTTCCTCCTTTTGCTCGGCACTTCTCCTTGCTGCTGCCACGTGAAGATGGGTATGTTTGCTTCCCCTTCCGCCATGATTGTAAGTTTCCTGAGGCCTCCCCAGCCATGCTGAACTGTGAGTCAATTAAACCTCTTTCCTTTACCCAGTCTTGGGTATATCCTTATTAGCAGTGTGAGAATGGACTAATATACTACTCATCATATAAATTTAAGCAACACCAGAAACAAAACTTGAATATGAGTCTGCCATTTTGAATAAATAAACCCATCATGGAATTGAAACACCTGAATGGCACATTCAAGATTTCACCGGATCAGCTTTTGCCAGTAAACGCCTGGCCAAGACTTTGGCTAATTAGAAAGTGCACTTTAACACTGGTGGTTTTTTCCTTTCTTGCAAATAAAAAACTCTCATGAGCAGGTTTTCCCAACAGCCTCTAAAAATTTGGCCAATCTTCACATACTCCAATAATAAGAACAACCATAAACAACAATTTGAACTTGGAACTTAAGGCTCAACATTCAAATTATTTTATCATAACAATGGAAGAAATCATATTTATGTCACAATACTTTTGAAGGGAAAGTAGCCTGTGACTCTGTGCAGATGAAATGTAAATGCAGAGAAATCGCATTTTCTGTACTTAATTTTGATTGTAGGGAAATGGGTATCTTCATAGAGTCTATTACAGACACACACTGGCCCTGCCCCACCTTTGAGAGGTCTCCAGTGTCTTCTTTTCAAGGTTGCTTTTCAGACCTCATAATGTTGAGAGAGGTGTCACAAGGAGAATTCCCAACCCCTGAGCAAATGGGCAAAGTTGCAAGTACCCAGCAGAGCTGCTCAAATATTGCTGCAACCAGAAATCCTTCATAATTGAGTGGGAAGCTTCTAGTAACCAGGAACAAAAAGCTGAGGAATTATTACAGGTTTCTTGAAAATTATTGGATTTTTTTTTTTTTTTAGAGATGGGGGTCTCAGTCACCCATGCTGGAGTGCAGTGGCACAGTCACAGTTCACTGCAGCCTCAGACTCCTAAGCTCAAGTGATCCTCCTGCCTCAGCCTCCTGAGTAGCTGAGGCTATGGGAGCTACATGCCTGGCTAACTTAAAAAACATTTTTTTTTTTTTTTGTAGAGACAAGGCCTTGCTTTGTTGCTCAGGCTGGTCTCAAACTCCTGGCTTCAAGTGATCCTCCTACCTCAGCACCCCAAAGTGCTGGGATTACAGGCATGAGCCACCATGCTCAGCCAAATTATTGGATTCCTCTTCTTTTTTTTTTTTTTTTTTTTTTGAGGCGGAGTTTCACTCTTTTTGCCCAGGCTGGAGTGCAGTGGCGCGATCTCGGCTCACTGCAACCTCTGCCTTCTGGTTTCAAGCAGTTCTCCTGCCTCAGCCTCCTGAGTAGCTGGGATTACAGGTACCCGCCACCACACCCAGCTAATTTTTTTATTTTTAGTAGAGATGATGTTTCACCATGTTGGTCATGCTGGTCTCGAACTCCTGACCTCGTGATATGCCCACCTCAGCCCCCAAAATGCTGGATTACAGGTATGAGCCACTGTGCCTGGCCTGGATTCTTTAAAGAAGCCAGAATTAGAAGGAGTCATCAATATTTGACAACAGCATTGCATTAAAGTAACGAATCACAGAATTATAAAGCCCTAAGTTAACTTAGAGAAAAAACTCAAATGTCCTTAGGGAAGCTGTGTCTCTGAGAGGCTAAAAAACTCTCTTAAAGTCAGACAAGAAGTTTGTGACAAGATCGGGGTGACACAATAGCAAAGACTTGGAACCAACCCAAATGTCCAACAATGATAGACTGGATTAAATGTGGCACATATACACCATGGAATACTATGCAGCCATAAAAAATGATGAGTTCATGTCCTTTGTAGGGACATGGATGAAGCTGGAAACCATCATTCCTAGCAAACTATCACAAGGACAAAGAACCAAACACTGCATGTTCTCACTTATAGGTGGGAATTGAACAATGAGAACCCTTGGACACAGGAAGGGGAACATCACACACCGGGGCCTGTTGTGGGGTCGGGGGAGGGGGGAGGGATAGCATTAGGAGATATACCTAATGTGAATGACGAGTTAATGGGTGCAGCACCCCAACATGGCACATGTATACATATGTAACAAACCTGCACGTTGTGCACATGTACCCTAGAACTTAAAGTATAATAATAATAATAAAAATATATATATATATATAAAAGACCAGGGTGAGAATCCAGGTCTCCTGTCTCCTTGAACTACCACTATTACAAAGACTCAAGAAATCGAGTATTGATTAACTGAATTAGGAATTCATAGGGTTTCTTGTTTGGTTGCAAATTTCATTTTTTACTTGGAGAGTGGCCACTCTAAATTACTGATACCTACTCTTTTACTGTATATGGTTTAACACTGAAGACTACTCACGTTATTTCACTGAAATAGGTTGTCTCACAAGAAACAGTGCTCACTGGGTTTCTCTCACCTGCTGACTGGCTATCCAGATAGCTATTTTTTAGAGACTAGATTTGGCAGTCAATGCCATTGTAAAAAGTATAATCTATTTTAAATATTTAATCTACAGAATCATTTTACTCTCAAAAAATATTTTAATGTGATGCTCAATTAAAAAGCAACATAGGTTTAAGGCACAAAAATGGGAGTGGGGAGAATATGGCAGTTCCTTAAGAAATTAAACATAGAATTACAATATGATCCAACTATTACGCTTCTGAGTATATACCCAAAATAACTGAAAGCAGGGACTCAGATACTTATACACCATTGGTTCATAGCAGCATTATTTACAACAGCCAAAAGATGGAAACAACACAAATGTCTATCCACAGATGAATGGATAGACAAAATGTGATATATATAATACATACAGTGGGATATTATTCACCTTTAAAAAGTAATGAAAGGGAAGATGGCAAAGTAAGAAGCACCAGGAATCTGGCTCCCCATCTAGACAGCAATTGCCCTGACAGTATCTGTCTGATATAACCCTTTGGAACTCTAGAGTCTATTGAAGGCTTGAAACTTCCAGGGGAGGCCTTGGATGGTAAATTGATGCTAATTTTGGCCAATTTCAGCTCTTAGCACCATAGTAGCTACTCATCCTTCACCTCCAGAGCTATGACAGGCAATTGCCCATGTCTTCCAAATATCAGGGATCTGTGCTCTAATCACTGATTGCTCTAACCACTGATTGCTATTTCTGATCATGGAGCTGCAGCCAAAGAGGTGACAGGCATTGTTTTTGCACTGCCCTCCATTGCTGCAAACCCCTCCTCTGGCTGAAGTGACTTCCAGTGGATTTAAGGAGCCAACGTTCTCCCCCACCCCTTCATTTTGCTTTTCATTTTTCTCTTTTGGGAGCCAGACATCAAAGACTAGGACATTCAAATGCAACTGCGTATATGGGAAGCTGTAGAAAATGGCTATTCATGCCCAGGGAAAGGCACAGGCTCAGGAGAGACCTGAGAATCTCTTAAGTTTTACCTCAGGCTTATCTTTGGCATGGAGACAGCTTAAAACACTTTAAAAAACAAAAACAGTAACAAAAACCCAGCAAACATGGTCAAGGGGAAAAACTGATTTCCAGAATTACAATATTATATTCAAATATGCAGTTTTCAATAAAAAAATAACAAGACAAATAAAGAAATGGGAAAAGTATGACACACACAGAGGAAAGTGACATATCAGGAGAAACTGTCCCTTTAAAAGACCTGATAACAGATACACTATATGAAGACTTGAAAACAACCATCTCAAAGATGTTCAAAGAACTAAAGGAAGATGTTAAGAAGATCAAGAAAAAGATGTATGAACAAACTTAAAATATCAATAAAGAGATAGAAAACCTCCAAAAGAAACCAAAAAATCTGGAGTTGAAAAGTACAATAACTGAACTGCAAAATTCACTAGAACAAGCTTGTCCAACCCACAGCCTGCAGGCCTCATGCAGCCCAGGATGGCTTTGAATGCAGCCTAACACAAATTTGTAAACTTTCTTAAAACATTATGAGATTTTTAAAAATTAGTTTTTTAGCTCATCAGCTATCACTAGTATTAGTGTATTTTATGTGTGGCCCAAGACAATTCTTCTTCCAACGTGACCCAGGGAAGCCAAAAGATTGGTCACCCCTGCACTAGAGGAACTCAAAGGCACATTTAATTAGGCAGGAAAAAAAATTGGTGAATTTGAAGATAGAACAGTGGAAAATATTGAGTTTTAGAAGCAGAAGGAAAAAACTGGAGAAAAGTAAACAGAACTGAAGTGACCTGGGGAACACCATCGAGTGAACCAATATATGCATTATGGGAATCAGAGAAGGAAAAGAGAGAGAGAAAGGGGCAGAGAGAATATTCGAAGAAATAATGGCAGAAAACTTCCCAAATTTGATGAAAGCCATGATTTAAACATTTAAGAGGCACAATGAACTCCAAGTAACACACATTCAAAGAGACCCACACCAAAACATATTACTGCTGACCCTTGAATAACACAAGTTTGAACTGCGTGGATCCACTTATATATATTGAATTTTTTCAATAAAAGTTACACCACGTGTGCCTGTCTCCCCTTTCACTTCCTCCATCTCTTCCACCTCCACCACCCCTGAGACAGCAAGACCAACTCCTCCACTTTCTCCTCCTCTCAGCCTACTCAGTGTGAAGATGACAAGGATGAAGGCCTTTATGATGACCCAACTTAACTTAATAAATGGTAAACTTATTTTCTCTTCCTTATAATTAATAACAGTTTCTTTTCTGTAGCTTACTTTGTTGTAAGAATACAACATATAATACACATAACCTACAAAATATCTGTTAATCAACCATTTATGTTATTGGTAAGGTTTCTGGGTTACTGTAGGCTATTAGTAGTTACGTTTTGGGAGAGTCAAAAGTTATGCATGGATTTTTGACTGCACAGGGGATTGGCACCCCTAACCCCTATTTTGTTTAAAAGTCAGCTGTAAATCAAAGTCTTGAAAAGAGAATCTGAAAGCAGCAAGGGAGAAGTGACTCATCAAATAAAAGGGATGCTCAGTAAGATTATCAACAGATTTAACATCCGAAATTTTGAAGGCCAAAAGGCAATAGGCAAATATATTCAAAGTACTAAAAGAAAAAAAATTGTCCACCAAGAATCCTATACACAACAAAACTGTCTTTCAAAAGAGAGGGAGAAATTAAGATGTTCTCAAGTGAACAAGAGCTGAATGAGTTTATTACCTAGATCTTCCCTGGAAGAAATGCTAAGGAAATCCTATGAGGTGAAATGAAAGGACACTATATAGTAACTTAAAACCATAAGAAGAAATAAAGATCTTAATAAGGATAAATACACAGGCAATTTTAAAAGCTAGTGTTATTATAACAACAGTTTATAATTCTGCTTTTTATTTTCCACATGATTTAAGACACAAATACATATATTAATAAAACAATTAATAGTGTAAGAGCTGGTATTATTGTAACTTTGCTGTATAACTCCACATTTTGTTTTCTTCATAATTTAGGAAAATAATGCATTTTTTTTTTTTTTTTGAGACAGAATCTCACCCTGTCACCCAGGCTGGAGTGCAGTGGCACAATCACGGCTCACTGCAAGCTCCGCCTCCTGGGTTCATGCCATTCTCCCACCTCAGCCTCCCAAGTGGCTGGGATTACAGGCACCCACCACCATGCCTGGCTAATTTTTTGTATTTTTAGTAGAGACGGGGTTTCACCTTGTTAGCCAGGATGGTCTCGATCTCCTGACCTCGTGATCTGCCCGCCTCGGCCTCCCAAAGTGCTGGGATTACAGCCATGAGACACTGTGCCCGGCCAATGCATTTAAAATAATTACTAGTTTATGTTTTGGGGCACACAATGTATAAAGATGTAGTTTGTGGCATCACAATTAAATAGGATGCGGACAGAAATGTTAAAGGAGTAGTTTTTGTATGTTACTGAAGTTAAGCTGATATAAATTTAAATTAGAGTGTTATAACTTTAGGATGTGAAATGTGATCCCCACGGTAACCACAAAGAAAATAGCTATAGATTATATACAAAAATGAGAAAGGAATTTAAATATTTCACTACAAAAAAATAAACTTGGCTAAGCATGGTGGCTCACATCTATAATCCCAGCACTTTGGGAGGCCAAGGTGGAAGGATTGCTTGAGACCAGGAGTTTGAGAACAGCCTGGGCAATGCAAGAAGAACATAGCTCTACAAATAATTTTTTTAAAGTATCCAGGCATGGTGGTGCATGCCTGTGGTCTCAGCTACTTGGGAGGTTGAGGTGGAAGGATCACTTGAGCCCAGGAGTTCGAGGCTGCAGTGAACCAAGATCATGCCACAGCACTCCAACCTGGATGACAGAGCAGGACCCCATCTTAAAACAAACAAACAAACAAACAAACAAGTAAACACAAAAGAAGATAGTAATGCAAGAAATGAGAGACAAAAAAACTATGAGACATATTAGCCAGGCATGGTGGCTCACGCCTGTAATCCCAAAACTTTGGGAGGCTGAGGCAGACAGATAGCTTGAGCCCATGAGTTGAAGATGAGTCTGGGCAACATGGCGAAACCTTGTCTCTACAAAAAACACAAAAATTAGCCAGGCATGGTGGTTTGCACCTGTAATCCCAGCTACTTGGGGGGCTGAGGTGGGAGGTTTGAGCCTAGGAGATGAAGGTTGCAGTGAGCCGAGATCACACCACTGCACTCCAGCCTGGGTAATAGAGTGAGACCCTATCTAAAAAACAAAACAAAACCCAAACTATAAGGCATATAGAAAACAAATAACTAAATGACAGAAGTCCCTCCTTATCAGTAATTAAGTGTAACTGGATTAAACTCTCCAATTAAAAGACAGAGATTGGCAGAATGAATAAAAAATGCATAAGCCAACTATATGCTCTCTTTAAGAAACTTACATTAAATCCAAAGACATGAATAGGTTGAAAGTAAAAGATGGAAGAAAAAAAGATATTCCATATAATCAGTAATCAAAAAAGAGCAGGAGTGTCTATATAAATATCAGATAAAATAGACTTTAAAAAATTTGCAAGAGATAGAGAAGGAGATTATATATTACTTTAAACCAACAATGATTTAAAAAGACAAAGAAGGGCATTATGTAATGGTAAAGGGTTCAATTCAGAAAGAAGAGTTAACTATCCTAAATATATATGCACCCAACACAGGAGCACCTAGATTCATAAAACAAGTTCTTAGAGACCTACTAAGAGACTTAGATAACCACACAATAATAGTTAGACACTTGAACTCTCTACTGACAGCGATAGACACATCATTAAGGCAGAAAACTAACAAAAACATTCAGGACTGGAACTTGACATTTCACCAAATGGACAAACAGACATCTACAGAACTCTTGACCTCGAAACAACAGAATGTACTTTCTTTTCTTCTGCACATGCACAGCAGACTTAGTCTTTCCCCCAGCTAGCTCTGAGGAATCTGGGCAGCCCAGACAAGTGCTTTCCTTCCAGTGTAGCACACCCCCTCCACCAAGGGGCAGTCAGAGTGCTTCATTAAATGGGTCCTGCATCCCATGCCCCTCAACTGGGTGAGACCCCCCCAACAGGGTCACTAGACACCTTATACAGGAGTGTTCCTGCTGGCATCAGGTCGGTGCCCTTCAAGGTCAGAGATCCCAGAGGAAGGAGCAGGCACATGTCTTTGCTGTTCTCCAGCCTCTTTGGGTGACATCTCCAGGTGCGGGAGGGACACAGAAGAATAGGGCCTGAAGTGAACCCCCAGCAAACTGCAGCAGCCCTATAGAAGAGGGACCTGACTATTGAAAGGAAAACAAACAGAAAGCAACAACAACAGCATCAACAAAAATGTCCCCACGAAAACCTCATCCAAAGGTCAGCAGCCTCAAAGATCAAAACTAGACAAACTCATTAAGATGAGAAAGAATCAATGAAAAATGCTGAAAACTCAAAAGGCCAGAATGCCTCTTCTCCAAATGATTGCAACACCTCTCCAGCAATCTCTGATTTCTACGGAGGATGAGATGGATGAATTGACAGAAGTAGGCTTTGAAAGGTGGGTAATAACAAACTTCACTGAGGTAAATGAGCATGTTCTAACCCCGTGTGAAGAAGCTAAGAACCATGATAAAAGCTTACAGGAGCTGATAACTAGAATAACCAGTTTATAAAGGAACATAAATGACCAGGTAGAGCTGAAAACCACAGCACGAGAACCTCATGATGCAAAAACAAGTATTAATAGTTGGATCGATCAAGTAGAAGAAAGAACATGAGAGCCTGAAGACTATCTTGCTGAAATAAGGCAGGCAGACAAGATTAGAGAAAAAAGAATGAAAAGGAACAAATAAAACCTCTGAGAACTATGGGACTATGTAAAAAGACCAAACCTACGACTGATTGGAGTACCTGAAAAAGACAGGGAGAATGGAATCAAGTTGGAAAACACACTTCAGGATATCATCCAGGAGAACTTCCCCAACCTAGCAAGACAGGCCGACCAAATTTAGGAAACACAGAGAACCCCAGTAAGATACTCCACGAGAAGATCAACCCCAAGACACATAATCATCAGATTCTCCAAGGTTGAAATGAAGGAAAAATGGTAAGGGCAGCCAGAGAGAAAGGCCAGGTCACCTACAAAAGGAAGCCCATCAGACCAACAGCAGACCTGTCACCAGAAGTTCTACAAGCCAGAAGACAGTGGGGACCAATATTCAACATTCTTAAAGAAAAGAATTTTCAACCCAGAATTTCATATCCAGTCAAACTAAGCTTCATAAGTGAAGGAGAAATAAAATCCTTTTCAGACAAGCAAATGTTGAGGGAATTCATCACCACCAGGCCTGCCTTGCAAGAGCTCCTGAAGGAAAGCACTAAGTATGGAAAGGAAAAACCAGTACCAGCCATTGCAAAAACATAACCCTTAAGTGTTATGAAATAATTAGGAACCCAGCCCAGCTCTAGGATTCACCCCTGAGCACAAAGGCAATGTTGGGCATGCTGGTAAAGGACCACTAGAATCCAGCAGCCCAGACCCCTTTCTTTGTGGTCAAGAAAAGCAGGAAAAGGGTGCAGGACTGCTACATCGGTGAGCATAACTAATCCGATAAGCAGAAGTCCATGGGTGGTTATGCACCCTGGAAAGGAATAAGCATTAGGACCATAGAGGACGCTCTAGGACTAATGCTCATGGGAAAATGACTAAGGGTGCTGGCATCCCTCTGTTCTTTTTTCAGATGGGAAACGTTCCCCCCAAGGCAAAAACGCCCCTAAGATGTATTCTAGAGAATTGGGACCAATTTAGCCCTCAGATGCTAAGAAAGAAATGACTTATATTCTTCTGCAGTACTGCCTGGCCACGATATCCTCTTCAAGGGGGAGAGACCTGGCCTCCTGAGGGAAGTATATATTATAACACTATCTTACAGCTAGACCTCTTTTGTAGAAGAGAAGGCAAATGTAGTGAAGGGACATATGTACAAACTTTCTTTTCATTAAGAGACAACTCGCTATTATGTAAAAAGTGTGATTTATGCCCTATAGGAAGCCCTCAGAGTCTACCTCCCTACTCCAGCATCCCCCCGACTCCTTCCCCAACTAATAAGGACCCCCCTTCAACCCAAACGGTCCAAAAGGAGATAGACAAAGGGGTAAACAATGAACCAAAGAGTCCCTATATTCCCCGATTATGCCCCCTCCAAGCAGTGGGAGGAGGAGAATTCGGCCCAGCTGGAGTGCAGGTAGCTTTTTCTCTCTCAGATTTCAAGCAAATTAAAATAGACCAGGTAAATTCTCAGATAACCCTGATGGCTATATTGATGTTTTACAAGGGTTAAGACAATTCTTTGATCTGACATGAAGAGATATAATGCTACTGCTAGATCAGACACTAACCCCAAATGAGAGAAGTGCCACCATAACTGCAGCCTGACAGTTTGGCAGTCTCTGGTGTCTCAGTCAGGTCAATGATAGGATGTCAACAGAGGAAAGAGAATGATTCCCCACAGGCCAGCAGGCAGTTCCCAGTGTAGACCCTCACTGGGACACAGAATCAGAACATGGTGATTGGTGCCACAGACATTTGTTAATGTGTGTGCTAGAAGGACTAAGGAAAACTAGCAAGAAGCCTATGAATTATTCAATGATGTCCACTACAACACAGAGAAAGAAAGAAAATCCTACCGCCTTTCTGGAGAGACTAAGGTAGGCATTGAGGAAGTATACCTCTCTGTCACCTGACTCTATTGAAGGCCAACTAATCTTAAAGGATAAGTTTATCACTCAGTCAGCTGCAGACATTAGAAAGACACTTCAAAAGTCCACCTTAGGCCCGGAGCAAAACTTAGGAGCCCTATTGAACTTGGCAACCTCAGTTTTTTATAATAAAGATCAGGAGGAGCAGGTGGAATGGGACAAACGGGATTAAAAAAAAGGTCACTGCTTTAGTCATGGCCCTCAGGCAAGCGGACTTTGGAGGCTCTGGAAAAGGGAAAAGCTGGGCAAATTGAATGCCTAATAGGGCTTGCTTCCAGTGCAGTCTACAAGGACACTTTTACAAAGATTGTTTAAATAGAAATAAGCCGCCCCCTTGTCCATGCCCCTTATGTCAAGGGAATCACTGGAAGGCCCACTGCCCCAGGGGATGAAAGTTCTCTGAGTCAGAAGCCACTAACCAGATGATCCAGCAGCAGGACTGAGGGTGCCTGCAGCAAGCACCAGCCCATGCCATCACCCTCACAGAGCCCCGGGTATGCTTGACCATTGAGGGCCAGGAAGTTAACTGTCTGCTGGACACTGGTGCAGCCTTCTCAGTCTTACTCTCCTATCCCAGACAACTGTCCTCCAGATCTGTCACTATCCGAGGGGTCCTAGGACAGCCAGTCACTAGATACTTCTCCCAGCACTAAGCTGTGACTGGGGAACATTACTCTTTTCACATGCTTTTCTAATTATGCCTGAAAACCCCACTCCCTTGTTAGGGAGAGACATTGTAGCAAAAGCAGGTGCCATTATACACCTGAACACAGGAGAAGGAACACCCGTTTGTTGTCCCCTGCTTGAGGAAGGAATTAATCTTGAAGTCTGGGCAACAGAAGGACAATATGGATGAGCAAAGAATGCCCATCCTGTTCAAGTTAAACTAAAGGATTCCACCTCCTTTCCCTACCAAAGGCAGTACCCCCTTAGACTTGAGGCCAAACAGGGACTCAAAAAAATTGTTAAGGACCTAAAAGCCCAAGGCCTAGTAACACCATGCAGTAGCCCCTGCAATACTCCAACTTTAGCAGTACAGAAACCCAACGGACAGTGGAGGTTAGTGCAAGATCTCAGGATTATCAATGAGGCTGTTGTCCCTCTATACCCAGCTGTACCTAACCCTTACATTCTGCTTTCCCAAATACCAGAGGAAGCAGAGTGGTTTACAGTCCTGGACCTTAAGGATGCCTTTTTCTGCATCCCTGTACATCCTGACTCTCAATTCTTGTTTGCCTTTGAAGATCCTTCAAACCCAATGTCTCAACTCACCTGGACTGTTTTACCCCAAGGGTTCAGGGATAGCCTCCATCTATTTGGCCAGGCATTAGCCCAAGACTTGAGCCAGTTCTCATACCTGGACACTCTTGTCCTTCAGTATATGGATGATTTACTTTTAGTGACCCATTCAGAAACCTTGTGATGTCAAGCCACACAAGCGCTCTTAACTTTCCTCTTTACCTCTGGCTACAAGGTTTTCAAACCAAAGGCTCAGCTCTGCTCACAGCAGGTTAAATATTTAGGGCTAAAATTATCCAAAGGCACCAGGGCCCTCAGTGAGGAACGTATCCAGCCTATACTGGCTTATCTTCATCCCAAAACCCTAAAGCAACTAAGAGGGTTCCTTGGCATAACAGGCTTCTGCTGAATATGGATTCCCAGGTTTGGTGAAATAGCCAGGCCATTAAATACACTAATTAAGGAAACTCAGAAAGCCAATACCCATTTAGTAAGATGGACATCTGAAGCACAATCAGCTTTCCAGGCACTAAAGAAAGCCCTAACCCAAGCCCCAGTGTTAAGCTTGCCAACAGGGCAAGACTTTTCTTTATATGTCACAGAAAAAATAGGAATAGCTCTAGGAGTCCTTACACAGGTCTGAGGGACAAGCTTGCAACCCGTGGCATATCTGAGTAAGGAAATTGATGTAGTGGCAAAGGGTTGGCCTCATTCTTTACGGGTAGTGGAGGCAGTAGCAGTCTTAGTATCTGAAGCAGTTAAAATGATACAGGGAAGGGATCCTACTGTGTGGACATCTCATGATGTGAACGGCATACTCACTGCTAAAGGAGACTTGTGGCTGTCAGACAACCGTTTACTTAAATATCAGGCTCTATTACTTGAAGGGCCAGTGCTGCAACTGCGCACTTGTGCAACTCTTAACCCAGCCACATTTCTTCCAGACAATGAAGAAAAGATAGAACATAACTGTCAACAAGTAATTGCTCAAACCTATGCTGCTCTAGGGGACCTTCTAGAGGTTCCCTTGACTGATCCTGATCTCAACTTGTATACTGATGGAAGTTCCTTTGTAGAAAAAGGACTTCGAAAAGCAGGGTATGCAGTGGTCAGTGATAATGGAATACTTGAAAGTAATCCCCTCACTCTAGGAACTAGTGCTCAGCTGGCAGAACTAATAGCCTTCACTCAGGCAATAGAATTAGGAGAAGGAAAAAGGGTAAATATATATACAGACTCTAAGTATGCTTACCTAGTCCTCCATGCCCATGTGGCAATATGGAGAGAAAGGGAATTCCTAACTTCCGAGGAAACACCTATCAAACATCAGGAAGCCATTAGGAAATTAGTATTGGCTGTACAGAAACCTAAAGAGGTGGCAGTCTTACACTGCCTGGGTCATCAGAAAGGAAAGGGAAATAAAAGAGAACCACCAAGCAGATATTAAAGCAAAAAGAGCCACAAGGCAGGATGCTCCATTAGAAATGCTTACAGAAGGACCCCTAGTATGGGGTAATCCCCTCTGGGAAACAAAACCCCAATATTCAGCAGAAGAAATAGAATGGGGAACCTCACGAGGACATAGTTTCCTCCCCTCAGGATGGCTAGCCACCGAAGAGGGAAAAATACTTTTGCCTGCAGCTAACCAATGGAAATTACTTAAAACCCTTCACCAAACCTTTCACTTAGGCATTGATAGCACCCATCAGATGGCCAAATTATTATTTACTGGATCAGGCCTTTTCAAAACTATCAAGCAGATAGTCAGGGCCTGTGAATTGTGCCAATGAAGTAATCCCCTACATTACAGGCCATACATTTTAATCCCTGTATCTTTAACCTCCTTGTTAAGTTTGTCTCTTCCAGAATCAAAGCTGTAAAACTACCAATCGTTCTTCAAATGGAGCCCCAGATGCAGTCCATGACTAAGATCTGCCGTGGACACCTGGACTGGCCTGCTAGCCCTTGCTCTGATATTAATGACATTGAAGGCACCCCTCCCAAGGACATCTCAACTGCACAACCCCTACTACACCCCAGTTCAGCAGGAAGCAGTTAGAGCGGTCATCAGCCAACCTCCCCAACAGCACTTGGGTTTTCCTGTTGAGAGGGGGTACTGAGAGACAGGACTAGCTGGATTTCCTAGGCTGACTAAGAATCCCTAAGCCTAGCTGGGAAGGTGACTGCATCCACCTTTAAACACGGGGCTTGCAACTTAGCTCACACCCGACCAATCAGGTAGTAAAGAGAGCTCACTAAAATGCTAATTAGGCAAAAACAGGAGGTAGAGAAATAGCCAATCATCTATCGCCTGAGAGCACAGCGGGAGGGACAATGATCGGGATATAAACCCAGGCATTCGAGCTGTCAACAGCTACCCTCTTTGGGTCCCCTCTCTTTGTATGGGAGCTCTGTTTTCACTCTATTAAATCTTGCAACTGCAAAACACACACACACACACACACACAAACACACACTGAAGTACAAAGATGAATGACACCATGATGAAACTGCATCAACTAGTGTGCAAAATAAGCAACTAGCATCATGATGACAGGATCAAATTCACACATAACAATATCAACCTTAAATGTAAATGGGTTAAATGTCCCAATTAAAAGACACAGACTGGCAAATTGGATAGAGTCAAGACCCATCAGTGTGCTGTATTCAAGAGACCTATCTCAAATACAAAGACACACATAGGCTCAAAATAAAGGGATGCAGGAAAATTTATCAAGCAAATGGAAAGCAGAAAAAAGCAGGGGTTGCAATTCTAGTTTCTGACAAAACAGACTTTAAACCAACAAATATTTAAAAAGACAAAGAAGGACATTACATAATGGTAAAGGAATCAATTCAACAAGAAGAGCTCACTATCCTAAATATATATGCACCCAATACAGGAGCACCCAGATTCATAAAACAAGTTTTTAGAGACCTACAAAGAGACTTAGACTCCCACACAATAATAAGGGGAGACTTTAGACTTTAACACCCCACTGTCAATATTAGTTCATTGAGACAGAAAATTAACAAGGATATTCAGGACTTGAACTCAGCTCTGGATCAAGTGGACCTGATAGATATCTACAGAACTCTCTACCCCAAAACAACAGAATGTACATTCTTCTTAGTGCCACATGGGGAGGGAGAGCATCAGGATAAATAGCTAATGCATGCAGAGCTTAACACCTAGGTGATGGGTTGATAGGTGCAGCAAACCACCATGGCACACATTTACCTATGTAACAAACCTGTATGTTCTGCACATGCATCCCAGAACTTAAAATAAAATAAAATTAAAAAATTTTAAAAAAGAAGGGGACAGAGGAAAAAAATGATCAATGTAATGAACCATATTAACAGAATGAATAACAAAAAACACATGATCATCTCAATTGATGTAGAACATGTATTTGACATAATTTAACACCCGTTAATGATAAACACACTCTACAGACTTGGAATAGAGAAAAAGTGCCTCCAAATAATAAAAGCTACATATGAAAATCCACAGTGAACACCATACTTATAGTGAAAGACTAAAAGCTATTCCTTTAAGGTTAGAAACAAAGCATAGATGTCTACTTTCTCCACTTCTATTCATCATAATACTGGAAGTTCTACTCAGAGCAATCATTCAAGAAAAATAAATAAAAGGCATCCAAGTTGGAAAAGAAGAAGTAAAATTATCTTTGCAGATGATATGATTTTATATGTAGAAAACCCTAAAGATTCCACATACAAAAAGTTGAACTAATCAATTAATTCAACAAAGTAGCAAGACACCTTTGTGTCTTTTGCATGTTGACTTTTCAACATGCAAAAATCAGTTGCATTTTTATACACTGACAACAAACAATCTGAAAAGGAAATTATGAAAAGAATTATATTTACAATAGCATCAAAAAGAATAAAATACTTGAGAATCAACTTCACCAACATGGTAAAAGATTTGTACAATGAAAACTACAAAATATTGATGAAAGAAATTTTTAAAGGCATAAGTAAATGGAAACATATCCCTTTTTCATGAATTGAAAGATTTAATATTGTTAAGATAGCAACACTATCCAAAGCAATCTATAGACTCAATGCAATCTCTATCAAAATCCCATTTTTTTGTAGAAATAGAAAAACACATCCTAAAATTCATATGAAATTTCAAGGGATCCCAAACTGACAAAACAATCTTGAAAAAGAAGAACAAAGCTGGAGGACTCACATTTCCTGATTTGAAAACTTAATACAAAGCTACAATAATCAAAGCAGTGTAGTATTGGTATAAAGACAGAAATATGGACCAATGGAATTGAATAGGAAGCCCAGAAACAAACCTGCACATTTATGTTCAAATAATTATTTTACAAAGGTGCCAAGATCCCTCAATGGGGAAAAGATAGTCTTTTCAACAAATGGTGCTGGGAAAACTGGACAGTCATATGCAAAGAATGAAGCTGGAGCCTTACCTAGCACCATATGCAAAAATTAACCCAAAATGGATAAAAACCTAAATGTAAGCCCTAAAACTATTAAAATCTTAGAAGAAAACATAGAGCAAAAGCTTCATGACATTGAATTCGGCAGTGATATCTTGGATATGACATTAAAGACATGTGCAACCAAAGAAAAAATACAGAAAAATTGAACTTCATAATAATTTTAAATTTTTATGCATAAAAATCTATACAAGACAGTAAAAAAGGCAACCCACAGGATGGGAGAAATTGTTTGCAAATCATATATCTGATAAAGGATTAATATCCAGGATATAAAAGAATTCCTGAAACTCAACAACAATTTAAAAAACACAAACAAACCACCTCAAAAGCAGGCAAAAAAAAAAGGCCAGGTGCAGTGGCTCATGCCTGTAATCCCAGCACTTTGGGAGGCTGAGGTGGGTGGATCACTTGAGGCCAGGAGTTCGAGACCAGCCTGGCCAGCATGGTGAAAACCATCTCTACTAAAAATACAAAAACTATCCGGGTGTGGTGGCACATGCCTGTAATCCCAGCTACTCAGGAGGTTGAGGTGGGAGAATCCCTTGAACCTGGGAGGGGGAGGTTGCAGTGAGCTGAGATTGCGCCAGTGTACTCCAGCCTGGGTGACAGAGCAAGACCCTGTCTCCACAAAAAAAAAAAAAAAAAAAAAAAAAAAAAAATGCAAAAAACTTAAATAGACATTTCATTGAAGAAGATGTACAAATAGCCAACAAGTACATTAAAAAAATGCTTAGCATCTCTAATCCTTAGAAAATACAAATCAAAACAACTATAAGATACCACCTCACACCTATTAGGAGGGCTACTATCAAACAAACAGAAAATAACAAGTGTTGGTGAAGATGTGGAGAAATTGAAACCATGTGCATTGTCGGTGGGAATATAAAATGGTGCAGTCCTTGTAGGAAACAGTATGGCAGTTCCTCAAAAAATTAAGAATAGATTACCATATGATCCAACAATTTCTCTTCTGAGTGCTGAAAGAATTGAAAGCAGAGTCTCAAAGAGATATTTGCACACCCGTGTTCATAACAGCCTTGTTCACAATAGCTAAAATTTGGAAGCAACTCAAGTGTTCACTGATGAATGGATGAATGAATAATCAAAATGTAGTATATACATACAATGGAATATCACACAGACTTACAAAGGAAGGAAATTCTGACATACGCTACAACACAAATGAATCTTGAGGACACTATGCTAACCAAATTAAGTCAATCATAAAAAGAAAAATACTGTGCGATTCCACCAATAGGATGTATTAATACTTAGAGCTATCAATGTCATAGACACAAAAGTAGAATGGGGGTTGTCAGGAGCTGGGGGTAGGAGAAGATGTGGGAATTTAATGGGTACGGAGTTTCTGTTTTACAACGTGAAAAAGTGATGGAGATGAATGGTGGTAATGGAGATGAATGGTGGTAATGGTTGCATAACATTATGAATATATTTAATGCCACTGAACTATACACTTAAAAATGGTAAGATGGTAAATTTTATGCATGTGTATTTTAGCACAATTTTTAAGTGAGGGGAAAATGAAATCTGATATATGCTACAACATGGATGAACCTTGAAGACGTGATGCTAGGTGAAATAAGCCAGACACAAAAGACAAATGTTGTATAATTCCTCTTTTATAAGGTTCCTGGAAATAGTCAAATTCATAGAAATAGAAAATAGAACAGTGGTCACCCAGGGCTGAGAGGAGCCAGGAATAGGGAGTTAGCATTCAATGGCTACAGAGTTTAACGGGGGCTAATGACAAAGTTCTGGACATGGATGGTGGGGATAGTTGCACAACAATGCAAAGGTACTTAATGCCACTGAATGGTACAAGGAAACATCAGTAAAATGGTACATTTTATGTTATATATACTTCACCACAATAAAAAAGAAAGATTTCCAGCTCAGATTTGGAGTCGGTGCAGAGGAAGACATGTTAGTGAAAGAGTACATTCTCAGGAAGAGCTCAATTCTAAAGAAACAGCCTGTTTCACTAAACCCTTAATTGTGTGGCTCCTCAAAAGCTCAGAAGAAGCTGATGTCAAAATTAAAGCACCTGTTCCACCAAAGTGCTGCGGCATTGCAAGGAAAGCACCCGTTATCTTCATCTCTGTGCCTGAACACATCTTCTCATGTTTGTTGTCACACTTTGATGAATGCCCCCAGCCAGCCAGCTACCCTACGTGGCTGTGTAAACTCCTCCTCTTGCCCTCAACCCCAGGGGTGACCTGGTGCGTTAGTGACTCCTGGCTGAGGTAAACGATACGGCACGGTGGTAATGGCAACTGTCAGATCCTTCCCTTTTATCTCCCTCCATCCACTGTGAAGCGTCTCTCCCCAGCTCCCTCCTACCAGGCATCAAAAACCCAGATAAAGGGGAAAGGAGTTATCTGAAGTATTGTGTGTCCCCCGTAAGAAATCCAATTATTTATTGTCACTGGAAACATTTTCTTTTAAGTGTGTTAATGAGTGACCTAAACGCATAGTTTTCCTCCTACCATTAACATAGCTCTTCGTCTATCCCACATTTTAAAATCTTAAACAGCCCTCTCCCTCCTTCAAAATGGAGACAAAAGTTAGTGGAAACACGGTATGGCCAGTTACAACACAGAGAAGACACAGGATATTGGAGCCCTGTTCTTTAGTTTCTGGTTTTTGCTTAAAAAAAAAAAAAAAGAAAGAAAAAAACCTGCTTCTAGGACTACCACTGATGTAATTTTAAAATGAGAGGTGAGCGGTGCCGTTATTCCAGAGGATACCTTTCTTAAGTTCTGCTCTGTGAAGGGCAGGGAAGTCACACAAAAGAATTCAGTTATTGCAGCCACTTCCTCAGTCCCCTGTATGAGTGACAAGATAGACCCCTGAGGTCACAGGAGTAAAGCCTGACATCCCACTTTGGTGGAGGAATCTTTAGGTAGACCTAATGATTAGCTTCGTTTTCCAAAAAGCCTTCAACCTTCCCCCACCCTTGGTGCCAATTACAGGAGAGCAGTTGGGGAACAACACACATGTCCCAGACCAATAGGGTCCCTGGGGGATCTGTGAATTGGATAGATGGAAGCGTCTTTGAATCCTTGCTCTAGAAAGTGTTTCCACTTCAGGTGTCCCCGAGCTGCTTAGGGAAAGGAGCTACTGTGCTTTTCCTTGAAGCCTTTTTGCCATTGCCGTGTGTGAGATAAATCTACCAGTGAAGTTTCTAAGGAGCTGGAGGACAAAAGGTCGGGATGAAGATCTAGCAAGAGATTCCACTTATTGGCTGTGGTCTGTGCCTTCTCTGAACTTGCATGTTCAGAAAGAATGAGAAAGAACCCGAGGCACCTGGGGCTCCAGGTCATCCCCCCATTATGGTCCCAGACCCACAGCAGATGCAACAACCCACTGAACAGCCGCTCACGTCTCCTGGGCCTCTCCTCTTCCCTTTGCCCAGTGTTTCTCAACCTTGTTTTCATTAGCACCCCTATAACCAGCCTTTCTTAGACACTTTTGTTCCTAATCACCCCCTCCATGAGATGTTAATAGCACAGGCATGCTGGATATCTGTTTATGTACTATATTGGCGCTTTACAGCAAGAGAAAGATTCCTGCCTCTTCTCAAGAACCAATTTTTGCCCCACTGGGGACAATATCGCACCCATTGAAAATGCATGCCCGAACACCTTTGGAGAGCCAGCTGGAATAGGCATGACTTGAAGACGGAGCTGTGGTGGGGCATCTTCCCGCGGCCAGTCTGGCGGAATGGGAAAAACACACTAACTCTGGGGTCAGAAAGGCTGTGTCAGCATGCCAGCTCCACCTGCCCCTAGCAGGACCAGCAGGCTAAATTTAGGAAATACCCATATTCCCTTAAGGCTCAGTATCCTCATCTATAAAATGGGAATCATTTCTATCTTCAGATTGTAGTGAGAATTCAGTAATGAAATCTGTATTACAGCAACAAGCATCCATCATATTGAGTTCTCATCTCTCTCTCTTCCCTTTAGTTTCTGTCAGAAATATAATATTCTGGTTTACAAGAGCTAGTTTGGATTCTTTAGCAAGATTTTACTTCCCTTTCCAGAGACATACTGGATTGAAAACTAATTTGCAAACGAATGTAAAATGTGTTGCTACTATAGCTGGTGTGTAAATGTTACTATCGAGAGGTAGTAAACCTAATCATACATCAAGGGGAAATAAAAAGTTACGCACATACTCAAACTTTACAGCTCGCTGAAATTTCTTTGCACTTGAGAAACTGAGTATATTAATCACCCTCTTCTCCCTACTTTCCTTCCCTAATAAAATTTCACTATTCTTTATTTAAGGTTCCATGGTAAGATTAGCAACAAAATAGAAAGCATTTTCTTTCTTTCTGAAGGTATAATAGACTCCCTCAGGTACATCACTCAAGAGAATTATGAAGTAAGTAAGCCTCTCAGATGAGATTTTAAAAGGTGACTAACTTTCTCTGGTCTGCCCACCATCTCCTTTCTATATACCCGAAAGTCAGGGTTTGTTTTTGAATTTAGCCCATTGATGGGGAAGGTGCAAGAATGAGAGTGCTTTGGAAAGTTTGTGATGGAAGCAGCAGGGCTTGGTGGCAGCCTAACTGGGGAAGAAAAAGAGTCTAAAATTCCTTCACATGATACGTTTCAAGAGACACTAATCTTCCATCAAGTACAAAATGTACTTTAATGCATACTGAAAACTAAGAAAGTCACAGTTATTTTAAATAAGTAAACAGACAAGATTAAATGACATTAAATATCAAAAGCTAATTTGAGTTTCTGGCATCAGAGCCAATGCTTCCTCCACACATGTGGGTAGTGGGTGATAGATATTCCTGACTTGGATTGTCACCAGCCTTCAGAGTTTGGGATGTCATCAGTCACCCATGGGAACAGTGAACGATGAGTCAGAGACTTCCGTGGAGAAAGTGCTCTTCTGGGAGGGAGTTCACTGCTATGTCCGCTTGCATATAATAGGGGCACAGTAAATGTTTATTGATATGTGGTTTTTCTTGCTTTAGAAAAAAGATAAACAGTCTACTAGTGTGTGTAGGCAGTGATATGTTAGGGTAACAGATAAAGTCTGAAAACTCAGTGACTTAGCGCCATGAAGGTTCATTTCCAGCACACACAAAGTCCATCGCGGTTCCAGTGACTGCAGCTGTGTCTTCCATGTCATTGAACCAGCTTGCTTATGACCACGGGCTTTACCCATTCAACGTGCAACTTCAGTCCAGAAATGAGGCTTATCCACTTCCCCTCTGCAGGGGCTGAGCCTGCAGGGGAGCCTGGGAAATATCTGCTGAGTATTCTGTCTCTATCACACATGGGTGGACTTCTGCACATCTACCTTTCAATACCAGATGATGGGTTCCTCTTGACTGTGCTTCCTATTGATTTGGGATGGATGGGAAAGGACTAACTAGAATTATTTATTAAAGGGCCAGAAAGCTATTTCCCTCCCAAATACATCAGCTTCTGAGCAAAAAAAAATTCAGCACGGTTGGCTATAGCAGTAGAACCACCAACTAGCAAAAGCACAGCTATTGTGTAGTCCACGCTATGTTAGCTACAATTTGAGTGATAAATTTTAAGCTTAAGAGGTCAATGAATATCGGTTGATATTAATGAATACTCATCAGCTGACAAAGTCAGCATCTTATTTACCCATGTCTTCTTCCTTCCTCAAAGTATTTCTGGAATAAAATGGGATTTAGTCTCCCATGACTCTGTTCCTTCTGGTAAAAGCCAGTACTCAAACCCAGGAGTTTATCCGAAACGTCCAGACATCTGGGACCACAAATAGTGAAAAATGGGACTGTCCCAATAAGCGCAGATGGCTAGTAAGCTTGTGGTACCATGGACTCATTTGCAGGTATGAGATCAGTCGTGATGGAGCCAAGTTATTTTCTTTTATGAACTTTTAATGTTTTTTGGCATACTTGAAAAGTGCAATAAAAATGAAAAAATATTCATCAATATTAGTGTATCTCTGTAGTCCTACTGTTGCATGGTAATATCATTAATTATGTATGGCTCCCACAGGGTAGTGTGTTTCAAGGGAGTGGAAATTGAATACAAAGTCTTTTATTCTTGTTTTCACTCCAACTCAAGTCATTAGTTCTCTCAGCAGATCTGCCCCCAACCCCAAGCCCCCAATCCTAATGCCCCCATCCTTGCCCACTCACAGCAACTTTCCGGCAAGCCAAAGCGCTATACCTTGAAGTGAATTCGTGGTTTTCCTCCAATTCTCAGCAAGCGAGCATTCCTATTTTGAGAACTGGCTTAGGCTAAGATAGCCACTCATTTCTCCAAGTGCCGTCAGCACAATTGTATTTTGTGTGTGGCATACACATTTACCTTCCGCCCTTGGAACAGTGTAATTGCTTGACATTTTGGCTGCCTAGACACATTTGTATCTCTGACCCCCCAGGTCCCATACCCAGAGCAGTGACAGGCTGGGACGGGTATCTGAGAGAAAACATCTTCCTCCTCCCTTGTGAGCCGCTCCTAACAGCTGCGCTCCGTTCCTGAGACCCTCCTTGCTTTTTCATCCTCCGCAGCCAAGAAACTGAATTGAATCCACTTGCAGGGCCATCCTCTCCTGAAGATGGCAGAATCTGAACAGCCAAGTGAAAGACAGGGGGGCCCCCACAAGCCCCTGTCCTACCCACGGATCCCGAAATAGAAGGAAATGCCCTAAGCTAGGAAGAAAAGCGCACCAAGAAAAGTGCATTCTGAGCCACACCTTCCATGTGGATAAAGTCAAGACTTGGGTTTCTGGAAGCGGAAATCTTGTCACTTTCCTTCATCATTCGTTTTTTCTTCCTCTTCCTCTTCCTCCTCTTCTTCCTCTTCCTCCTCTTCTTCCTCTTCCTCTTCCTCCTCTTCTTCCTCTTCCTCTTCTCTTCCTCTTCTCCTCCTTCTCCTCCTCCTTCTCCTCCTCCTCCTCCTCCTTCCCCCCTTCCCCTTCCCCTTCCCCTTCCCCTTCCCCTTCCCCTTCTCCTTCTTCTTCTTCTTCTTTTTTAGAGACAAAGTCTCACTCTGTCGCCCAGGCTGGAGTGCAGCGTAATCAGAGCTCACTGACCGATGGAGAGGGAAGCCAGATGGGGACAGAAAAGAGGTTTAGGGGCGAGAGGGCAGACAGGTAAATACAGAGAGGTGGAGACTGATGGCAGAGGGGAGGGGCACAGGGAAGGAACAGTGCCCTGCCCTTCTCCCGATCACACGGGGTCGCAGCACAGTACTGCCAGGAAAAGGCCCGTTCCCCAGGAAGTGGGGATCACCAAGGGGGCTGAGCTCCTTTGATTCCTTCTGAGAAATCCTCCTTCCCTTTCCGACTCCCCTCCAACCATAAGCCACTTCTCAGGCCTGGCCATTCTCCTCTCTCATCAGACTAGACAGAGCTGGGGGCATTTGAAGATGCAGACTTCACGGAACGTTACCAACGTTCCACGTTATCACGGAAAGTTACCAACGTTCCACGTTACCACGTTACCAACATGCCTCCTCCTCTGTGAAGCACCCCCGATTGCCCCTCCCATCCTCCGTCTCAGTGCACTGTTTTCACTCACCCGCCTCTCCCTCCGGCTCTTGAGCTGAACGAGGGCAGGGACTGTGTCGTGTTTGCTGTTGTATTCTCGGTACCCTCTAAGGTGCCTGGGGCATGGTAGGAGACCGATAAATATTGGACAAATAAATTAACAAATGAGTGGGGTGCGGTGGCTCACTCCTGCAATCCCAGCACTGTGGGAGGCCAAGGTAGGTGGATCATTTGAGGTCAAGGGTTCGAGACCAGCCGGGCCAACATGGCGAAACCCCGTCTCTACTAAAAACACAAAAGTCAGCCGGGCGTGGTGGCGCACACCTGTAATCCCAGTTACTCGGATGCTGAGGCAGGAGAATCGCTTGAACCTGGGAGGCGGAGGCTGCAGTGAGCCGAGATCAGGCCACTGCACTCCAGCCTGGGAAACAGAGCGAGACTACATCTCAAAATTGAAAAAAAAAAAAATTAATTAATTAACAAATGAATGGAGCACATTATTACTTCTAAAAACGCAATGCTGAGTGTGGCATTCTTCTGCAAAAATAGAGACTGGAACCCTTTGCATGTGGTTTTTCCCTCAAGGAAAACCAGGGCTAAGGAAATTCAGCCCTTCCGGACAACACCAAGGAAAAGCCTGGCCAGCACAAAAAACCATTTAATTTCCTTTCACAACATCTCTGGTCACCACTGTTCTTTATTTAATCCTATAAATCCCTCTTTATAAATTTACTTATTTATATTTAAGTTAACATGGATACTCATTCACTACTACTGAGTTTTTCAAAACTATGTGTCTGTCTCAGCATATTTTATCGTCTGAAGCACATGCCTGGCCAGCTGCTAGAGCCGCTGGAACCGGCGTTTGGATCAGTGCTGGAACACGAGTCGGGGCCAGAGTGATTCCTGCTGCGACTGCTGACAGCCAGCTTGTGAAGCACTCAGGTGCTGATAGACCTGGCATATAAACAAACCTCGACTTCTGATAATATTTCTAAAAGAATTAAGTGTTGTTGGGTAGACCGTAGTATATGATGACAGAGGCTAGACATTCTGGCAGAACCATCTTAGAAATGAAAATAGACATATTATCATTTAAATTTCCAAGGAAACTTATAGTACTGGTATATTCAATCTGAGCGACACGTTCCCTGTGGATAACGTCGAGGCTTCGGTTTCTGGAAATGGAAATCTCGTTAACTTTTCTTCACCTTTCAGTTTCTTTCTTTAGGAATGAAGTCTCACTCTATCATGCAGGCTGAAGTGCAGTGTGATCATAGCTCACTGCAGCCTCGATTTCCTGGGCTCAAACAATCCTCCCGCCTCAGCCTCCTGAGTAGCGGGGACTACAGGCACACACCACCACACCCAGCTCTTTGATTCCTTTTAGTTTTGTTGAAAGTAATCGACTCAAATTGATCATCTTTTAGAGAATACGTGAGGGATATGGTACCTAACAGAATTCTTACCAGCTATCAACACAAAGAGTGGACCAAGCCAATCAGACCAGGTTAAGTCTGTAACACTGTATGCTAAGTGAATTTCCCAAAGACCTGTTGAGACGCTAGGCTATTCCAAGTGGCAGAAACCATCCCATCTGGTGTCTGCATTCTCTTGTCCTTATTCTGTATAACTTCACTGCAGTTCCTCCAGTAAAAGGCACAAACTGCCCATTGTGGGCTGCATTTGGCCTACAGACATTTTCCTTTGCTCACTCAGGAGTTTTGAAAGTTTCCGTTAGGTGTTGACATTTAAAAATTGGGAGACCTCATTTAAAAAAAAATCTAGGTTTTATTTTCTCTTTAAAAATCAGAAGATGTAGCAACACTGAATATGAATTCTTTTATGGACACATTGAGCTCAAATAGGAGCAACGGACTCTCTAATAACATTGATAAGAATAATAGTAGTAATAGCTATTCGTATAATAGGATGTACTATGTGCCACCTGCTCCTTAAGTGCTTTGCATATATTACATCATTTTATCCTCACATCAACCCTATGAGGTGGGCACTATAATTACCTGCAGTTTCTAAGTAAGGAAAACAAGACCTGGTGAGGTCAAGTCACTTGCCTGTAGTCACACAGCTATTTATTTATTCGTTTGTTTATTTATTTATTTTTGAGACGGAGTCTTGCTCTGCTGCCCAGGATGGAGTGCAGTGTCATGATCTCAGCTCACTGCAACCTCCACCTTTCAGGTTCAAGCAATTCTCCTGCCTCAGCCTCCTGGGTAGCTGGGATTACAGGCACATGCCACCACGCCTAGCTAATTTTTGCATTTTTAGTAGAGACGGGGTTTCACCATGTTGGACAACCTGGTCTCAAATTCCTGACCCCAGGTGATCCACCCGCCTCAGCTTCCCAAAGTGCTGGGATTACAGGCGTGAGCCACCGTGCCCAGCCAGTCACACAGCTTTAAATGATAGAACCAAGATTTGAACCAAGCAGTCCAAATGGTTAAATACTCATAAATGCAGTCTCCCAAATGATGCTGGGTAGGAACAAACTATTGTAGGCACACGGATGTCTAGATGTAAATGCTGTTGTGACTAACATATAATAGTTCAAAAGAGTATGGGGTCTGGAGTCAGATTCCCTCCATTTGAATCTAGTCTCAGCCACATTTCACCTGGGAGAACTTGGGCAACTTGATTAATATTTTTAAGCTTTAGTTTCATCCGTAAAATGAGGAAATAGTACCTTCCCCATGGATTATTTAGACTTTACAGAATTAAGTGAGGTAATAAAATCCTTATCCTTAGCATAAGTAAGCAGTGGCACATAGTAAATGCTCAATTAATGGTCACTATTGTTATTTTTATCTAGGTAACTTTTAGCACTGAAAATTTCATATGTGTCTGATTGAGAGAAGTCTTAAGCTGATGCAAAACATATTCTCCAATTTCTAACATTTTGTAGTTTAAAGGAAATTATTTATAGACAAAAATAATACGGCTCTTTGGGAAATAGTGCTCAAGTACTATTTCGCTGGAGAGCACAAACATATAAAATGAAACGCCGCTTTAATTTTAGTTTCAGTCTTTCCTTAAGTACAGGAGTCCCTCCTTATCTGTGAGGGATATGTTCCAAGACCCCCAGTGGATGCCTGAAACCGCAGACAGTGGCAAACCCTATATACAGCAATTTTTTCCTATGCCTACATACTTATGATAAAGCTTAGCCTATAAATTAGGCAGAGTCAGAGATTAACAACAATAATAATAAAATGCACCAATTATAATGGTACACTGTAACAAAAGTTATGTGAATCTGGTCTTGCTCTCTGTCTCAAAATATCTTACTGTACTGTACCCACTCTTCTGATGATGATGTGAGATGATGAAATGCCTTTGTGATGAGTGAAGTGAGGTGAATGTCATTGGCATTGTGACATAGTGTTAGGCTACTGCGGACCTGCTGATGTTATGTCAGAAGGGGGATGAGGTGCTACAGGTGGTCCAGGTCACTGGGCCATGACAGTGTTGATGGTTGAACGTCAGGAGCCAATGATGTTGATAGTTGGGGATCCTGGATAGTTGAAAGATTTTTTGCTGAAAACTTTTGGAAGAACATTGTAATCAGAAGTTGTCCCTAACTCTTCAAAGCTTTGCTGCAGACGTTCTAATCCTTTGGTGAGCATGCAGGTGACTTTAATGCTGCATTCCAACTAAGGATCACATTTCATAATTTTGTCTTTAAAAGTCTGTGAAATCTGAAACACTTCAGCAAATGTTGGTAATGTCCACATTGCTGGTTCTGCTTCAGTTTCTTCTTCCTCTTCCTCTTCCTCTGTAGATGACTCAAGTTCTCCCAATTCCTGGTTTAACACTTGTCAATGGCCTTCAATGTGTTCTCCCACTTCCTGTCAAGCAGGTCGGCAAATCGTTCTCCACCAACTTGTCTTTCTGCATGAGTGATTTTCCTAACTTCTTCAATCCCAGAAAGCCTTTAAAATCATTCTTGACTTCACTCCACAGGTTCTTGCAGCAGACATTTACCATTGCTGGTTTCGATTCATGCATTGTAGCTTTGGTGAGTGTTATTGTGTCAACGATAGTGAATAATTTCCAGCACCGCATTGTGTCCAGATTAGAGTCTGCCTCGATTGCTGATCAAAATCTCAGGTGGATGTATATGGTTTTGACAAACCAAATGACGTCATGCCCTGGACAAAGGGCTGAAGCAACAAGGTTGTAATCAGAAGTAAAAACACAACCTTGACATTTTAATTTTCACAACAAACAAATTCAACAAAGGTTGTACTCCGAAGTAAAAACACAACCTTGACATTTTAATTTTCACAAAAACAAATTCAACAAACAAAAAAATTGTCCAGGTGCAATGTCTATTGTCCAAACAGGACTTTAAATTCCAACTCTTCCACTTCCATTTATTTTTTCACTTCTGGGATGAAGCATCGGTGAAGCCATTCCATAAACAAGATGATTCTCACCCACACTTTCTGATTATTTTGACAGAAGATGGGCAGATAATTTGGGGGGGTTTAAATCATGAATTTTTTTAATTTTTAATTTTTGTGGGTACATAGTAGGTGGTGGTTGTTGTTGTTGAGAGCACATGCGTTCTTCACTTTGTGCATGACACCTGGCTTTATCGTATGCCCTGCAGCATTGCCACCTGGTACCAGGGTTAATCTGCCCATCCGTGCTTCATGCCCCAGTGCCTCCTTTGAACTTTTATGAATAGAGGTTCTATCGGGCGTCTTCTTCCAGAAACACCTCGTTTCATCACAGTTGAAGATTTGCTGTGGATGGTATTCCTTCTTCTTAATCAACTTCCTCAGCTCTGCCAGAAATGCAGCAGCTGCTTCTTCATCAGCAGGTGCAGCTTCTCCAGTAATGTTTTTATTTTTTCGTCCAAACCTATTCCTGAATCTGTGTAACCATCCCTTACTTGTAGTAAATGGCTTGATATCACTTGTTTCAGGGGACCCCTTGCTCAAGGCTTCCTATAAGTTCAGTGCTTTATGGCACAACGCATTTGTCGTCAATTGAAACACATTTTCCATTCATGTCCTCCACCTGCAAATCTAGGTGGTTCAACCTACTACACACCTAGGTACGTGGTATACCCTACGGCTCCTAGGCTACAAACCTGTATAGCATGTGACTCTACTGAACACTGTAGGCAATTGTAGCAAAATGGCAAGGATTTATGTATCTGAACATATCTAAACACAGAAGAGGTACAGTAAAAATATGGTATCAAAGACAAAAATGAAACACCTGCATAGGGCGGCTCCATGATAATCTTGACCGATGCTGATCGAAACATCGTTATGTGGTGCACCCCTGTGTTTATAAAAACCTAAAATGGGCATACTTTATGACCAATTAATTTATCTTGTATAAATTAATTTTAAAGGCCGGGGCGGTGGCTCATGCTTGTAATCCCAGCACTTTAGGAGGCCGAGACAGGCGGATCACCTAAGGTCAGGAGTTCAAGACAAGCCTGGCCAACATGGCAAAACCCCATCTCTACTAAAAATACAAAAATTAGCCGGGCATGGTGGTGGGCACCTGTAATCTCAGTTACTTGGGAGGCTGAGGCAGGAGAATCACTTGAACCCAGGAGGTGGAGGTTGCAGCGAGCTGCGATCGTGCCACTGCACTCCAGCCTGGGCGACAGAATGAAACTCCATCTCAAAAAGAAAAACTCAACTTAAAATATGATCTCATTGATGAAAATGAGCAAAAAGTGATAAACCATCCAATAGGAAAAATAGGCAAAAGATATGAAAAATAGAGCCATCGTCCCTGTGTTCCAAGACCTCCAGTGAATGCCTAAACCATGTTTTCTGTTCATGTGTTCCACCCACAAATTTGATGCCTTTTTTCCACCTTCACTGAGCGCTTACCACACGCTGTGGCCATGACTATAGCAATCTGATGTGCAACAGCAGAACCAGCACACATTTCTCATTCCTTCTTCACAATTTCACGATAGAAGATTTGACCTTACTGTAGATCTTAAGAACCTCAGCGTACAAGTTTTTTCCTTCCTTATAAGTTGAAAACTTTCTCTTTTTCACATTCACATGGCTTCTCTTTGGCATATCCAAATTGCCAGCATCACTACTCTTGCACTTTGGGGTCACTAGAAAGTAAAATAACGGTGGCTTGGATGCGAGCATTGTGATACCCAAGACAGTCAATCTGATAATCAAGCTGGCTAAGGGACTAGCAGGCAGGTAGTGTACACACCACAGATATGCTAGACAAAGGAATGATCCACCTCTCAGGCGGGACAGAGCCAATGTTGCAAGATTTCATTATGCCACTCAGAGCAGCATGCACTTTCAAAACTTATGAATTTTGTATTTCTGAAATTTTCCATTTAATATTTTCAGACCAAGGTTTGCTGCAGGTAACTGAAACCATGGAGAGCAAAACTGTCCATAGGGGTAATCCATTGCATTTTCAGTAAGTATTTATTGAGCATCTACTATATCGTATTCATCATTCTATCTCTAGTATTTTAGCCTAGCCTATAGTAGGATTCAGATAAATGTCTGCAGAACGAGTAAAGCCAAAAGTGAGAAATTGATAGAATTTGGTTTGTTCTTCCAAAAGGTAAGATGCCAGAAAAAATTCTGAAAATCAGTTCACGTTAGAGTAAGCAAACAAAAAAAAAAGTGTAATCAAAGAAATTTTCCTTGTTAAAATCAGAATGCATTAATACTAATGAAAAGGAGAATGCAGACCCCGTCTGACATATTTTATACTGTTTAAAGATAAACATTTGTGCACTGCAAGCCGCAAATGGATTGAAACTCCAGTGAGGACTTTATAAGCCATCTGCTAGTCTACTAATGAGGCTAGTAACTATCATTGTTTACGGATAGGCACCAGGGGTCATGGGTATTTGTTATAATGAAAGCTGCAATGCATCACTGCAGAAACTAAAAGAGTCTTTCTTCATAAGGGCTAATTACAAATATAATAAAACAACATTTAAAAAATCTCTTGAAGTCCACAGAGAAACCTAACTTGGCACACCAAGTACAAACAGTAGTACCCGCTCTGTTTGCATTTAGTGGATTCTGATTACAGAAGCCATATCATATTTAACTACTAACAATACAAGGCCACCGATGGGTCCTTTGCCTCAGATCACTTAATCACAAGATGCTTTGTGAACCATCTGGATCTCTGAGATATTTGCTCTGACAATCTATGCATAGAGTATGCAAACTCACAGCAAGACCCATGGGGTTTTTGTGTCTGTGTGTGTGTTTTTAATAAGATGCTACCTTAAAGTTCTGCCTCCCTGGTGTCCACACTGAACTTTGTGAGTTAGTTATCTCAGTGCAGGGGTGGAATGTGAAAAATTGATTGCTTAGAGTCATAGAAACAAAGGAACTAATAGGCTGACTACATTTTTTTACTTTTTATTGGCAATTTTAGCATCCTAAATATGTAGTCCAATCTTAATTGTTTTGGCCAATAGATAGTGGCAGTATCTCCACAGTCCAGTGGAGAAATAATTTGGCCTGTTGCATTAGTGGATGACAACCACATCAATTCATGTGTTCCCAGCATCTCAGACTAGGAAAACTTAAGAGTCACAATATGAAGGGCTTCTTATAAAATGTTATATCAGTAACAGTATCAAGACCTGAGATCTCCCAGATGAGAAAAGGTTACCTATTTTATTAAAATTGCCTGTTAATAGGATTACTAATAATAAGACTACAAGAAGAAAAATGTCTCATATTTGTAGAGTGCTTCTCGCTTATTCCAAAGCCTTGTGCATGAAAACCAAAACCCAAAAACCACTAATATATGCACATCCCCTAAAGAATAGCCAATAAAAACGTGAAAATAGAAGAGAAATTAGGTGGATCTCGCACTACCAAATAGGAAAACATACTAAGCTTAAGTAAAGTAGTGCAGTGCAAATGCAAGAGTAGAATAAGGGATCAAAACGTGGAACAGAAAGAAAAGAGATTTGCCTGCAGGGCTGACATGAAGGGCGCCCCTGAAATTGTGCTGAAGGCATATAAGAACGTGTGTGTGATCAACGTGGCAGTGGAAATAAATGGAGAAAATAAAAATGATTTCATGAGTACTACCGAGATAATATGTTAACTTTCTGGAGAAGGAATGAGATTCTTATATTATATGCAAAAATAAAGTCCAGAGGGCTGGGTGTGGTGGCTCATGCCTGTAATCTGAGCACTTTGGGAGGCCAAGATGGGCGGATCACCTGAGGTCAGCAGTTTGAGACCAGCCTGGCCAACATGGTGAAACCCCGTCTCTACTAAAAATGTAAAAATTAGCTGGGCACGGTGGTGGGAACCTGTAATCCCAGCTACTCAGGAGGCTGAGGCAGGAGAATCGCTTGAACCCAGGAGGCGGAGGTTGCAGCAAGCCAAGATCACACCACTGCACTCCAGCCTGGGCAACAGAGCAAGACTCCGTCTCAAAAAAAAAAAAAATCCAGAGAATTAAATAACTAAGGATAGAAAATAAAACTATGAAAAATAACTTTTAAAAATGTGAGCAAATATTTAATTTGCAAGAGAGGAAGAAGAAGAGAAGGCAAGAGGTGGAGAGCAGTGTGGCTCACACCCCCTGGGTCATCCTTGTAAGGCTATCATGCATCCCACAGGCAGCCTCAGAGGGAAAGCTATGAGGCAATTTTGTTCATATTCGTGTCATAAATTTAAAATGTAAGATAAACTATGCTTTTCAAGAAATGCCATTAACATGCTAAAAATAATTATGTGTTCAGAGGTTGCACATGAGCCACAAATTGTGCTGATCATTTTGGAGGGAGCTGCTATCCGGTTAGTAGGGTCTGCTACCTTGTGGCTTATGCGCATCCGAATCATTTACATAATACTGCTTACTTTATTCAAGGTGCCTTTTTATTTTTACGCACGCATTGCATTTTAGCTTCATTTCACAAAAGTGGATTAGTGGTGCACATGGTTTATTGAGGCATAAAGGCAATAACGAAATAATAACATACATACTACAACCGGAATAACACCATACACAAACATAATAAACAAGACTCCAGCACAAATGTGGAATGGGAACTCTTACATGTTGGGACAAGTGAATCTGTGAAGGTGACGATTTCACACAAGCATTGGAAAAGAAAAGTGTGAATAGGATATAGCATCATGAATATCTGAAAATTGGATTTCGTTCGACAAGTGATCCATTCACTTTTTGCCCTTCATGCTTTGTCTGTATTGAATTTTGTCCCATAATGGCACAAAGCCATCCAAACTTTTGTATCACTTTCACACAAGCTCAGTGACCTTTCCAGCATCCACATGAGGTTTCCTGGAATAAAAGCAAAGTATCGCTTTTCAAGTATGAAACCGATCAATTGTATCACTAAAGGCAGAGAAGAGGTAGTAGCAGTAAGAGATATCAGTGACATGAACATTAAGAAACAAACAACACCAGCCCCAAAGTTAATGGCCAATATTATGCATAAAGAGAAAGCGGAATAATATGGCAGATAAATTGAAAGAGTCTTTACTACCACATCCTCTTGCTAGCAGATATTTCTCACCAAGACTGGACAGAACTGAGGAACAGGGCATGAAGCTGCTTCTAGCGTACATGTTTTCCTTGGGGATAATGTTCTACGGCTTTTGATCTTATTTATCTCTGAAAGCACAGACTCTATAAACAGATATTTTCTTGTTTTGTTAATGATGATCTTGTGAGCTGTAGGGCACTTGTCACTGAAAAGGCTTTGGGATCAGAGCTGACAGAGTATCTGCTATGCATGAACATAGAATGTGAGTGAAAGAGAATTCAGGTGGCAGGGTGCGGTGGCTGGTGCCTGTCATCCCAGCACTTTGGGAGGCCAAGGCCGGAGGATCACTTGAGCTCAGGAGTTTCAGACCAGCCCGAGCAACATAGCAAGACCCTATTAAAAAATAATTTTTTTCTATTAAAAAATTTTTTTAAAATGCCAGGTGCAGTGGCTCACACTATAATCCCAGCACTTTGGGAGGCTGAGGTAGGTGGATTACCTGAGGTCAGGAGTTAGAGACCAGACTGACCAACATGGTAAAACCCCATCTCTACTAAAAATACAAAAAATAGCCAGGCGTGGTGGCAGGCATCTGTAACCCCAGCTACTCAGAAAGCTGAGGCAGGAGAATGGTTTGAACCCAGGAGGCGGGAGGTTGCAGTGAGCCAAGATTGTGCCACTGCACTCCAGCCTGGTGACAGAGTGAGACATCATCTAAAAAAAAAAAAAAACATTTAACCAGGCATGCTGGTGCATACCTACTCAGAAAGTATGCTCCTACTTGGGAAGCTGAGGTGGGAGGATCACTTGAACCTAGGAGTTCGAAGCTGAAGTGAGCTGTGATCGCACCACCGTGTTCCAGACTGGGTGACAGAGTGAGATCCTGTCTCAATTTAGAAAAAAAAAAAAAGAGAGAGAAAGAGAAAGAATACACCTAAATGCCAATTCATCCACTGCTTTAATTATGGAGAACAGTTGGTGGACAAAAAGATGCCTTTTGATCCAAATTAGGTGTTGAAGGAAATGGTGAAACAGGTAAATATAATCAAACGGCCACCACTAAGTTTGCGCTGTGTGGAGAAAAGGAGGAGCATGCTCGGCTTTTGAATGCTGAGGCACACCAGGTATTTAACGGAGAGACAATCAGAGAAGACTTCAGTGTCTTTGGGCAATTTTTATGACATCATTAATACCCATAACAACCGTTTTATGATTTCCAGTGATTTGTGGCCAGTAATTTAATAGGAATATCTTTGCTACTATCTGCCACCTTGAAACTCTCAGTCTTACAGCTTTGTCTGAAGCTTGTTGGCTTAGCATCCAACAAAGCAGTGAATGTAGACTTTAGCAAAAAAGCTTGACATATTTTCAAGGTCTACCTTCTATCTTCATATGCAGAACTAACTGACAGACTATCAAATACTTGTTGTCATTCCTGAAAGCTGAAATTTCATAGAAATAAACTAGAATGGGAGGATGATATTCTGAGGCAAGACAGTGAAAGCCTACCGCAGTTCATCCCATGGAAATGAGAACTAATGCGCTTTCCTAAAGGGTATTGAAAGAATGCCCTTCCTAGATTAATAGCTGCATACCACAGACCCAACCTGGGTTCATCTGCTCTGTAAGGATACCATATCCAGAACAGCAGCTAAAATTAGGGTTAAGTTTGTGATTGTCCACTGTCATCTGCCATGATGCACCTAGATTTTGCAGAGGCAAGACTGGTGAATTAAATGGAGTTACAAGAAGGACCGCCAGCTTTGAACTATTAAAGTCTTCAAGGGTGGCACCCATCTCTGCTATCTCTCTGAATGAGATATTTACTATCAAGGTCAGAGGGGGTAATTTCAGGAACTTTCAGGTGGCCTTTCCTACTATGGTAGTTCTTATTCTACAGTCAAGGAACCAACGTAGGATTCTGTCTGCCAGTTGCCACATGTGGTCAAGAGCTTGTCTCTGCTGGGCCCAGTGGCTCACACCTGTAGTCCCAGCACTTTGAGAGGCTGAGGCATGTGGATTACTTGAGCTCAGGAGTTCAAGACCAGCCTGGGCAACATTGTGAAACCCCATCTCTACTAAAAATACAAAAAACTAGCCAGTCGTGGTGGTGTGTGCCTGTAATTCCAGCTATTTGGGAGATTGAGGTGGGAGGATCACTTGAACCCGGGAAGTTGGTGGTGCAGTGAGCAACGATCAAGTCACTGCGCTCCAGCCTGGGCAACAGAGTGAGAGCTTGTTTCAAAAAAACAAAAAGGGAACTTGTCTGTAAAAGAATAAAAATGAAAAACTTACTTAGGAGACTGATGTATTCTGGGACTAAGGAAATGACACCCGGTGTTGTGGGTGGCAGGATGCATAGACCCAATGAGAGACAAACTTTATCAAGGACTTTCTTTTCTTTTTTTATGAAAAAAAAATTTATTATAGACTTTTAAACATAAAGAAAATAGAAAAATAGGACAGTGAACATTCATAAATATACCAATTAGGTTCATTAACATTTTGCCATATATACTTTACACACACAGACACACACACACATATGCACACATTTTGCTAAACCATTTGAAAATATCTTAGAGACATTTTAACACTTCACTCCTAAATACTTCAGCACGCACATTTATAAAGACATTCTTCTGTAAACTACAATACCCTTATCCCAGCTCATAAATTAGCAATAATTGTCTAATATCATTTAAAATCTAGTCCATATTCAAATTTCTTCAGTGGCCCTTTGCCCAGGTCTTTTACAGATGACTTTTAAAACCAGGCTTCAGGCTGGACGAAATGGCTCACACCTGTAATCTCAGCACTTTGGTGCGGGCAGATCACCTGAGGTCAGGAGTTCGAGACTAGCCTGGCCAACATGGTGAAACACTATCTCTACTAAAAATACAAAAATTGGCCAGGCATAGTGGCGTGCACCCAGCTACTTGGCTGACTGAGACAGGAGAATCACTTGAACCCAGGAGGCAGAGGTTGCAGTGAGCCAAGATCGCGCCACTGCACTCCAGCCTGACCCTGTCTCAAAAAACAAACAACAACAACAAAAAAGCATGGGTTCCAATCAAAGACTGCACATTGCATTTAGTTGTTAAGTCTCCTAAGTAACTTTTATTTTTATTTTTTTAGAGACAGTGTCTTGCTCTGTCACCTAGGCTGTAGGGCAGTGGCGCAATCATAGCTCACTGCAATCTGGAACTCCTGGGCTCAAGAGATCCTCCCACCCCAGCCACCTGAGCAGCTGGGACTACAGGCATTCACCATCATGCCTGGCTAATTTTTTAAGAATTTTTTTAGAGAATGGGTTCTGGCTATGTTGCCCAGGCTGGTCTCAAATTCCTGGCCTCAAGTGCTTCTCCCATCTCAGCCTCCCAAAGACTTGAGCCACCCTGCCTGGCCTTAAGTAACTTTGAGTATAGAAGAGTTACCCACTCCACCTCCTTCTTCTTCTTCCCGAATGCTGATATTTTGAAGAAATGAGGCCAGTTATCTCTACAACATTCCACATTCTGAACCTATCTGATCATTTCTTTAATGGTGTCATTTAACTTGTTGTTCTAGCCTCAGTATCTTCTGCAAATGGGAAATTAGATCTAAAAGCTCGACTAAATTCCAGTTGAACTCTTTTGATAAGAACACATCATAGGTGCACACTACATGACAAATGAAAAAGCATGTCTGGTTGTCTGACTCCTGGTGATGCAATGTCATTAGATCCTAAGGATCTCTTCATTGTAAACGTATGTTGTGCCCACAAAACCAATCAGCAAATCTTTGGTAAGATGATACTTTGACACCATGAGAATTCTGGGGTGGATGTAGATCAATTTTTTATTTAATAGTTTTGGCATCAAAATCCCTTTAATGTTGTTTTACATTAACTTTTCAACTATTTAACAATCCGATTTTTTAAATATTGTAAAACATTTGTTTTCCACAAACCATAAAATGTATGCAAAAGTAAGATTCACTTTTATAATCATAGCAGAATTACTCCTTAATTGACATGCGAGCACCTTTCTTTTTTATTTTTATTTTGAAACTCACCAGGCGCGGTGCCTCATGCCAGACATGGTGGCTCACACCTGTAGTCTCATCACTTTGAGAGGCTGAGGTGGGCAGATCACTTGAGGCCAGGAGTTCAAGACCAGCCTGGGCAACATGATGAAACTCTGCCTCTACTAAAAATACAAAAATTAGCCAGGCGTGGTGGCGCATGCCTGTAATCCCAGCTACTTGGGAGGCTAAGGCAGGAGAATTGCTTGAGCCCAGGAGGCAGAGGTTGCAGTGAGACTAGATTGCACCACCCATCTCAAAAAACAAACAAACAAACACATAAAAAAAACCCTCATATGTATTAGTCAAGGTTCTCCAGAGGGACAGAACTAGTAGGATATATGTATATGTATATAGATGGGTTATATACACACACACACACACACACACACACACACACACACCGTTTATGTTAATATTATATATATATATCATATACATATCATGTATTGCGTATGTGATTGTGTGAGTCAGTTCTTCCTATGAGAGAGTTTATCAGGGAGGATTGGCTCACACAATCACAAGGTGAAGTCCCATGATAAGCTGTCTTCTAGCTGGGGAAGAGAGAAGCTGGTAGTGGCTCAGTCCGAGTCTGAAAGCCTCAAACCAGGGAAGCTGATTATGCAGCCCTATGCAGACTGAAAGTCTGTGGCCAAAGACCCAAGAGCCCCCAGCAAGCCACTATGCAAGTCCCAGAGTCCAAAGAACCTGGAGTCTAATGTCCAAGGGCAGGAGAAGTAGGAGGAAGCACCCAGCACAGGAGACGGAGGGCAGCCAGAGGACTCAGCAGGCAAGGTTATCCCACCCCCTCCCACCTGTGGCACTGGCATCTGATCGGATGGTGCCCACCCACATTGAGGGTGGGTCTTCCTCTCCCGGCCCACCGACTCAAACGTCAGTCTCCTCTAGCAACACCCTCACAGACACACCCAGAAACAATACTTTACCAGCTGTCTAGGCATCCTTCAGTCCAATCAAGTTCACATCTAATATTAACCATCACACCATATAATAGCCAGTATGATAGCCAGTTAGGTACCAAGAGATGATCACACTTCCCAAAGCAAAGCATCATTAAGAGACTCTGGACATATGAGAGGTGGGAGTGGAGGAATTACTGATGGTCCAGAGGGAAATGGAGGCAGCCAGCATGACAGGAAATGGGGTGCTGGTGGAGGAACATTGAATTTTAGACCTGGCTTTCCTGGTCTCAGTCCTGACCCTGGCATGGGGGTGGCAGAAGGAGAAAAGAGTTTCATGGAGTAGCTTTTGATTTGGTGTTATTTGGTTTATTTCCAGGAGACCTGGAGTTCTCATTTTCATCCATTGGAACTTGACTTTCATTCTCTCGAGTGTTCTATTCTATATTATTAGCTACTTCAGAGGTTGGGGAAAGTAGTAGATCAGGCAGATTTTGCTCTTCTCCATTTCCATATCCAGTGTACACCGCAACATGGGTTTTTCCGTTAAAATCAACCTAAGTGGCTCAGGCTGTGGTGGCTCACGCCCGTAATCCCAGCACTTTGGGAGGCTGAGGCGGGAGAACCGCTTGAGCCCAGGAGTTCAAGACCAGCCTGGGCAATGTAGTGAGAATCTGTCTCTACGAAAAATAAAAATTAAGTCCCAGCTACTCGGGAGGCTGAGGCAGGAGGATCGGTTGGGCCCGAGAGGTGGAGGCTGCAGTGAGCTGTGATGGTGCCACTGCACTCCAACCTGGGTGACAGAGCAAGATGCTGTCTCAAAATAATAACAATAAAAATAAAATACAATCAACTGAAGCAATGATGTAGCTGGGTGAAGGCAGCTGTCTTCTGACCTAATGGCAGAACATGCGCCACCAGCTTTCCTGTGTTTCAAGAGAGTTGCATATTCTATTTTTGGCTCTTATTCTTCTTGGGTTTTCTTTTAGGTGTGACATTTGGTTATCTGAAGTTTCACAAATGTCATTCTTGTGAATGGTGGCTTAAATGAAGCATGGCTTTATCATAAGCTTCTATCAATGCTGTATCATTCCAAACGTCACAATCATCACTCTGGCCTGCACTGCCCAGGAACAACACCCAGTCCTCCTATCCAGGACTCCATCTCCACCTCTACCACCACCACCGCTGCTGCCCATGGCCATGCTGAGCCTACTGCCTTATTTATTTTCTCACACCCGCATTTCTCTAACAGGGAGGCCACAGTGACATTTGACTTCTTAGATATTGCTCTATTCAAGGGCCTTGGATATAAGATCTGGGTGTTCCCTTCTTTCCAAGGTATAGCACCTACATAGGTGGCTGTAGTTTCTTTTGGGAGCACTGGGGAATCCATACTGCATAGGCTATGCTGTATATCCTGCATGAATGCATCCTTCCTCATGGACCCGTATGGACCTTTTCTTTACTCAATGAATTGTGGGTCTGAGAACTGGCTTAGGTCTTGAAATTGGGCAAGAAGGCATAACTTCCCGCTAGGAATGGCTGACTTTAGCCTCCTTATCATCCATTCTTTTTTTTTTTAATTTTTGTGGGTACACAGTAGGTGTATATATTTATGGGGTACATGAGATGTTTTGATACAGGCATGCAGTGAGTACTAATCACATCACATAAAATTGGGTCTCCATTCCTTAATGCATTTATCCTTTGTGTTACAAACAATCCAATTATACTTTCAGTTATTTTAAACTGATCATTCATTCTTGATCTCTCTTTAGAGCTTAAAACTGCACTAAGATTTTTAGGATACCCTGTAAACAATGCCCTTGTTGCCTGCCCACTTATCTTTCCCCTAGAAACACCATGTTTCTAGAAACACCTCCCTGGATCTCCCCTGACTGTCATTCCAGATTTACTGTCCTTATTATGCCATCTAGCTTCTGACGATTAAGTGCTGCTGGCCTCTGCTACTGTGTGATCAGTTCTGTAGTGTCATCTCTTGTCAGCCCCAACCTACAGAAGACAGCTGCCACTGAGTTTCTCAGTGTGCTGGTATCCTCACTGTCATGGGTAGCAACTGCCTAGGGCTGGTGGCACAGATGGTAAAAAGAATTTATCAAGATAGTTTTAGGTAAAGAAAGGCAGATTTATTGGAAAAAGTAGGAAAATGTATTTCAGGAAAGCAATGGGCAAGTCAGCAAGAGAGGAGCTGACTGCAAGGAGACAAAAGCTTGCTGGAGATTTTATAGGATGGTGCTTGTGCTGTGTGCTGAAGAGGGCTTTGTGCGGTACTGATAATGCCAAGGTCGCAGTGAGCTAACTTGCATTTTTCTATCAGCCGAGTGTCTGGTGATAGCTGGGCGCAGGAAGATGGTGAGTTATTTGCACAGGATGGCTCTGTGTCCTGGACCATGAAGAAAGGCAAACTTACAGCTTATCTGTTTTTTTGCTTTACCCTGGTCCCAACCATCTTGACTCCTTTTCCCTAATTAGGACTCCAAACTCACCAGTGCATTCCTTATCACCTGCATCCATGCAGTGTTCTCCCCAGGAGCATGGTCAACTGACCTCCCGTGGGAGAACTATTCTAGCATGTCCACTTCTCCAAGCCTCTTGATTCTTTTCTCCACAGTCAGTGCTGGTAGTTCTGCCATCTTTACTTCATTTTTTTGTAGGCCAACACTTTCTGCAAGTTTCCAGGACTTATCCAAGCGGTGTATGAGACCCACATCCTGGGACCCTTGCCAGGTAGCTAATTCTGAGTGAAAGAGGAGTGCCCCCTTATAGAGAAACTCTCTCTTATCCAGTTTTATATTCCAACCTTTTGGTCCAGCACCATGGAGATTCACTTCCAGGCATACTCACCAGTTCTTGCCAGTACACATCAGCCAGGTTCTGAGCTGCTTGGGTGTAGAATCCCTCTTCTCCCTTAGCAGGCTCTGCTTTCCCTGTTAGGTTGTGCTGACATCTGACCTTAATTATGAATTTTGTGGCTGGGAGTGGAGGTAGAGCAGATCCTGAGGAAGACAGATGTTGTCTTATAAGGCACTGTCTCACTATCTGGTCTTCAAGTAAGAAGGGCCCACTATCTTCCAATTAGGCCATGTGGGCCACTTCTGAAGTTCAAGGATTCCAGAGAATATTACAGTGAGAGCTCTCGATTGCATCTACCTATTGTCCCCAACCTAAGCCTTGGGGTCTCACTCCTTCCCTACCAAAGCTCTGAGTTCATCTTCCCACCAAACCAACCCTTCTTGGTTTTCTTTCATAACATAAAAAAGAGTCATTTACTGAGAGCACTGGGCTAAATTTTGGAGCATAAAGAGATATGACTAGTGCCTTCCTTCATGGGACAAGAGTGAGTTCACATTGGCTCAAGCCAATGACCGTTTCCCATCTCCTTTGCCACATGACTGTGTTAGGGTTGGGAATTTAACCCAAGTGAAGCCAAGAGGACATGAAGACTTAGCTGAGGCTCTGGGAAATAGGGTCCTGCACTCTTTATTGAATTCGCTGCTCCAAAGACGTGAAGCTTGCAGTGGGCTTCCTCTGCAGCATCTTGAAACCAGGATGGGGAATCCCAGAGATTCTGGGAGTTGAAGTCAGGAGATGCTGCCATAAACACCTGGCAGGGGAACCAAGCTAGAAGCAGCACTGTGGAGAAAAGAATCCTGCTGACACAATTCCTTCTCTCGGTCAGGCCATACTCAACTGCACATCTGACTTGTGTGAAACGGTAGCCTCCCACTTTTGTTTAAGTCAGTCTGAGCATTTTGTCATGGTGTCCACCCTAAAGAAGTTCATAGTGCAGCAAAAATCAGTCACAGTTTATGATAATCTGACTCATATTTTATATGATTCCCTCAAAAACTGTTCAGTTATTGTTTCCTTCAGTTGGGAAGCTAGATTGTCTGCTCTGTTGAGTCCCGGTCTTAGGCCTTCTCCACCAGAATGCATATTTATAGAGGACATTCAATATACACTTAATGCATTGTGTAGAAATTAAAAGAAGACCAATCAAATGAGAACTATGAAAAGTTGTTCATTCAGAGCTTGCTACAACAAGTGAATCACCCACTATTACTTGCGTTGTTGCAGAGACTCAACGGAAGGCAGAGGAGTGGGAAAGCTTCAGAGTAGAAAAAAGAGAAGGCATCAGGTGTGCCCTGATGGAGACCATGACCTGGGGAAGCTGCAGGCGGGCTGGCTAGAGGCGAGCATCCTATGTGATTGGTTAGGGGGGCATACTTGGTGTTGGAAGCAGGGACAAAAGTTAGGGAAGCTGTCAGTTATTAATCAAATCTTGGCCATTTAGGGCCAGTTGTTACAGAAGCATTTTATATATGGTCTGGCCATGGCTCATTTTGTATATTCAGTCTCTCTATTGAGTGAATCTCCTTTCCCTAATTTATATCAAAAATAGACTTTTCAAGAATAGTTTGGGGATTGTTGTCTTTGTTGCTAAAACTTAAAAAAAAAAAAATGTGTCTAGTACTGTCGCTGCCTTCAGGGCTGATTCAAATCCAATATGGATTTAGAGAATTAAACCCAATCTATGGTGATATTGAAGAGAAGCTCAAAATGAGAAAAACAACTCTACTCAGACTAAATACACAATAATTAATTTGGATGCTGCACTTAGCAATGAAAGACAGAACCTAAAAGGGCATTTCTCAACCCCTGGAGTGTGTCTCGAGCAGTGAAACCAAAATTAGTGATGATTAGGAATCGAAAAAGTCTTCCTCATCAGGCAGAAGTTCTAGAAATTATTAACACATTTCACATGTTAAATGATGATACCAAGTATAAATATTATGTAAGTACAGCCACATATCCAGTGCTGGGGGGTATATTTTTAGACTGAATTTAAGAAACATAAGGGCTGGGCGCGGTGGCTCACGCCTGTAATCCCAGCACTTTGAGAGACCGAGAAGGGCGGATCACCTGAGGTCAGGAGTTTGAGACCAGCCTGACCAACATGGAGAAACCCCGTCTCTAGTAAAAATACAAAATTAGCCAGGTGTGGTGGCACATGCCTGTAATCCCAGCTACTTGGGAGGCTGAGGCAGGAGAATTGCTTGAATCTTGCAGTGAGCCAAGACTGCACCATTGCACTCCAGCCTAGGTGATAGAACGAGTCTAGATAGAAGAAACTTAAAAAAGTGCACAGCAAATATTTTTTAAAAAGAGGAATAAGATTCTAGGATAAGTTTAATATTTGCAACAATTACCCTTTAAAAATAGAAAGCTGATCAGCAAGAAAGACTCTGATAACCAATTTGATGATGTTACAGCTACATTTTCACAGTATATGTTCATAAACTTAAGTACTGGAATTAAAACAAAGCAGCACATATGGTAAGACTAACAAAATGTAAAGTGACAGATGTCTATAAATATGAAAATCATGTATAGTATAGTTCATTAATTACCTGTCATTGGATCTTAAAATTAGGAATGATATTTATTCCCACTCAGCCATTTAATGAATAGACTTTGAATGAGGAAAATAAGATATAACAAGCTGGGGCTTTTTATATATATATATATATTTTTTTTTTTATTATACTTTAAGTTCTAGGGTACATGTGCACAACGTGCAGGTTACATATGTATACATGTGCCATGTTGGTGTGTTGCACCCGTTAACTCGTCATTTACATTAGGTATATCTCCTAATGCTGTCCCTCCCCCCTTCCCCTACCCCAAACAGGCCCCAGTGTGTGATGTTCCCCTTCCTGTGTCCAAGGGTTCTCATTGTTCAATTCCCACCTATGAGTGAGAACATGCGGTGTTTGGTTTTTTGTCCTTGCGATAGTTTGCTGAGAATGATGGTTTCCAGCTTCTTCCATGTCCCTACAAAGGACATGAACTCAACATTTTTTACGGCTACATAGTATAAGCTGGGGCTTTTTTAAGGTGTTACTTTACTTTTAACAATCATGCAATCAGAAGTATTGTGTTGATTTTTGTGGGGGAAAGTGGGGTCTCACTATGTTGCCCAGGCTGGTCTCAAACTCCCAGCCTCAAGTGGTCCTCCCACCTCAGCCTCTCAAAGTACTGGGATTACAGGTGTGAGTCACTGCACCCAGCTTTGTGTTGATTTTTACTACACTGTCATAGTGTGAATATTGCAAACTAGAGCTTAATTTAAATTTAAATATACAGTTGGCCCTCTGTATCTGGGGGTTCCGCATCCATGGATTCAACCAACCAGGGATCAAAAATATGTAGAAAAAAAAATGGATGGTTGCATCTGTACTGAAAATGTACAGACTTTTTTCTTGGCCTTATTTCCTAAACAATACAGGGTAACAACTACTTACATAACGTTTACATTGCATTAGGTATTATAAGTAAATGGTGTAACTAGTAGAATCAAGTATATTAAAGGAAAATTATTAATATTTGACCTGTTTGATATCAACATTAACATCAGAGTAAAAAAAATAGCAATGTTCAACTTTCTTTCTCCTAGGAAACATTCCTAGGTGGTTGAGGAGGGTGACTTACGACTTCCTCTCAAAGATATCTAAACCAAGACGTCTTCAACTTTAGCCTGCATATGCATCACCTGGAAATCGAGGTGTAGGGTGGGCCCTGAGTTTGCCTTTCTAAGGAGAGATGCTAACAAGATCTGGACCATCAGCCACTCAAGACCTTTAACATGTTTCATACCTGTCGACACCCTGATACACCTTGGCCTCTGAAATACTTTACAAGCTTTGCTAAAGAACACGTTCATAATGTACCAGTTCTTTAGCACTGATTCCCTTAGGGAAATCTGTTCTTCAAGGCAAGTTTCCCATTGCAGTTCTCTATCAACCTGGCGGGGGAAGTTACTGCCAATCATTGACCAAGCAGCACAGATTGGGAGAACTCCGTACCTTGGCTCTATAAGCAACATCACTGTTCAGAGTGGTCATCCGAAGCATGCAGACTGGAGATACTATGAACTCTGATCACATAAATGAAGGATTCACTGTACTTTTGTAAGCAGACAGACAGGGTTTCCAGGGATTTTAGGAAATGAATAATCAACCTGAGGAAGCAGCCTGTTTTACAGCCTCTTGCCCTGCAGCCTGTGTGGAATGCAGTCGCCTTGCTGGTTGGAACCAGCAACTGACAGACCCCAGCAACTTATAGATGAACCCCAGTGAAGTTTCTTCATGCCATGCTAAAGCCCTCCTCCCCTAGAGGAGCTATAGCTTTATTATCATAACCTGTGACCCATCATGGCATGTAGAGGGGGGGTCTGGGCCACTGGGACCCCCCCCCCCATACACATGCCATGATGCACCTCTCCCTTCTCTATCACTCCATCAAACCCTCCTGTCACTTTCCCTTGGGAAGATACGGCTTTGGAGAACACTTCCCGTGTGTGTCTTACTTGTGCCAAGTAACACAATGCCTATTGATCAAAATCTGAGTTCTCCTGGAGAGTCGTTTGTTACTCACCAGGCAAATAAGCCCCAGTTTTTGGGAGGTAACATTATGAAATATTCTGAAGTAGTCCCATGAAAGATTTCTACTTTCCTTTTCAAATTATTGATAAATAAATGAGCTTGCTTTGGGCTATGGAGATAGTTTTACATGAATAAATCAATTCCTCTGAGCAGGGGCACCAGTGTGGAGATACAGGCTGACACACCAGCTCTCGCCTGTCCCTGGGTGGGAGGGGCTGGGCCGGTGCCTCCCCTGGATTGTTTCCTGTTTAGGCATTGCCAGAGGCGGGATGAGAAGAAAGGGCTGTGGGGATCTGAGGCTTGGAATTCCAAGATTGCTCCCAACTAAGCTGTGGTGCTTAGATGGACACCTGCACACCCCGTTATCCTCTGGCTGGTCCTACATGTTCAAGGACCCTTAAGGGGCTCTCCACAACAGACTTTCATCTCTTCTTCCGAATTGGCCTGCTCTCTGTTCAATTCCCTCAAGGCAGGGATGGATGACTGGCAAAGTTATCCAAGTGTTACGTGAGAGAAAGAGAACTATTTCTTTTGTCTGAGTCCTTTGTCTATCTTTTTCTTTTCAAGTATTCCCTGTCCTTCAAGAGCCAGGTGAATGCCACGTCCTCTTCAGAGCCTTCCTGGATGTCACAGCCGACCATTGCTGGGGCTCAGAAAAAGCTACCTGAACATATGGCGCTCTGGCCTGCAGAGTACTTTGAACTGGAGGAGATTGGAAGGCTTCAGCAATGGCCTCAGCACTAAGATCTCTCTGACCTTCTCTTGCCCTTGTGTCTCGCTCCTCTTTCTCCCCTAAGCACAGGGAGGGGCTGTCCCTGAACTTTCCTTGTCTCCTTAAAGATAGATCTAAAAAGGAACTCAGTTTCTCCTCCAGAGACAAGATTCACTGTATCATAGGAGAAGAGACTGGGGGTCCGGGCCACTCACAGACATCGCCATAGGCTATCGCCTGTTCGTCTTCCCCAAAAAGCACTTATTCTCCCCTAAGCAGCCTACATGCCCGATCCCCTCTTCTTTATGAAGAAGTAGATAAGCTTGTCAATTTCACTGGGTTTTGGGTACTCACTTTTGTTTCTCGTGCTGCTCCCATCCGTGTAATAAATGTGCATGTTTTTTTCTCCTGTTCATCTGCCTACTGTCCTGGAGTCAATTATGAAAACTCAGAGAGTAGAGAGAAAGTGTTTTCTGTCCCTATAGGAGGCAGCCGTTGCTCTCATGGCACTCATCACTGTCTGCCTGGCGTCATGCGTAAGTACCCGGTTGCCCCTAAAAGATTGCAAGCTCTGTGGGAGCGGAAACTGTGTCTCATTCATCTCCTGCAGGCACTCAGGAAGGAGGAAGAAATGGATGAAGCCTCTTATGTCCTAAGGCCTGCTAAGGTGCTTATGTAATCAAATTTTATCTTATCCTTATAATATGTGTTGCTTTACCTTTGATCACTGTAATGCCACTTATATAGCATGTTATAATTTATAAAGACATTTTCATATACTTTCTTTTTACCAACATTAATTTCCAACATCCTTCCATGCGTGTGATATTTTGGGGACAGTGTAGCTATCTGTTCTTTTGCCCCAAAATTACAACCAGCAGATGGCTGCCTCCATCCCCACTTAGAGATGTTGCCTGGCCGACAGCTCTCTGACTTCACAAAGAGGTCATCAGTCATCACAGAACCACAGAATCATGATGTGAGGGCGGCTCGCACCCCAGCGCGCACCCAGGCACCTTAGAGTCCCCGGCTTTGGCTCCCCTGGGTCCCCTGGTTGTGCGCCAGGCAAGATGTTGAGATGCACACTGGAAAACCGGAACGCTCAAACCAAGCAACTGCAAGCAGCTGTCTCAAATATGGAGAAGCATTTGGGAGAACTGTGCCAAGTCTTTGCTGCCTATGTGCGGAAAACTGCCAGACTGCGAGACAAAGTGGACCGAGGATGAATGAAATCAACTCATATGCCGCTACAGAGGCCCCACATCTAAGGCTGGGCCTGATGAACTTTGCTGATGAGTTTGCCAAACTTCAGGATTATTGACAAGCAGAGGTTGAAAGACTTGAAGCCAAAGTAGTTGAACCCTGGAAAGCTTATGTAACCATTGTAAAAATGAAACGGGATGACCCCAAAGCAACATTCACAGCAAGGAATCGAGAAGCTAAGCAATTAACTCAGGTAGAAGGAACAGGTCAGCGAAACCCACCTCATCTGATCGACATGTTATTGTATCCTTTGAATTTCGACCTTTAAAAAAAACGTTTTTTAGGCCAGGCATGGTGGCTCACGCCTGTAATCCCAGCACTTTGGGAGGCTGAGGCGGGCAGATCACGAGGTCAGAAGTTCGAGACCAGTCTGGCCAACATAGTGAAATCCCATCTCTACTAAAAATACAAAAAAAAAAAAAAAAAAAAATTAGCCAGGCGTGGTGGTGGGCGCCTGTAATCCCAGCTAATCAGGAGGCTGAGGCAGGAGAATGGTGTGAATCCAGTGGTGGAGGTTGCAGTGAGCCAAGATCACGCCATTACACTCCAGCCTGGCTGACAGTGCAAGACTCTGTCTCAAAAAAAAAAAAATGTTTTTTTAAGGTTGTTACTGCCCAGCTCAGCCAGAAACCACATGAGGAGTGGCTCTTTGAGAGCCTGAGGGGCTCATTCCTGAAGGGAGTCCCTGGAGCAGGGGTTTGGGGCTGCGCCAATTGCTTGGTCCTTCTTCCTTTGGACCAAAGGCAGACACAGAATTACAAAGAGCTGCAATGGATGCAACCCGAACAAGTCATCATCTGGAGGAAACTATTGACAACTTTGAAAGGCAGAAAATAAAGGCTATAAAGACTATATTTTCCAAATTTATCACAATCAAAATGTTATTTCACAGCAAAGCTTTAGAGGTCTACACAGCTGCCTACCAGAATATACAAAAGATTGATAAGCATGAAGATTTAGATTTACATGTTTTCCTAAATTCCCTGTATGCACCAGATTATTCATCTCGTTTAGATATGGTAAGAGCAAATTCAAAGTCACCTCACCAGAGATCATGTCAGCTAAGTGTGTATCTGGAACAGGACAGGTATCCACTACCAACTAAGAAAGGATCAGCAAGCAGATGATAATGAGGATGAAGAGTCAGATGTTACAGAAGAAGACAATTTTCTCAAGTAAACTACACATTTCCATTTTCATCATAAATGACATGAAATCCACAATGACTAAATTGTAGAACTTTATACTCACTTTGATATGGTAAGCCTCAAAATGAAATTCAACTAGAAATGGAAAAATAATTAAAGGAAACTTACGCTGACCAAAAATGAAGGCTTTAAAAAATATTACACACCAGTCATTTCAACATCCAAAAAAAAAAAAATGACTTGAGCGTAGCAATTTGTTCTCTACTACAGGTGAGGGAAAGAAACCCTTGACCCTGAAAAGAAGTGTTTTGCTTAATATATTATCAGAACTGGGAAGAGGGTTGTCTCTTTTCTCCTCCTCCTCTTCGTTTTTAAATTAACACCCCTTGTTTCCAAAAATCTATTCTATTAGCTTCAAATTGCCTTTTTGTTTCATTCTACTTTTCATTTAGATTGCCTTCTTTTGTTCTCATTTCTTTCTCTATTTCTTGTAAATTTTCATCTCTTCTTTGCTATTGTCCGTTTCTTTGAACCCTTCATATATTTATTGTCTAACCATGTAAAATGTGGTATGAACAATAGTCATCTTATTCCCTTTCACTTAATTTTTTGGTATCATTTATTTTCTGTCCTTTCATCAGTGTCTCATTTTATGAATTTTCTACATTATCACTTCCTCCATTATTTCAATTATTTTTTCATTTAACATCCAGGTGATCCAAAAACAAACAAACAAACAAAAAAACAAGTTCAGAGAATTATATTACAAACACCTGTGGGCCCACTATTCGGCTTTATCTGAAATTTTGCCAAATTTGTTTCAGGTTTTTGTTTTCTTGGGAAATAAAAAATAGGTTAAGAAAGTCCTCTTCTACTCCTGTTTTGGTAAAAACAAAATGTTATCATGAAGTGATGTTGAATTTTATCAAGAGCTATTTCTGTATTTCCCATGATGCTCCCATTTTTTCTCAATTTGTTGGTATGACAAAATAAACAAAATTTTCTGATTTTATTTTATTTTATTTTTTTTATTGATCATTCTTGGGTGTTTCTCGCAGAGGGGGATTTGGCAGGGTCATACGACAATAGTGGAGGGAAGGTCAGCAGGTAAACAAGTGAACAAAGGTCTCTGGTTTTCCTAGGCAGAGGACCCTGCGGCCTTCCGCAGTGTTTGTGTCCCTGGGTACTTGAGATTAGGGAGTGGTGATGACTCTTAACGAGCATGCTGCCTTCAAGCATCTGTTTAACAAAGCACATCTTGCACCGCCCTTAATCCATTTAACCCTGAGTGGACACAGCACATGTTTCAGAGAGCACAGGGTTGGAGGTAAGGTCACAGATCAACAGGATCCCAAGGCAGAAGAATTTTTCTTAGTACAGAACAAACTGAAAAGTCTCCCATGTCTACCTCTTTCTACACAGACACGGCAACCATCCGATTTCTCAATCTTTTCCCCACCTTTCCCCCCTTTCTATTCCACAAAACCGCCATTGTCATCATGGCCCGTTCTCAATGAGCTGTTGGGTACACCTCCCAGACGGGGTGGTGGCCAGGCAGAGGGGCTCCTCACTTCCCAGTAGGGGCGGCCGGGCAGAGGCGCCCCTCACCTCCAGAATGGGGTGGCTGGCCGGGCGGGGGGCTGACCCCCCCACCTCCCTCCCGGACGGGGCGGCTGCCGGGCGGAGACGCTCCTCACTTCCCAGACGGGGTGGCTGCCGGGCGGAGGGGCTCCTCACTTCTCAGACGGGGCAGCTGCCGGGCGGAGGGGCTCCTCACTTCTCAGACGGGGCGGTTGCCAGGCAGAGGGTCTCCTCACTTCTCAGACGGGGCGGCCGGGCAGAGACGCTCCTCACCTCCCAGACGGGGTCGCGGCCGGGCAGAGGCGCTCCTCATATCCCAGACGGGGTGGCGGGGCAGAGGCGCTCCCCACATCTCAGACGATGGGCGGCCAGGCAGAGACGCTCCTCACTTCCTAGATGGGATGGCGGCTGGGAAGAGGCGCTCCTCACTTCCTAGATGGGATGGCGGCCGAGCAGAGACGCTCCTCACTTTCCAGACTGGGCAGCCAGGCAGAGGGGCTCCTCACATCCCAGACGATGGGGGGCCAGGCAGAGACGCTCCTCACTTCCCAGAGGGGGTGGCAGCCAGGCAGAGGCTGCAATCTCGGCACTTTGGGAGGCCAAGGCAGGCGGCTGGGAGGTGGAGGTTGTAGCGAGCCGAGATCACGCCACTGCACTCCAGCCTGGGCACCATTGAGCACTGAGTGAACAAGACTCCGTCTGCAATCCCGGCACCTCGGGAGGCCGAGGCTGGCGGATCACTCGCGGTTAGGAGCTGGAGACCAGCCTGGCCAACACAGCAAAACCCCGTCTCCACCAAAAAAATACGAAAACCAGTCAGGTGTGGTGGCGCGCGCCTGCAATCGCAGGCACTCGGCAGGCTGAGGCAGGAGAATCAGGCAGGGAGGTTGCAGTGAGCCGAGATGGCAGCAGTACAGTCCAGCTTCGGCTGGGCATCAGAGGGAGACCGTGGAAAGAGAGGGAGAGGGAGACCGTAGAAAGAAAGGGAGAGGGAGACCGTAGAAAGAGAGGGAGAGGGAGAGGGAGACCGTGGGGAGAGGGAGAGGGCAAAATTTTCTGATTTTAAACTATCTTTGCACTCTGAGATAAATCCAACTTGTTCATGATATATTCTTATTTATATATTGCTAGAACTATGTTGGCCAAAATTTATTTAGGATTTTGTAACTATATCCACAAATGAAATTGGCTTATAATTTATTTTTGTATTGTTCTGTTCAAAATTATATGTGTTCATAAGATAAGTTGGGAAACATTCCTCTTTTTCTGTTTAAAAAGTTATTAGATTATTCAGAAAACCATTTGTTATACATGTAACATTTCTTTGTAAGATTGCGTTTTTGATGGTTTGATTTTTAACTGCTGATAAAATCATGGAAGCATGATTATTGATGTATGCAAGTTTTCTGTTCAAGTCTCTTTTGATATGTTACATTTATTTTAGGAAAATGTCCATTTTATCTTTTTTTTTCAATTGTCATTAAGTTGTGAACAGCATTCTCGTAGGGTTTTCAAAACCTCTATTCCCTCTTTGCAATGACTCATTTTAGTCCTAGTGTATTTGTGTGTGTGCTTTATCTCATTTTTTCTACTCAATCTTGCTTGCAAGTCATTCCATTTTATTTGTTTTTACAGTCAATCAGCTTTAGGCTTTACAATCTTCTCTATCATTTCATCAACTTATGCTTTCTATTAATTCCTTGTATCTACTATTTTGGGGTTTACTCTGTTGAGTGTTTATGTCATTACTTTTCAGTCGTTTCTTTTTTACTAAGATACAAGCATCTGAGATTATACACCTCCCACTTACTACACTTTTTGAAAAATTTCAACTTTTATTTTAGATACAAGGGGTACATGGCAGGTTTGTTACGTGGGTAGATTGCATGATGCTGAGGTTTGGGGTGTGGATCCCATCACCACCCAGGTAGTGGCATAGTATCCAATAGAGAGTTTTTCAGTCCACTTCCCCTACTTCCCTCCCCGCTCTAGTAGTCCACAGTGTCTGTTGTTCCCACGTTTATGTCCATGTGTGCTCAAAGTTTAGCTCCTACTTACAAATGAGAGCATGAGGTATTTTGTTTTCTGTTCCTGCGTTAATTCGCTTAGGATTATGGCCTCCAGCTATATCCATGTTGCTGCAAAGTATGTGGTTTTGTTCTTTTTTATGGCTATGTACTTACTACACTTTCGATGTGTTCTGCATATTATACTTCTCATGATCATTCAGTTACTTATTTTTTTTTTTTGAGACAGAGTCTCGCTCTGTCACCCAGGCTGGAGTGCAGTGGCACAATCTTGGCTCACTGCAACTTTCGCCTCCCAAGTTCAAGCGATTCTCCTGCCTCAGCCTCCTGAGTAGCTGGGATGACAGGTGCACGCCACCACGCCCGGCTGATTTTTGTATTTTTAGTAGAGATGGGGTTTCACCATGTTGGTCAGGCTGATCTCAAACTCCTGACCTCATGATCCTCCCGCCTCAGCCTCCCAAAGTGCTGGGATTACAGGCATGAGCCACACCCCTGGCCTCAGTTACATATTATTTTCTAAGTGAAGAAGCAGTTTGGGATTGTGTTAAAAAGGATGTGTTCTGCCTCTGGGCAGAATCACACTGTTCCTCAGTTTCATTATCTGTAAAGTGGAAATAATGACAGTTCTTACTTGGGGTCCTATCAGGATTAAATGAGCTAAACATGTAAAATGCATGGAAGAATGTCTGGCACATCATAAAAGCTCAACTACTGTTGGTAATTATCATTGTTATAATTTTTTGATTTTTAAGTTTTTAGAAGGTTTTTTAATCTCTAGAAATATATCCTTTGTTGCCTATTTTTTTATTAATTTTGAATTATTGTACTGAGGTAAGAGAATGCAGTCAATATGATAAAAAATGTTTTGCTCTCTACTGAAATTCCAGTATCATTTTTCACAGAAATAGGAAAAAAATCCTAAAATTCACATGGAACCACAAAAAAAACCCCAAATAGCCAAAGCAATTCTGAAAAAAAAAAGTTGGAAACATGAAACTTCCTGATTTAAATTTATATTACAAAGTTATAGTAACCAACACAGTCTGATACTGGCATAAAAACAGACACATAGACCAGTGGAATCAAATACAGAGTCCCAAAATAAATCCAAACACAGATAATCAACGAACTTTTTTTTTTTTTTTGAGACAGAGTCTCGCTCTGTCGCCCAGGCTGGAGTGCATTGGCATGATCTCAGCTAACTGCAACCTCCGCCTCCTGGTGCAAGTGATTCTCATGCTTCAGCCTCCCGAGTAGCTGGGATTACAGGTGCCCACCACCACATCCGGCTAATTTTTGTATTTTTAGTAGGGATGAGATTTTACCATGTTGGCCAAGCTGATCTCAAACTCCTGACCTCAGGTGATCTGCCCACCTCAGCCTCCCAAAGTGTGGGATTACGGGTGTGAGCCACTGCACCCAGCTGGTCAACTAATTTCTGACAAGGGAATCAAAAAAATACAATGGGCAAAGGATCATCTCTTCAGTAAATGGTGCTGGGAAAACTGGATTTCCACATGCAAAAGAATAAAATTAGATCCCTATCTTACACATGCATAGAAGTCAACTCAAAATGAATGAAAGACTTAAAATATAAGACCTGAAACTGTAAAACTACTAGAAAATAACATAAGGGAAAGGCTTCATGACATTGGTCTGGGCAAGGATTTCTTTGGATAGGACCCCAAATGTTCAGGCAACAAAAGCAAAGACAGACAAGATTGCATCAAACTAAAAAGCTTCTGCACAAGAAAACAACTAGCAAAGTGATGAGACAACCCACAGAGTGGGAAAAAATATTTGCAAATTATATATGTAATGAAGGTTAGTATCCAAAATATATAAGGAATTCAAACTACTCAATGGCATGAAAACAAATAACCCAATTACAAAATGGACAAAGAACCTGAACAGACACTTCTCAAAAGAAGACATAAAAGTGGTCATCAGGTTCATGAAAAAAAAAATGCTCAACATTACTAATCATCAGGGAAATGCAAATTAAAACTGCAATGAGATACCACTCCCACCTGTTAGAATGGCTCTTATCAAAAAGAAGAAAGGTAAGTATTGGTGAGGATGTAGAGAAAAGGGAACCTTTGTAACGCATTGTTGGTGGGAATAAAAATTAGTACTGTCATTATGGAAAATGGTATGGAGATTCCTCAAAAATCTGAACATAGAACTGAGAGGTGACAGCGTGCCGGCAGCCCTTGCTCACTCTCGGCGCCTCCTGCGCCTCGGGGCCCACTCTGGCCGTGCTTGAGGAGCCCTTCACCCCTCCACTGCACTATGGGAGCCCCTCTCTGGGCTGGCTGAGGTCGCAGCCGACTCCCTCTGCTTGCAGGGAGGTGTATGGGGAGACGCCCAGGCGGGAACTGGGGCTGCGCCCGTGCTTGCGGACCAGTGCGAGTTCAGGGTGGGTGTGGGCTCTGCAGGCCCCGCACTCAGAGTGGCCGGCCGGCACCGCCGGCACCAGGCAGTGAGGAGCTTAGCACCCAGGCCAGCAGCTGCAGAGGGTGCGCTGGGTCCCCCAGCAGTGCCGGCCCTGCGCTCGAATTCTTGCTGGGCCTCAGCTGCCTCCCTGCAGGGCAGGGCTCCAGACCTGCAGCCTGCCACGTGCCAGACTCCCCCACGCTGTGGGCTCCTGCTCAGCGGAGCCTCCCCAACAAGCGCTGCCCCCTGCTCCACGGTACCCGGTCCCATCGACCACCCAAGGGCTGAGGAGTGCAGGCACACGGCACGGGACTGGCGGGCAGCTCCACCTGCAGCCCCAGTGCAGGATCCACTAGGTGAAGCCAGCTGGGCTCCTGAGTCTAGTGGGGACTTGGAGAACCTTTATGTCTAGCTAAGGGATTGTAGATACACCAATCAGCACTCTGTGTCTAGCTCAAGGTTTGTAAATACACCAATCAGCACCCTGTGTCTAGCTCAAGGTTTGTAAATACACCAATCAGCACTGTGTCTAGCTCAAGGTTTGTAAATGCACCAATCAGCACTCTGTGTCTAGCTCAAGGTTTGTGAATGCACCAATCAGCACTCTGTATCTGGCTAATCTGTGGGGACTTGGAGAACCTTTATGTCTAGCTAAGGGATTGTAAATACACCAATCAGCACCCTGTGTCTAGCTCAAGGTTTGTAAATGCACCAATCAGCACTCTGTGTCTAGCTCAAGGTTTGTGAATGCACCAATCAGCACTCGGTATCTGGCTAATCTGTGGGGACTTGGAGAACCTTTATGTCTAGCTAAGGGATTGTAAATACACCAATCAGCACCCTGTGTCTAGCTCAAGGTTTGTAAATGCACCAATCAGTGCTCTGTGTCTAGCTAATCTAGTGTGGACTTGGAGAACTTGTGTGTCTAGCTCAGGGATGGTAAACACACCAATCAGCACCCTGTCAAAATGGACCAATCAGCTTTCTGTAAAACCAACCAATCAGCTCTCTGTAAAATGGACTAATCAGCAGGATGTGGGTGGGGCCAGATAAGGGAATAAAAGGAGGCTGCATGAGCCAGCAGTGGCAACCCACTCGCGTCCTCTTCCACGCTGTGGAAGCTTTGTTCTTTTGTTCTTTGCAATAAGTTTTGCTGCTGCTCAGTTTTTGGGTCCGCACTGACTTTATGAGGTGTAACACTCGCTGCGAAGGTCTGCAGCTTCACTCCTGAAGCCAGGAAGACCACGAACCCACCAGGAGGAATGAACAACTCTGGACGAGAGGAACGAACAATTCCAGATGCACTGTCTTAAGAGCTGTAACACTCACCATGAAGGTCTGCAGCTTCACTCCTGAAGCCAGCAAGACCATGAACCCACCAGAAGGAAGAAACTCCGAACATGTCCAAACATCAGAAGGAGCAAACTCTGGACACATCACTTTTAAGAACTGTAACACTCACTGTGAGGGTCCACGGCTTCATTCTTGAAGTCAGTGAGATCAAGAACCCACCAATTCCAGACACAGAACTACCGTGTCATCCAGCAATCTCATTTCTGGGTGCATATCCAAAAAAATTGAAATCAATATGTCAAAGTAATATCTATATTCATTGCAACATTAGTCCCAATAGCCAAGATAAGGAATCAACTAATGTCCATGAACAGATGAATGGATAAAGAAAATATAGCATATGTATACACAATGGAATACTAATCAACCTTTAAAAAATAATGAAATTCCTCCATCCTGGCTAACATGGTGAAACCCTATCTCTATTACAAATATAAAAAATTTAGCTGGGCGTGGTGGCAGGCACCTGTAGACCCAGCTGCTCGGGAGGCTGAGGCAGGAGAATGGTGTGAACCCGGGAGGCGGAGCTTGCAGTGAGCCAAGATCGCACCACTGCACTCCACCCTGGGTGACGGAGCGAGACTCCATCTCAAAACAAAAAAAAAAAAGAATGAAATTCTGTCATTTGGGACAACATGGATTAATTTAGAGGACAATATGCTAAGTGGCATAAGCCAGGCACAGAAAAACAAATATTGCATGTTCTTTCTTACATGTAGGATCTAAAAATAGTTGAACTCGTAGAAGCAGAGAGTAGAATGGTGGTTACCAGAGGCTGAATGGTTTACTAGAGGCTGAGTGGGAGAGAGAATGGGGTGTTGCTGGTCAAAGGGTACGAAGTTTTAGCTAGACAGGAGGAATAAGTTTTCAGATCTACTGTACAGCAGAGTGACTATAGTCAATAATAATGTATATTTCAAAATATCTAAGAGAGGAAAGTTCAATTGTATTAACACAAAAAATGTTGAGTGAGATGATGTATTTGTTAACTAGCTTGATTCAATCATTCTACATTGTATGCATATACCAAAGTATCATTGTATTCTATAAATATAATACAATTATGATTTATCAAATAAAGTAATATTAATTTTAAAAAGTTTTTGTATTGGTATTTCCTTTGTGACCCTAACATGTTACATGTATGCCTAAACATTATGTGTGTTCTCTGCTTGTGAGCCATAGAAGTTTTCTGTTTGTTTAGTTTTTGGGTTTTTTTTTGGTTTTTTTTGAGATGAAGTTTCGCTTTTGTTGCCCAGGCTGGAGTGCAATGGCACTATCTTCTCTCAGCACAACCTCTGCCTCCCTGGTTCAAAGGATTCTCCTTGCAGCCTCCTAAGTAGCTGGGATTACAGGCCCATGCCACCAAGCCTGGCTAATTTTTTTTTAAATTTTTTTTTTATTTTTAGTAGAGACAGGGTTTCGCCATGTTGCCCAGGCTGGTCTCCAACTCCTGACCTCAAGTGATCGGCCCGCCTCAGCTTTCCAAAGTACTAGGATTACAGGCGTAAGCCACCACACCAGGCCTCCATTTAACTATTTTTTAAATCCCCAATAATACTTTTTGCCTTCAACACCAAGATGCCCAATATTGTTATAGCCCACAAGTTTTGTTCCATTTTTTGTTTTGTTTTGTTTTGTTTTGTTTTGTTTTCGGATAGTAGATGTTTGGTTGCCCTTTTTTGATTGTTTACTTTTGACTTTTCCATATCAGTAGGTATATCTCTTATAACAGAATACAGCAAGAATCTTTAAAACACAAGTTTTAACTGATACTTTATCTATTTATATTTGTTAGAATTACTGATATATTGGATTTATTTCTGCAATCTTGTTTTTGTGCTTCTTTCCATACTTTGCTTCTTATTTTTCCTTTCTCATCCCCTAGTAAATTAACCATTTTCATCATCCCTCCCTTTTATTTTCAACTCATTTTAAAGTTCTATGTTCTCTTTATTCTTTTAGGAATTACCCTTACATTTTCTTGATGTATTTTGACTTAAAACCAAAGTTAATCAATATGCTTACTCATTTCCCAAACATCATTAGGATTTAAAAACACATTTTAAAACTCCCAAAACCTTATGTGTCATTTTTCCAGTAGTTTAGTTACAACATTGTTTTTACACCCTCAAATTAGCTATTATTGAGTTTGTTCTTTGACATAGTTAGTGCTTTTTAGACTTTGCCGAAAGTTTATAAATTTCCTTGCTTTCTATTTATTTTTGTAACTTGGTCTTTCCTTCTGAGCACAGTTATCTTATTCCTGAGGAGGAAAATCAAATGGTTCTGTCAGTGAGTCTGTGAAGGCAAATACATGGTAGTGGTGTTCCCAAGCCAAGAAATGCACATAAACTGGTATCCTTGAGCTGGGACTGTGGATTTATGCTGATCTTTCTCTTCGAGGTTATTGCCTTTCACAGTTCTCAGATTTATGCAGGGATCTCAGTTCTTACCTTCCGTCAACAGTAGGCCTAAGGCCCCATTCCTTGCGCCTGCATGAAAGTTAAACCCAGGTCCCTGTTCTCCAGGGACGCTCGCCTACGGCTGCTTCAGACCATGTGCTAGCAGCTCTGGTTGTCATTTCTGGATATTTCTCTGGGCAATGCTTTCTTGAGCACTCAGGTTTACATTTTAGAAAATATTTGTTCTATTTTTACTAGCATTTGTAGTTCTTTAGGGGAGAATTTTCAAAACATTAGGTCCACAGTATTGACAAGCCAGAAGTCTTAGATCTACAGTTTATTTTACAAAAATTTCCTTTCTGGATTTGGATCATATTTTTCTGTGACACCGTCATGTATAACTTTTCTCTCTCCCAAAAGGCTTCAGTAAATTCTAAAATACATTGTATAAATGAAATTTTTCAAAATAACTTTAATAACCACTTTTACACTGAGCAGAATATGTCTCTCATTCTCTCAAAAATGGTCAGGAGATAATTTTTTCATTTATGAGTTTCTATTGCAGCTTTCATTTTCTTAGGTAGACACAGTTTCAGAGACAATTCAATTTCAAGTTTGTTGCTGCTATTATAAAATATGGACTCAGTATAGACATTTAGAATACTAAATGGTTCATAGAAATAAAATGTTTCTGCACTAGACAGGCAGGCTGCCAATAGTTTCCTAGTATAAGTTCTGGCAAATCCCTTTCCCAAGAACCTTATGAACCAGGTAACCCTGTGAGGAATGCACATTACAAACTCCTGAACACACTAAATATATAAATTGCTTTTCAGAATATCTTTAGCAATAAGTTCTTTGGTGATATGTTAGTGGCAGCCTCAAAAGGTCCTAATTTTATGTGTCAGACACACACACACACACACACACACACACACATATTTGTTTGTTTTCTAAATCGACATATCTGGAAAAGGATAATATTGGGTTCATGTCTCCCCTTATGGCCAAAGAAAAACAGTAATGGAGAAAGAAAGAAAAAAAAAAAGCTCCCCTGTTGATGTGCCCTGTACTGTGATTAAGATAAAGAAAAGATTTTTCTAGATCATAAAAGTCAGCATCTTATTAGTGTCCAGGAACTCAATAAAATATTAGCAAATCAAATTCAACAACACATCAAAAAGATTAAACATTATGATCAAGTGGGATTGATTGCTGGCAGGCAAGGCTGGTTTAACACATGCAAATCAATCAATGAGATACATCACATTAATAGACTAAAACATGAAAACCACACAATCAGATCAATTGACACAGAAAAAGCATTTGACAAAGTTTAACATTCCTTCTTGATAAAAAATTCTTAACAGTTTAGGTATAGAAAGAAAGTTCCTCAACATAAGAAATACCATTTACAAAAACCCACAGCTAACATCATAATAAGGGGAGAAACTGAAAACTTTTCCTCTAAGACCTGGTACAAGGCAGGGATGCCCATTCTTACCACCCTATTCAACATAGTACTGAAAGTCCTATCAAGAGCAATTAGACAAGGAAAAGAGACAAAATCTATCTGAATTGGAAAGGAAGAAGTAAAATTATCTCTATCTGCAGATTACATGATTCTATATGTAGAAAATCCCAAAGATTCCACCAAAAACTGTTAAATATAATGAATAAATTCAATAAAGTTGCAAAATATAAAATCAGCATGGAGAAATATGTGGCTTTTCTATACACAAGTAACAACTTAGCTGAAAAATTTAAAAACCATAGATCATGATGCTCATCTAAAGAGGAAAAAGAAAGATGAAAGGAAAGTAGTTAATTAAAATTTTTTTAAAGAAATTTAAAAACCATCCCATTTACAATATCATAAAAAATAGGAATAAATTAACCCAGGAGGCGATAAATCTGTACAATGAGACCTATGAAATAATGATGAAAGAAATGGAAAAGGACACAAATAAATGGAAACATATTCCATGCTCATGGACCAGAAGAACTGATGTTGTTAAATGTCTATGCTACCCACAGCAACATGTGGATTCAATGCATCTTGACCAAAATCCCAACAACATTCCTCATAGAAATAGAAAAAACAATCCTAAAATTCATATAGAACTGCAAAAAAACTCCTAATAGCCAAAGCCATTCTGAAAAAAAAAAAAAAATGTGGAGACATCACACTTCCTGATTTAAATTTATATTACAAAGCTATAGTAACCAACACAGTATGGTACTGGCATAAAAACGAACACATAGACCAGTGGAACAGAATGGAGAGCCCAGAAATAAATCTAAACACATATGGCCAACTAATTTTCAAAAAGGGTACCAAAAAGACACAGTAGGGAAACTATAATCTCTTCAATAAATAGTGCTGGGAAAACCGAATTTCCACATTCAAGAGAATGAAATTGGACTCATCTCACACCATACACAAAAAAACTCAAAATGGATAAAAGACCTAAAGGTAAGGCATGAAACCATAAAACTCCCAGAAGTGTGCATAGAGTAAAAGCCTTGGCAATGATTTCTTGAATACCACAGTAAAATCCAGGCTACAAAAGTAAAAATGAATAAAGGGACTATATCAAACAAAAAGACTTCTGCATAGCAAAGGATACAATCAACAAAATAAAAAGGCAATTTACAGATTAGAAAAAAATATATTTGCTAACTATATAACAGATGAGGGGTTAAGGTCCAAGATTTATAAAGAACTTGTACAACTTAATAGCAAAAAATCCCATATAACCCGATTTATAAATTTCTCCAAAGATGACATAAAAGTGGACAACAGCTATATGAAAAGCTTCTCAGCAACACTAATGATTATGGAGATCAAAACCATTATGACATATCACCTCACACCTGTTAGAATAGCCATTATCAAAAAGACAAGAAATAACAAGTTTGGGGAGGGTATGAAGGAAAAGGAACACTTGCATGCTGTTGGCGGGAATGTAGCGTTGACCCTTGAACAACACAAGTTTGAACTGTTTGGCTCCACTTCTATGTGAATTTTTTACAGTAAACATATTGAAAACATGTTTGGAGATTTGTGACAGTTCAAAAAAACTTGCAGACAAACTGTGTAGCCTAGAAATGTCTTAAAAATAAGAAAAAGTTAGGAATGTCATGAATGCATAAAGCACGTGTAATAGTCTATTTTATCATTTACTACCTTTAAGTATACACAAATATATTATAAAAAGTTAAACGGACAAACACAGACTGTACTTGGCACCATTCATGGTCAAGAGAAATGTAAACCAATGTAAAGATGCAGTATTAAATCATAACTGCATAAAATTACCTGCAGTAATACTGTACTACTGTGATAATCTTGTAGCTACCTCCTATTGCTGTTGTGGCAGAGCTCAAGTGTTGTGAAAGTCCGCTTAAAATGCTGTGTGACACTGATCATCTCTAAGTGGGCAGCTCATCTTGCCAGTAAATTGTGCGTTGCAGTAAAAAGTGATCTCTTGTGGTTCTCATGTATATTTTGTTGTGTTTAATGCAATACCATAAACCTCGAATAAGACCATGGGACTCATACGAAGTGCCACTAGTAATGCTGGAAGTTCTCCCAAGGAGCAATTAAAAATCATGACATTATAAGAAAAACTTGAATTTTTTTGATATGTACTGTAGATTCAGCTGTGGTTGCCACCATTTCAAGATAAATGAATCCAGCATTCAGACCATGTTTAAAAAAAAAAAAATGGGAAGGAAATTGTGAAGTTGTCCCTACAGCTACACCAGAAGGCATGAAAAACTTGCACTTTTTATGAACTGCCTATTTGTCTCATATAGAAAATGCAGCTTTTATGTGGGTGCAGGATTGCTATAAAATTGGCATGACTATAGGCTCTAATATAACTGGGGGAAAAGCAAAGTCATTAGATGATGAGTTAAATGACAAGGAAGGTGAAGGATCCAAAGGTGGAGAATTTGGTCGGGCATAGTGGCTCACGCCTGTAATCCCAGCAGTTTGGGAGGCCGAGGTGGGCAGATCACCTGAGGCCAGGAGTTCAAGACCAGCCTGGCCAACATAGTGAAACCCCATCTCTACTAAAAACACACCAATTAACTGGGCGTGGTGGCAGGTGCCTGTAATCCCAGCTACTCAGGAGCCTGAAGCAGGAGAATCGCTTGAACCCGGGAGGTGGAGGTTGAAGTGAGCCAAGATCACACCCTTGCACTCCAGCCTGGGTGACAGAGTGAGACTCCATCTCAAAAAAAATAATAATAAATAAAAGTGGGGAATTAAATGCCAGCAAAGGATGGTTTGATAATTTTGGAGAGAGGTTTAGCTTTTAAAATGTCAACATAACAGGAGAAGCAGCTTGTATTGACCAACAGGCAGCAGATGAGTTCCCAGATGCCATTAAGATAATCACTGAGGAGAAGAGATACCTGAACGAATCAGTTTTCTTGTTGATTTTCTGTTGTTGTTGTTTTGAGACAGAGCTCACTCTGTCACCCAGGCTGAAGTGCAGTGGTGATCTCAGCTCACTGCAGCCTCTGTCTCCTGGGTTCAAGTGATTCTCGTGCCTAAGCCTCCCGAGTAGCTGGAGTCCCAGCTACAGGTGCATGACACCACACCTGGCTAATTTTTGTACTTTCTGGCAGAGACAGGGTTTCACCATGTTGGGGGCTGGTCTGGAACTCCTGGCTTCAAGTGATCCGCCCGCCTTAGCCTCCCAAAGTGCTGAGATTACAGGCATGAGACACCACATCCGCCCTGAATCAGTTTTTAATGCCGACAAAAGTGCTCTATTCTGCAAGAAAAAAAATGCCACAAAGGATATTCATTAGTAAGGAAGAGAAGCAAGCACAGGATTTAAGGCAAGAAGGGATAGGCTAACTCTATTGTTTTAGGCAAATATAGTTGAGTTTATGAAAACAGGACTGCCCTTATCTATAAAACTGCAAACCCCAAGCCTTGAAGGGAAAAGATAAACACAGCTGCCAGTTTTTTGGTTATATAATAAGAAGGCCTGGACAAGAAGAACACTTTTTTTGGATTACTTCCATCAATGCTTTGTCCCCAAAGTCAAGAAGTACCTTTGCAGTAAGGGATTGTTTTTTAAAGGTCTTTTGGACAATGCTCCCTGGACACCCAGAACCTCATGAGTTCAACACCAAAGGAGTCAAAGTTGTCTACTTGCCCCCAAACACAGTTTCTCCAATTCAGTCTCCAGATCAGGGGGTCATAAGAACCATAAGGCTCATTACACACTGCAACTCTACGGAAAGGATTGTCAATGCTATGGAAGAGAACCCCAAAAGAGAACATCATGAAAGTCTGGAAGGGTCACACCATTGAAGATGCCATCATTGTTAGGGACGGAGCCATGAAAGCCATCAAGCCCACAACAAGAAATTCCTGCTGAAGAAAACTGTGTCCAGATGTTGTGCATGACTTCACAGAATTTACAACAGAGCCAATCAAGGAAATCAAGACAGAGATTGTGGATATGAAAAAAAAAAAGCTGGAGAGTAAAGGGTTGCAAGATATGCATCTTGGAAAATAAAAACAAAATACACACACACAAAAAAAAACACAAAAAATGTGTTATGGTTTTTTTTTTTTTTTTTTTTTTTTGAGATGGCGTCTCACTCTGTCACCCAGGCTAGAGTGCAGTGGCATGACACGATCTCGGCTCACTGCAACCTTCGCCTCCCAGGTTTAAGCAATTCTCCTGCCTCAGCCTCCAGAGCTGAGATTACAGGTATGCACCACCATGCCCAGCTAATTTTTTTGTATTTTTCATAGAGATGGGGTTTCACCATGTTGGCCAGGCTGGTCTCAAACTCCTGACCTCAGGTGATCCGCCCACTTTGGCCTCTCCAAAAAAAGTTTTAAGATATTGATGTAGGAGAAATTCAAGAGTGAACAGACACCACCCTAGAGGAATCAACAGACAACGACGATGGAGTGAGTGCTTCCAAACCAGCGCCAGACAATGAGGCAGTGCCAGAAAACAAGTTGGCATTAGATGATCTGGCAGAAGGGTTTTGATTATTCAAGACTGCTTTTGACTTCTTTTACAACATAGACCCTTCCATGATATAGGCAATGACACTAAAACACATGATGGAAAAATGATTGGCATCATATGCAAATATTTTTAGAGAAACGAAAAAGCAAAAATGTCAGGCAGAAGTTACAATGCATTTCCATAAAATTACACCTACTGTGCCTGCCTCTCCTGCCTCCTCTTCCACCTCCTCCACCTCTTCCGTATCTGCCAACCCTGAGACAGCAAGACCAACCCCTCCTCTTTCTTCCTCTCAGCCTACTCAATGTGAAAATGAGAAGGATGAAGACCTTTATGGTGACCAACTTCCACTTAAAGACTAGTAAATATATTATCTTTTATGTTTAATTAACATGAATACATAACAGTTATACATATTTATGGGGTACATGTGATATTTTAAAACAAACAAGCAATGTGTAGTAATCAAATTAGGGTAATTAGAATATCCAAAACCTCAAATATTTATCATTTCTTTGTATTAGAAACATTATAATTCCACTGTTTTAGTCATTTTGAGATATACAATAAATTATTATTAACTATAGTCACCCTATTATGCTCCCAAATACTAGGTCTTATTCCTTCTATCTAACTGTATTTTTGTATCCATTAACTATTCCCTTTTTCTGTCCACCCTTCCCCTCCCGACCAACTACCCTTCCTAGCTTCTGGTAACCATCATTCTACTCTCTATTTCCATGAGTTTACTTTTTCTTCCAAACTCCCACAGATAAGTAAGAACATGAGATATTTGTTTTTCTGTGCCTCACTTTTTTTCACTTGACATAGTATCCTCTAGCTCCATCCATGTTGTTGCAAATGACAGGATTTCATTCTCTTTTGTGGCTGAATAATATTCCATTGTGTATATACCCCACATTTTCTTTATCCATTCATCCATTAGTGGGCACTTAGGTCGACTCCATGTCTTGTCTGTTGTGAATAGTGCTGCAATAAACCTGGGAGTACACATATCTCTTTGACATACTGATCTCCTTTCTTTTGAATATATACCTATCAGTGAGATTGCTAGATCACATGGTCATTCTATGTTTAGTTTTTTGAGGAACCTCCATACTGTTGTCCATAGTGGCTATACTAATTTACATTCCAACCAACAGTGTACAGGTGTTCCCCTTTCTCCACATCCTCTCCAGCATTTATTATTGCCTGTCTTTTGAATAAAAGCTATTTTAACTGGGGTGAGTTAATATCTTATTGTAGTTTTGATTTGCATTTCTCTGATGATTAGTGATATTAGACATTTTTTCATATACCTGTTGGCCATTTGCATGTCTTCCTTTGAGAAATGTCTAGTCAGATTGATTGCCCATTTTTAATTGGATTACTTGGGATTTTCTTCTATTGAGTTGTTTCAACTTTTTAAATATTCTGGTTAAGAATCCCTTGTCAGGCTGGGTGTGGTGGCTCACGCCTGTAATCCCAGCAATTTGGGAAGCCAAGGAGGGTGGATCATGAGGTCAAGAGATCGAGCCAACATGGTGAAACCCTGTCTCTACTAAAAATACAAAAAATTAGCTGGGCGTGGTGGCACGCACCTGTAGTCCCAGCTACTCAGGAGGCTGAGGCAGGAGGATTGCTTGAACCCGGGAGGCAGAGGTGGCAGTGAGCTGAGATCATGCCACTGCACTCCAGCCTGGTGACAAAGCAAGACTCTGTCTCAAAAAAAAAAAAAAAGTGTGTTATATTCAGGATTTTTGCTAAATGGGCAGATTATAGTTGTACTTGTCACCAGATGGGGCCAAGGATAGTGTGGGGCTGAGGAATGGGTAACTATGTGAGATGATGAATATGTTTATTAATTTTTTCCATCATAGTAACTATTTTACTATATATGTATTTTGTGGGTTTTTATTGTTGTTTTTTTGAGACAGAATCCCACTCTGTTGCCTAGGTTGGAGTGCAGTCACACAATCTCGGTTCACTGCAACCTCTGCCTCCTGGGTTCAAGGGATTCTCCTGCCTCAGCCTACCAGGTAGCTAGAACTACAAGCGCGCACCACCATGCCTGGCTAATTTTTGTATTTTTAGTAGAGATACGGTTTCACCATGTTGGCCAGGCTGGTCTCCAACTCCTGGCCTCAAGGGATCCTCCCACCTTGGTCTCCCAAAGTGCTGGGATTACAGGCGTGAGCCACTGTGCCCAGCCTATATATGTATTTTTATAACATCATGTTGTATGCCTTAAGTACACACAATAAGAAAAAAAAATTTAGATAGAAGTTTCCGGGTAGCTGTGTGGAAAAATCACCATAGCAAACATGATGGGATCCCCCTTCATGTTTCCCACACTCAGTAAAGCAGCCCTGTGCAGACAGAGCTGCTCCTCTGTGCTTTTCACTATTGCTTTGGGCGATAGAATAGCTATACATGTAGAGTTTAGCCATTAGTTATAAAGCCAGCCGGTGTAACCGTGACCAGAGTGAAGGAAAGCTGTGGCAGTTGTCCCAGAGCCACTCCTGATGCCTCCTCCCTCGCTCCCTGCAGAAGTCACCACTCGCCTGACTTTTGTGGTAGTAATTTATTTGCTCTTTATCTCCTCCATGTGTGCACTCTAAACAACAGAGAATCGCTTTGTCTATTTATGAACTTTTTAAGGAACTTTAAATAAAACCATGATGTTTATATTGCTTTGTGATTTGTTTTCTCCTTGGCATTGGTTCATCCTGGTCGTGAGTAGCTTAATTCATTCATTAGGGTTGCTATATAGTAATCGCTCTATGACCATACCATGATTGATTGATTGATTCTCTTGTTGCTCTGCTATATTTTATGACAATAACCTCCTCCAAGTCCTCTGTATTTACCACTGTGCCTCCCATCCTCTGCACCCAAAGGGTGAACATCTAGCTCTTTACATACTTTGGACATGATATATAACTTTTGTCTTTGGCACTCAAGAGAATCTACAGTTGTTTATACTTTTCTTGAAATTCTTGGAATGCCAAGAGTTGCTTCATTAGTAATAAATAATATTCTTAAAGTCATTTTTTTTTACCTTCAATCACAGCATTTATCTCAGACAAGGCCCACAGTGAGCAGTCAGCAAATTCTTGTGTATGATAATATTGATGATGCCTGGCTGGTCACCAGAAACACTTCAAAGCAGAGGTTTTTTGTTTTTTTGTTTGTTTGTTTGTTTGGTTTGTTTTGTTTCTTGAGAAAGAGTTTCACTCACGAAGTTTCACTCTTGTTGCTGAGGCTGGAGTGCAATGGCGCGATCTCAGCTCACCGCAACCTCTGCCTCCCGGGTTCAAGCCATTCTCCTGCCTCAGCCTCCCGAGTAGCTGGGATTACAGGCATGCGCCACCACGCCCGGCTAATTTTGTTATTTTTAGTAGAGACGGGGTTTCTCCATGTTGGTCAGGCTGGTCTTGAACTCCTGACCTCAGGTGATCCGCCCACCTTGGCCTCCCAAAGTGCTGGGATTACAGGCATGAGCCACCTCACCCAGCCCAAACCAGAGTTTTGAGTTAGACATAGTTAAAGCACATCTTTCTTTTCCCCATTGAATTGAATAATCAAGATTAAAGAAATTCACTTGTTCTTTTTTTAAAAGTGATAAAATATACATAACAGAAAAGTTACCATTTGAACAATTTTTAGGTATACAATCCAGTGGCATTAAGTATATTCACATTTTTTCTGCAACAATTACTACTATCCATTTCCAGAACTTTTTCATCATCCCAAACAGGAACTGTTCTTTTTAAGCACTATTAGTTCCTTTTAAGCACTAATTCCCATTCCTCCCTCCCCTCTAGCTCCTGGAAACCACTGTTCTCCTTCCTGTCTCTATGGATTTGACAATTCTAGGTACCTCATATACAGGCAGTCGTACAATATCTTGCCTTTTGTGACTGGCTCCTTTCATCACGTGATGATTTTGACTCACGAATTAAATGAAGTGTCATGAATAGTTAAAAAGTAAAATTCAAGCCCCAGATCCAATTCAGAGACCAGCCTTGCACGTGTATTCCTTTAACTTCTCCCACCTCTTGCCACAGTGCCAGGCCGGGCTCCTGTGATGCTGGTGGCTGGAGAGCTATCAATTCCAGACCCACCAGGGAGAATGAACGGGAAATCCTAGAGTTGTTTCACTGGAAGGCTGTGAAGTGGTTTCCTTAAAACTGTTAGTTGCTTTTGCCACAGTATCGTCTGATTGAATAACCATAGAGCAGTAGCATGCTTTACACTTATTTATTTATTTATTTATTTATTTATTTATTTATTTATTTTGAGACAGAATCTTGCTCTGTCACCCAGGCTGGAGTGCAGTGGTGCGATCTTGGCTCACTGCAACCTCTGCCTCCAGGGTTCAAGCAATTCTCCTGCCTCAGCCTCCCAAGTAGCTGGGATTACAGGTGCGCACCACCACGCCCAGGAGTTTTTGTATTTTTAGTACAGATGGGGTTTCACCATATTGGCCAGGCTGGTCTCAAACTCCTGACCTCAGGTGATCTGCTCACCTCAGCCTCCCAAAGTGCTGGGATTACAGGCGTGAGCCACTGCGCCGGTCTGCTTTTCTTTTTTAACTGTGAAATACATCAAGGACAGAGAAGAATACGTGAAATATATGTGCAGCTAAAAAGAGTCATAAAGTGAACATCCACCTAACAACCCAAATCAAGATATAGAACTTGGCCAGCACCCAAAAGTCCCCCGACTCCCTCTCCCACTAGAGAGAATAACCATTCATCTTGACTTTTACAAGAATAATTTCCTTGCTTTTCTTTGCAGTTCTACCATCCATGAATGCAAGCTTTGCTCACTTTTGAATTTTATGTAAGTAGAATTTTATTGTATGTATTATTTTGTGACCTGCTTTTTTCTTTTTAATTATGGTAAAATATATACAACAAAGTGGTTACCCTCTGAACCATTTTAAAATGTACAGTCCAGTTACATTAAGTGCAATCACCTTATTATGGACTTATCACCACCATCCAGCCACAGAACTCTTTTTGTCTTTTGCAAAACTGAAACTTTGTGACCATTACACAACTCCCCTCCACAGCCCCGAGCAACCACAATTCTACTTTCTGTCTCTGAATTTGCCTATTTCTAGGTACCTCAAATTAGTGGAATTAAAGTATATGTCCTTTTGTGACTGGCTTATTTCACTTAGCATAATGTCCTCAGAGTTCATCCATGTTGTAGCATATGTCAGAATGTATTTCCTTTTTAAAGAAGAAACATATTCCATTGTATGTATATATATATATATGTGTGTGTGTCACATTTTCTTTTCTCTTTTTTTTTTTTTTTTGAGACAGAGTTTCACTCTTGTCGCCCAGGCTGGAGTGCTATGGCGTGATCTCGGCTCACCGCAACCTCCACCTTCCAGGTTCAAGCGATTCTCCTGCCTCAGCCTCACAAGTAGCTGGGATTACAGGCATGCGCCACCACGTCCTGCTAATTTTGTATGTTTAGTAGAGATGGGGTTTCTCCATGCTGGTCAGGCTGTTCTCAAACTCCCGACAGGTGATCTGCCCACCTTGCCTCCCAAAGTGCTGGGATTACAGGTGTGAGCCACCACACCCGGCCCACATTTTATTACTTTTTTTTTTTTTTTTTTTTGAGATAGGGGTCTCATTCTGACGCCCAGGCTGGAGTGAAGTGGCACGATCTCGGCTCACTGCAGCCTCCACCTCCTGAATTCAAGCAATCCTCCCTCCTCAGCCCCTTGAGTAGTTGGGACCACAGGTGTGTGCCACCATGCCGGGCTAATTTTTGTAGTTTTTGTACAGATGGGGTTTCGCCATGCTGCCCAGGCTGGCCTCAAACTCTGGGCCTCAAGCGATCCGCCTGCTTCAGCCTACCGAAGTGCTGGGATTGCAAGGGTGAGCCACCGCACCCCGCTCACATTTTCTTTATCCATCCATCCCTCGGTGCTTGGTTGCTTCCTCCTTTTGGCTATTGTGAACAAAGCTGCTATGAACCTTGGCGTACAGATATCTCTTTGAATATCTGCTTTCAGTTCTTTTGGATATATACCCAGAAGTGGAATTGTTGGATCATATGATAGTTCTATTTTTAATTTTTTGAGGAACTGCCATGTTTTCTACAGTAGCCACGCCATTTTACATTCCCATTAACAGGCACAAGGATTTCAATCTCTCCACATATCTGCCAACGCTTGTTATTAGCTGTTTTTTTTTTTTAATAGTAGCCAACCTAATGGATGTGATGTGTATGTATCTCATTGTGGTTTTGAGTTGCATTTTCTTTTTTCTTTCTTTCTTTTTTAGAGATGAGGTTTTGCTATGTTGCCCAGGCTGGAGTGCAGTAGCTATTCACAGGCACAATCATAGTGCACTGCAGTCTCAAGCTCTGGGCCTCAAGGGATCCTCCTGCCTCAGTCTCCTGAGTAGCTGGGAGTACAGGCTCATGGCAGCATGCCCAGCTTTGATTTGCATTTCCTTAATGATTAGTGATGTTGACCATCTTTTTGTGTGCTTATTGGTGGTTTATATGTTTTCTTTGGGGAAATGTCTATTCACTCATTTTTAAAACTGGTTGTTTGTTTGCTTTTTGTTGCTGTGTTTTCATTCTTTATATATTCTGGAAGTGAACCCCTTATCAGACATATGATTTGCAAATAATTCTTTCATTCCATAGGTGGCCTTTTCACTTTGTTAACTATGTCCTTTGATGCACAGAAGTTTTAAGTGTTTGGTGTAGTTCACCTAGCTAATTTTTGTTTTGTTGTCTATGCTTTTAGTGTTAATACAAAAAGTCATTGCCAAATCCAGTGTCATGGAGCTTTTCTCCTATATTTTCATCTAGGAATTTTATAGTTTTAGGTCTTATACTTAAGTTTCAAATTAATTTTTATATACAGTGTAAGGTAAGGATTCATCTTCATTTTTTTTTTTTTGGCATGACAATATCCAATTCTTCCAATACTATTTGTTGAAGAGACTGTCTTTTCCCCAGGTATTGGCACCCTGTTGAAAAACATCTGACCATATATGGGAGGGTTTATTTCTGGATTCTCTATTCTATTCCATTGGCCTACATGTGTGTCTTTATGCCAGTTACCACACTGTTTTGATTATGATAGCTTTGTGGTAAGTTTTGAAATTAGGATGTTTGAGACCTCCAACTTTGTTCTTCTTTTTCACCATTGTTTTGGCTATTTGGAGGTCCTTGAGATTCTATATGAATTTGAGGGCTATAAGAATGTAACCTGCTTCTTTTTCTCAAATTAAGCTTGTGAGTTTCTCCCAAGTTGCACATTGTGGTAGTTCATTTATTTCCACAGTCATATTTATCCAGTCTACTCTTGTTGAACATTTGGAACCTTTCCACTGGGGCTACTAAGAACAGTGCTGCTATATACATCCCTACATATATTTTCCGGCATGGTTGTGTAACAGTTTCTCTAGGGTATATCCATAAGAGTCGAATTTGTATGTTTATCTGCAACTCTATAGAATATTCCCCTACTATTTTCCAAATGGTTGATACCTGTTTATGGCATATAAGATTCCATTGCTCCACCTTTTTATGTATTCACCTGCTATGGTTTAAATGTTCCCTCCAAAGCTCACCTTGAAGTTTAATTGCCATTGTAACAGTGTTGGGAGCTAGAACCTTTAAGAATTGATTAGGTCACAATGGCGGGGAATGGATTAATGCCATTATCATGGAAGTGGGTTAGTTATGGTGGGAGTTCAGCCCCCTTTCTCTTTGCCTCGTATGCTCACTTGCCCTTCTTCCCTTCTGCCATCTTACGATGCATCTGGAACTCCTTCACCAGACATGACCCCTTGAACTTGGACTTTCCAGCCTCCAGAACCATAAGCCAAGTAAATCTCTTTTCTTTAAAAATTACCCAATCTGTGGTATTCTGTGATAGCAGCAGAAAACAGACTAAGGCATCACCAAATTTTGTTTTTTATCACAATAAAAAATATTAGAAGCAACTCAAATAGCTATCAATGGGCAGTTAGCTAAATAAATTATTACAGAGCCATACAGCAGAATATTTTACAGCCATTAAAAGTGACAAGAACAGCTAACCTTTATTATCTAGGCACCAGGCTCTGTTCTAAGTGCTTTCCATATATCATCTAGTTTGATTCTTACAATGACTCCATGAGGTAAATGTTACTATTCTGCCCATGTTACAGGTGAAGAAACTGAGACACAAAGATATTAAACTACTTCATTGGGTGGGGTGCAGTGGCACATGCCTGTAATCTCAGCACTTTGGGGGGCCGAGGGGGGTGGATCACGAAGTCAGGAGTTTGAGACAAGCCTGGCCAGCATGGTGAAACCCCATCTCTACTAAAAATACAAAAAATTAGCCAGGCATGGTGGTGCATGCCTGTAGTCCCAGCTACTCAGGAGGCTGAGGCAGGAAAATTGCTCGAACCCGGGAGGCAGAGGTTGCAGTGAGCCAAGATCGCACCACTGCACTCCAGCCTGGGCGACAGAGCGAGACTCCATCTCAAAAAAAAAAAAAATTACTTCCTCAACTTCACATAGCTGATAAATAGAACAGTCAGGATTAAAACCCAGCCAAGCTGATTCTGTAGCTATTATTAAATGGTCCAAAATAAAATTTAGAAATGACATAAAAATAATCAAGAAAACCAGAACTAGGCAAATCCTGTTAGTCTTAAAGCTATCTAACCTTCATATGAAATTTTGTGGATTTCTTTAGACTGGATTTCAGAAAAAGAAATACAGAATTTTTCCCATGGTCACTCTTCTGAGGCACAGTCAAAAGTGCTAGGTCATTAAAAGACCTACTAAAAGTTGAAATATTGACAGAAATATCTATATTCCTCATACATGACACATAGCCATTCAAAATCCATTTTGCTTGCAGAATACTCAAAATGTATTTATGTATTTTCAATCAACTCCAGGATTTGGTAGTTTTTAGAATTTTAAAGAGTCAGTTCCTATTTTAGAATATCTTTCTCTGCAAATGTCCACTCCTCTTGCCCTATCACCTCTTCCCCTCAGCTGATAGCCTCGTGTCCTGTTTCATAGAGACAGGCAGTAACCACCGTGTGAAGCCCACCCCAACTTTCTGTCACCGAAACCAGAAGCCACCCAGATCCAAGGCCAAGCCCTTCTCCTTCCCTTAGAGGGAGTGTCCCTCCTGATAGTGTCGTCCCATGAGCCCTCAACCCCATCTCTGCACCCTGTCTCAGGAAGTTCAGTGCACCAATTATCCCCTGTACTCCTCCTCTCAATTTGGCCTTTCCCAGAATCACATAATCATGCTCTGACAGCTCCCACCTTAGCAAACAAACAAACAAGTAAACACAAGCACAAGTATCCAAACAACAAATCAGACATCTGGTCAAGATGGTGCAATGAATTTATGCTTTAAAGCACTCCTCTTCTTAAAACTCAGTCATGAGAGATAAAATATAAAAATAGAAACCAGACTCAAAAAGAAAACAAAACAAAAATCTCTATCTCTTTGCACTGGAAATAGAACAGAACTGCAAAGCAAGGCCAGATGGGCTCCAGCTCCAGAGGAGAACAGTATGGTTGGGATTGATTCCGGTGTGATAAAGGGGTGAAGCCAGGCTCAATAACAAGGCCAGGACCTGAGGTGGAGCTTCCCTAGCATGTGAAAAGGGGTGGAAAAAACTGTTCCTGCACACTGTATTAACCACATCTTTCATTTTCTGTATTCTGATGCTTTGGACATCCAGGGCCTGGTTGACCCTGGAGGGACTGCTCCTCCCAGGGTAAGCCAGTTTTTAGAGATAGTAAACAACTCATCCACAAGCATGTTTTTCAAATACCAACGAACCAGTCCAGAGCCCAACCACCTCCTGTATTGGGCTCACATACTCTGAGCTAGTATCCCCTTGCTCTAATCACCACAGGACCAGGTGCCAGGCAACTAGGGCCAGTCACTGTGTCCAGAGTCCACTGAGATGATTCAAGCCAGCCATCCTAAGCCTGTTTACTCGGCCTTGCCTGTTTGTTCCTGTGGAAACTACAGTAAAGACTCTGCCCAGCTAAGCGCGGTGGCTCACGCCTATAATCCCAGCACTTTGGGAGGCCGAGGCAGGCAGATCACGATGTCAAGAGATCGAGACCAACCTGGCCAACATGGTGAAACCCCGTCTCTACTAAAAATACAAAAATTAGCCAGGCGTGGTGGCGGGTGCCTGTAATCCCAGTTACTCAGGAGGCTGAGGCAGGAGAATTGTTTGAACCCGGGAGGCAGAGGTTGCAGTAAGCCGAGATTGTGCCACTGCACTCCAGCCTGGCCACAGAGCGAGACTCCAACTCAAAAAAAAAAAAAAAAAAAAAAAAAAAAAGACTCTGCCCACAGTTCCCACTCTCTTCCTCTTCCTCCTGAGCAACTTGGTTTCCCTTATAGCCCTGCCTGGCATGGTGTGCCCTTTTTCTCCTGGGAACTGTAAGTAACAAGCTCTCTTTGCAATGTCAGTCCTCTCCTGATATGTTGGCCTTACAATACCTCGAATTTTCTACTAATAGACTATATTTTAAAACAAACACAACCTAGGGCTAAATATTTTAGCAAATAGCAGACCTAAGGCATGGATGGTCACGGAAACCCTTCATGACCAAGTATTATGGCTTGAGTTGTGTCCTCCAAAAAGATGCCTTGAAGTCTTAACCCCTTAACAGTCAAAGACTGTTAATGGTCTTTGCAGATGTAATGAAGTTAATATGAAGTTGTTAGGATAGGTCCTAATCCAGTATGACTAGTGTCCTTATAAGAAGAGAAGAGAGGCCAGGTGAGGTGGCTCATGCTGGTAATCCCAGCATTTTGGGTGGCCAAGGCAGGAGGATTGCTTGAGCCCAGGAGTTCCAGACCAGCTTGAGCAACATAAAAAGACCCCATCTTTACCAAAAAAAAAAAAAAAAAAAGGGAAGAGACACAGACACACTGAGAAAGACAGCCATGTGAAGATAAAGGCAGAGATTGGAGAGATGCTGCCATAAACTAAGGAAAGCCTGGGGACCCCAGAGGCCAGTTTACAGAACACTGAAATAACGGAAGGCAGTTCCTAGAAAGGCCAGGACAGATCCTCCCCTGGAGCATTCTGAGGAAGCGTGGCCCTGCAGACACCTTAATTTCAGACTTCTGGCCTCCAGACCTGTGAGACAATAAATTTTTGTTGTTTTAAACCACTCAGTTTGTGGTAATTTGTTACAGTAGCTCAAAAAAAATGAATGCACCAAGCATTGACCAAGCAGAAGGATTAGATGTGCATTATGGTTTGAATTGTATCTCCCCAAAATTAATACATTGAAGTTCTACTCCCCAGTACCTCAGAATGGGACTGTATTTGGAGATAGGGCCTTTAAAGAGATAATTAAATTAAAATCAGGACATTAGGTTGGGTCCTAATCCAATATGACTGATGTCCTTAAAAAAGTGGAAATCAGGGCCAGGCGTGGTCATTCACACCTGTAATCCCAGCACTTTGGGAGGCCCAGGCAGGCAGATCACGAGGCCAAGAGATCGAGACCATCCTGGCCAATATGGTGAAACCCTGCCTCTACTAAAAATACAAAAATTAGCTGGGCGTGGTGGCGCGTGCCTGTAGTCCCAGCTACTCGGGAGGCTGAGGCAGGAGAATCGCTTGAACCTGGGAGGTGGAGGTTGCAGTGAGCCAAGATCACACCACTGCACTCCAGCCTGGTGAAAGAGCAAGACTCCATCTCAAAAACATCCCCCACCCAGAAAAAAATGGAAATCAGGTCACAGACATGCACAGAGGAAGGCATTGTGTAGACACAGGAAAAAGACAGCATCTACAAGCCAAGGAGACCTCGAGAGAAACCAATCCCTCCAGCACCTTGATCTTGGACTTCCAGTCTCCAGAATTGTACAAAAATAAGTTTCTGTTGTTTAAGTAACTCAGTCTGTGGTACTTCGTTAAGGTAGCCTAGGAAACTAAGACAATGTGCAACTCAATATCACTACAACACAAGAGCCCCAGAATGCCACTATAAGACTAAAAACAGGCTGGGCACAGTGGCTCATGCCTGTAATCCCAGCACTTTGGGAGGCCAAGGTGGGTGGATCACAAGGTCAGGAGTTTGACACCAGCCTGGCCAAGATGGTGAAACCCCGTCTCTACTAAAAATACAAAAATTAGCCAGATGTGGTTGCAGGCACCTGTAATCCCAGCTACTCAGGAGGGTGAGGCAGGAGAATTGCCTGAATCAGGGAGGCAGAGGTTGCAGTGAGCCAAGATCGCACCATTGTACTCCAGCCTGGGTGACAGAGTGAGACGCCAACTCAAAAAAAAAAAAAGACTAGAAACACTTTTGTGTTGGGGATTGGGGGCCTTGAAGCCAAGTGGAAACATCTGAGTAAGATAGAGAACGATCAGTTAACAAATGTAAAAGATAGTTGATGGCCAGGTGCAGTGGCTCATGCCTGTAATCCCAGCACTTTGGGAGGCTGAGATAGGTGATTGCTTAAGCCCAAGATTCAAGACCAGCCTTGGCAACATGCCAAGACTCTGTCTTTACAAAATTAAAAATTTTTAAAAGATAGTTCAGAAGCTCCAACAAACATTTCCAGAAGAAAACGGAAAGAATGGCAGGGAAACAACATTTGAATAGCCAAAAACTGCAAGTGTGAGGTGACTGCACATTGAGAGTGAACTCTGAGCAACAAGCAAGATTAGGATGAATTCCCATGGAGACACATTCGATGAAATTAAACAACAAGAAGAGAAGGAGTAAGTCTCAAAAGCTATCAAAGATAAAAGACAGATTATTTACAAAAGATTAATCATTAAATTGGCAGCAAGAATAGATAGATGCCAGAATAAAATAGTCATATATTTAAAGGACTGAAGGAAAATAACTGTCAAATCACAATTTTGTGTCCAGCTTAAGTTTCACACAATTATGAGGGCAAATTAAGGATATTTTCAGACATGTACCAAAAGAAACATTGAAAGAGGTGCTTCAGCAGGAAGAAATCTGATCCCAGGAGAAAAACGTGAGTTACAAGAAACAAAAGTGAACACAAAATTTGATAGACTATGTCAGTAAATGTAACTGATTTGTAAATAATTAATATATTTGAGTTTTTAAAAAATCCAACAGACTGTTTTCTGGCAATCAGACAAAACTGATTCTAAATCCATACGGAGAAAACAAACACATCTGACCTTTGTTGTCTGGTAATGATGTGCTATTTCCACCAACCTTCCACCCGAAAACAACTAAAAATGCTAAATAAAATATTTTTAAAATCCTCATCTGATCATGAGGAATTACCCTGCAAATGTTGGAGGAGAAACAGAAACCCAGAATGGTATGTGGAGTATGAAGGCTACATTTGCCCAAAGGCTATCTGTGGATCCTAACAATTGTGAATTTTCATTTTGAAGCTGAAGAGGACAAAGGGAAAAGAAAGGAAGCCCTGGGTCTGAACAAGGTGGAGGCTAAGAAGAGAGTTATATTCTCAGGAGAGGGCTCATCCTCCCTGAGATGAGCAGCCCAGGTTTATGTTACCTGAGAAATCCCAGAGGACCTGAAGCCAACAACATGGTGTAAGGTGCTCCTGGGCCAGTGGTATTTCCAGGTGCCTAGAAGAAGCAAATGAACATCTTTTTTGCAGAAAACCTTCATCTCAGATCCCAGGGAAAACCCCTTAACTAATAGTTTAATGATAGTGACGAACACACAGTCAAAGATAACCAGGAACACAAGGAAATAAGGCACCATGAATGAGAACAACAGAAATAACAGACCTGTTAGTCTGCTGAAAAAAGCAGACACCACGATGGGGTTAAATGAGAAAGAGATTTATTACGGGAAACACCTAATACTTCTCGAATGCAGGAAATGAAGGAAAATGGGCATAAGCCAGAGAAGATGGGGAGAGCCATCAGACTGTGACGCAGGTGAAGGAGAAAGGGAAGGAAGGAGCGGGGGATAGAAGAGTCTTACCCTGCAGGTACAGTTCTAAAAGAGCTTGTCAAGGCCGATGGGAAACCCTGAGCCAAAGGTGCCCATCAGAGGAGTTTTGTGTTTCCCAGGGATAGACCCAGCTTAGCATCCCTGCCCTGCTTGGGCATTAGCTGGGAGCAGCTGAGGCCGTCGGTCAGTTATACTCCCTGAAACTGGAGACCTGAGAGAAGTATCTCCCAGCCACCACCCCTTGTACTGTCCTGCACTTCTCCATATGGGTTCAGGGAGGAGTTCCTCTTTGGTTATTGTGGGAATTTATTCTTAACAAGCGGAAACCTAAAAGAGGAGTGTCAGGGGAATGACGCCTCTATCACTGCAGCTGATTTCAGGGCTGCAGCTGTTACACCTCTCCCCAGTTGGGATTCGCCTCATCTTCAGCAATGATCTCAGCAGCTCTTGATGGCTCACCTGGTGGTGTGAACCAACTCTTCATTCCTGAGAGGTGTGAGCCCTTGATGATCACACTCTCCTAAGGCTGGGCTTGTTGCATGTGTCCATTCACAATTACAGCAGGGCAAGGGCGTACCAGGATGCACCCCAGCGGATCATGTGGGTTCCATTCATTCTGCTCCACTGCAGGAGACAGGGCCCCTTTGTAAGTTACCACTGAGCCTCCTACAGTTAACCATGAATAATGTGTTAAGGGTCCCAGTTTCTCATTATCTCTCTGCACGGCATCAATACAACGTAGCAGTAACTAGCCACTCTGCTGTCTTGGTAGGCATGGCTTCCTGCCCCCACCTCCAAATCTTTTGAATGCCTGCGTCTCTACCACGGCCCTTTCACTGGGACATTTTTTCACATCATTACTGGTGAAATCTCTAGTAATTAAGCCTCACTTTGTGCCAGGGACTATTCACACCCCACCTACCAACCAGGATAGCATCGTCTTTGCCCACCTGGCAGTGTGTGAAGCAACCTCAAATCCCCATTTATCATCTGTTTTCTTCAATTATTCCTTGTACCCTTTATGTTGGTCCAGGTTCTACAAGAGGCAGACACCAAGACAGAATTAGACATGCAAGAATTTATTAGGGGAATGCCTGTCCCGGAAAGTGGGTAGGCAGCCAAGGGAATTGTGGAATAGTGGAGAGTTATATTACACTGCCGTTGTGGTCCCTGTGCAGCAGAGAGGGAACAAGGAAGGCCAGGAGGAAGAATCTTGAGCTGCAATGCAGTTCTAAGGAAGTTCAGTAAGACTGATGGTGAGTCCTTGAGCCAAAACACCTATCAGAAGAATCCCACGTCTCCCAGAAACAGGCTTTGGGCACAGTGGCTCACACCTGTAATCCCAGCACTTTGGGAGGCTCAGGCAGGAAGATCACTTGAGGCTAGGCCTTCTAGACCAGCCTGGGCAACACAGCAAGCCACCATCTTTACAAAAAAAAAAATCGTGTTTTAATTAGCTGGTATATTAGTCTGTTCTTGCAGTGCTATAAAGAACTACCTGAGACTGGGTAATTTATAAAGAAAAGAAGTTCGATTGGCTCATGGTTCCACAGGCTGTACAGGAAGCATGGCTGGGGAGGCTTCAGGAGATACACGATCATGGTGGAAGGTGAAGGGGAAGGAGGCATGTCCCACATGGCTGCAGTGGGACAAAGAAAGTGAAGGGGGAGGTGCTACACACTTTTAGACAAACAGATCTCACTCACTATCACACTATCACGAGATCATCAAGGGGAAAATCTGCCCCCATGATGCAATCACCTCCCACCAGGCCCTTCCTCCAACACTGGGGATTACATTTGACATGAGATTTGAGCAGGGACACAAATCCAAACCATATCAGCTGGGCATGGTGTCATGCACCTGTAGTTACAGCTACTTGGGAGGCTGAGGGAGGAGGTTGAGACTGCAGTGATCTATGATCACACCACTGCATTCCAGCCTGGGCAAAAATAAACAAAAACAAACAAAGAAACAAAAGAAACAGGCCTTCCTCAGAGTCCTTGCTGTGCCCAGCCACCTGTTTTTACGTATTAAGAAATAAAAGACTACCTTGAAAAATATCTCTGGGAGCCAGGCCCTGTGGTTCATGCCTGTAATCCCAGCACTTAGGAGGCTGAGGGGAGAGGATTGCTTGAGGCCAGAAGTTTGAGACCAGCCTGGGCAACATAATGAGACTCTGTCTTCACACACACACACACACACACACACACAAACATAAATAAAATTAGCCAGGTACAGTGGCATGTGCCTATAGTCCAAGCTACTTGGGAAGCTGAGGTGGGAGGATTGCTTGAGCTCAGGAGGTCGAGGATGCAGTAAACTATGATCTCACCACTGCCTTCCAGCCTGGGCAGCAGAGCAAGACCCTATCTCAAAAAAGAAAAAGAAAAGAAAAGAAAAGAAAAGAAAATGTCTTTGGGGAATCAGGAACTATAAAATTACCCTAACAAACAAATAGAACTCCAAAAAGCAAACAACCCTATAACTAAAATTAATTACTCAAATATAGTTTAACAGCAGGCTAGACAGAGCTAAAGAGAAAATTGGTGAACTGGATGTTGGTCAGAAGAAATTATGTAGAATGTAGCACAGAGGACAAAAAATATAGAAAAGAGGTTAAAAAACATTGATGATAAAATAAGAAGGTCTAATATACATTTAATAAGTGTCCTAAAAAGAGAGGAGAAAAAATAACTAAAAGACAATATTTGAAATGATAATAACTAATAACTTACAAGAAAGACAAATCCACAGATTTAAGAAACTTATCAAATCCTAAGCAGGGGAGAAAATCTACAACTAGATACATGCAGTGGAACTAAAACAAAACAAAACAAACAAAAACATGAAACAATACAATTATTTTAAAGGTGCAAAGACAAATTTTCAAAGCAGCCAGAGGGGGAAAAAACTAATTACCTTAGAGGGAGTTAAAACAGTCAGACTGTGTGAGACCTAATTCTTTAACAGCCACAGTGGAAACCGGAAGACAAAGAATGAGATTTTCAATGTGCTAAGAGAAAATAATTGTCAATTTGAAATTATTTCAGGAAGGAAACAAAGAAAGACATTTTCAGACAAAGAAGACAAAGAGTTTACGACCAGGAGAAGCTTGCTAAAGGGAATTCTAAGGGGCATATTTTAAAAAAAGAAAAATGATCCCATATGGAGAGCCAGAAATGATGAAGGAATGAAGAACACAGGAAGCTCTAAATGTGTTGATAAATCTAACAAACATTGACTGTATAAAACAAAAATAATGATGTCTTTGGGGATTAAAAAATAAATGATAGAAATGTAATTAGTTTAATCTCTATGGAGGGAAATTTAGCATTACTGTACTTATCAAAATTACAAATGTACATATCCTTTGATTTAGCAATTCCACAAAGAATTGTAGGAATTTATTTGAAGGTTGAGTATTTCTTATTGTAATTAGTCTTCACATTGTTTTGACTGCAGGCAAGGATATTTCAGATATGTGAGCGCTTACTGGAACCAACGAAATTCTTAAGTTGTATAATTCTTCCAAATTCTTTGATAATTCCTGGTTCAATCTGTGTTTACCCCCACTAAATTTATGACTACTTCTGTTTCTAAATGCTTTACAATTGAATCACAATTAAATGTAATGAGAAGATCATATTTAAAACTCCATGATTAATTATTCTATAAAATAACACTTTTTTTCTATTATAAAGAAAATAGCCTCTAATTTATCTGTTTTTCAAGTGCAGAAAATCGTCATGTTGAAGTGGACTGCATTGCAAAAGCTTTTAAGCTGCTCGTGTGAACTCTGAATAAATTTTCCCTAAAAACCATTTTATTAAAAATGATTGTATTCACAAATAATCTTAAGAAAGTTGGTTTAACCCACAATGAGTTGAAATGGTCCACACTTGTGATGAAAAATAGTAAAAAGCAACATTTGTTATTTCCAGAAAATTGAAAATGGATAAGAACAAGAATCAATCTTTTTGTTCAATGTCGGTGCCTCAGGAAAAGTGGGTAAAAGCAATGTAGACACACAATCAGATGAGAAGACGACAAGAGCCTTCTGTAGAACTCTGGGCCCTTTTTGAGGCCTTTACGAGTTTATGGAGAAATCATGAAATGTATTATTTTCCTTTTCCTTTTCCTTGGAAAAAAATATCTAAGACCATAACACGTTTGCTTTAAAGTTGTGATTAGTGTCACTACTGCTGCACAAACAGAACTCGAGAAAGAAGAAGAGAAATCATCTTTTTTTTATTATTATTTTTTATTTTTTTTTGCGAGACAGAGTCTGGCTCTGCCGCCAGGCTGCAGTACAGTGGTGCGAGATCTTTGCTCACTGTAGCCTCCACCTTCCGGGTTCAAGCAATTCTCCTGCCTCAGCCTCCTGGGTAGCTGACATTACAGGCATGCGCCACCACGCCCAGCTAATTTTTGTATTTTTAGTAGAGATGGGGTTTCACCATGTTGGCCAGGCTGGTCTCGATTTCTTGACCTCGTGATCCGCCCGCCTTGGCCTCCCAAAGTGCTGGGATTACAGACGTGAGCACTGCGCCCGGCGAGAAATTATCATTTCTAAGGAAGCCAAACGGGTTAAGAGAGGCAAGGAGGAAGAGGAGGGTTTAAGAGAATATGAGTGCCAACAAAGCAACTGCATGAGACTAAATAAACTGAATTATAAATGGAAAAACACAAAGGAAAAGTAGCTAGAGACAGGTCTGTCCCCTGGGTAAGGATCACAATGCCTGGCCTTCGTGAAAGCTCAATGAAGATTTATTGAACAGAGCAGAACTGAACTGCCCCCGAGAAAATCGTTTGAGGGTAGATGTTAGTTACCCATGTGGACCACCAGGTGGCAGCATGATCTCGTGACCCCTCAATTGTCCCAGGTAAAACCCGGATGGGAAAGAAGCCCATCTACCACCAGGAGATTTTTGTGGATAGATGTTCATTAGTCAAATGTTCATAATTTGGTAAGAATTTGTATGACTTTTCTCAAATCAGGTGAAGGACGGCTGAAGGAATCTTACTGATGGAATTTGGGTCCCAAACTCCCTACCTATTTTAACCTGAAGTCATTATTCTTCAAAAATTACCCAAAAAACTACATTGCTACATTTCTAACCATTAATATCAAGTTAAAAACACATGGAATGTGTGAGCTAGCAATAATCTAGATGACCGACATTCAGATAGAACTATTGCTACTACATGTTGCCTTTTGCTTTTTATAGCTGTGAATTGACCTATTTCCCAAAAATACAATTAGTCCAAGCTTTATTATTTCAGGCTTATTCATACATGAATATTCCTCTGAGCATTACTAAAATAAAAACCAAGTAAAACAGATTAAAAACTATATTTAATGGTCCCCAAAGAAACCCTTAAAAAAAATCTTCTCTCTGCCCATACTGAAGAATGATACCAAAATAGTTTGAAAGTTTAAAGCAAATAATTAGAAAGTAAAACAAAATGTTCTTAGGCTATGTTGATGGAGATCTGGCTAAACCCTTGAGAAGACAGGAAACGTAACTGAGAAATACGCTGTTCTCCTTTATCTAAGTGTGATTAACTACAATGCTTGCTCTGCAAGGTCGGGATCACTTTTCATGAATTCTTTCTCCGAGTGCGTCTTGCAGGGTCAGGCCCTCCCCTCCTGAACTCCATGGTTGACAATGGATCCACTGGTACAGTTCTGCTTCTCTCCTGGATGTGGAAAACCCCAAAATTGCACTCCTCACCCAGATCTCTTTTCCACCTACGCTCAGCACTCTGTTTACTGAACATTTGCAATGGTGAACCTGAGGGTCTGGAAGCCCCCAGGAAGAAAAGTAAAGTGAGATTCCATTTCATTGCCATTACTGCTAAGGGTTATTCACGCAAGAATTCCAACAATTTACATAAGGATCATTAGCCTCACTGGAAATGCATTTCATTGCAACAGACCTGAGTCTTACATTCTTGACATTTTCCAAGGAGTGGCACTGGGCATTGGCCATCAGAAATGGCCATGGTGATTATGCAGTTTTAGAAATATGCCTAAGATACATGAGGGATGCATTCCCCCAAACCATTATCCTCAGCCCTACAGAGTGATCTGGATAAGATGTGCTGAAGCTCCATGGAGTTTAAAGTAGTATTTATTGGCCGGGGACAGTGGCTTATGTTGAGGTGGGAGGACTGCTTGAGCCCCGGAGCTCAAGGTTGCAGTGAGCTATGATTGCCCCATTGCCCACTGCACTCCAGCCCGGGGGGACATAATGAGAACCCGTCTCAAAAAAAAAAAAAAAAGCACTTACTAAAAAATCTGAATTCCCCTTTGTTTCATTCACTGTATAGGGTCTACTTTGAAGGGAAGTGTTGTAATCTACAGAAGGCAAGGGTGACCTATTAATATTTGCAGAAGATAAATGATTACTCTGATTACTATTTGTAGGATCACCAATTTACACTGATTCTGCACTAGTCTGATACGGCAGCAGTCAGTGTAAAGTGTACTAGGTGATTTTGTGGAAGCCACAATTTGTGCAAAATATATCCTCTCAAGCTGAAAAGGATGTTTAAAAGATCATGGAAATCACGAATGCCAGTGGGAGTAATTTGGGGCTTTATTTGTTAAATTAGGCAACAAAATATCAGTAAGATATTTCAAGAGGAAAATATTATTTGTAATTTAGGGGAAAAAATCCCTGAAAAATGGAGATCTGAAACCCAAGGTAGGGAAAATCATTAGGAAGAAATTGAAAAATATTAGGCAAGAGATGAATCCTGGGTCTGTGTAGCGGGGAATGGGGAAAGAGTGAAAAGTAAAGGAAACTTCGGGAAGTGAGTTATAGGGCTTAGGGGAAAGAGGGTGATAAGAGAAGGAAACAATGGTTGATTTCATAGCAGGGGTCACTAAGGCAATGATAAAGGCATTAAGGGAGGGAGGAGAAGCAGGAGGAAAAATCTGGATGAAAAGACAATGAGCTTGGTGGGGGGTATATTAGCAAGATATCCTCATGATGTCTAGCAGGCATTTGGAAAGTCTGTGTGGATTTCAGGGGAGTAAAACTAGAGCTATAGATTTGGGACTCCTGGGCATAAAGGTGGCAGTTGGATCTATGAAAATGGGCCATCAGTTCATCCTCACGGGGAAATATAGAAAGAAAAAGTGTTGAGGAAGAGCCTGGGGAATTTTACACTCTGGGGACAGAAAGTGGCGAAGGAAGCTGTGAGATGGAGATGAGGGGCATCTAGAGGGATGGGGGAATCAGAAAGGTTCAAGGGCAGAGAACCCCAGGTTGGAGCCAGTTGCAAGGACAGAGCTTGTGACTGGACAGCATATTCATTTGCTAGGGCTGCCAAAGCAAAGTACCAAGATATTAGCACCACAGGCGGGGGGGCTTACAGAACAGAAATCTATCCTCTCACAACTCTGGAGGCTAACAGTCCAAGATCAAGGTGTCAGCAGGGTCAGTTTCTTCTGAGGGCCTCTCTCCTTGGCTTGTAGGTGACCATCTTCTCCCTATATTTTCATGTGGCCTTTCTTCTGTGTGTCTGTGTCCTGATCTCTTCTTGTAAGGACATCAATCATACTGGATTAGGGCCCACCCACATGACTTCATTTGACCTTAATTACCTCTTTTTTTTTTTTCAGAGTCTGGCTCTGTTGCCCAGGCTGGAGTGCAGTAGCATGATCTCAGCTCACTGCAACCTCCACCCCCCAGGTTCAAGCAATTCTCCTGTCTCAGGCTCCCGAGTAGCCAGGATTACAGGTGCCTGCCACCATGCCCGGCTAATTTTTGTGTTTTTAGTAGAGATGGGATTTTACCATGTTGGTTAGGCTGGTCTTGAACTCCTGACCTCAGGAGATCCGCCCGCCTCAGCCTACCAAAGTGCTGGGATTACAGGCATGAGCCATGGCGCCTGGACAGTTTGACCTTAAAGGCCCTAAATTCAAAAACACAGTCACTTTCTGAGGTACTGGAGAGTAGGCTTTCAACATATGAATTTGTAGGGGGAGACACAGTTCAGCCCATACCAGGCTGTTAGATCTGGAAGTTCCCCACTGGCCAACTGAGGGATACGCATTATAATGGCAACGGTGAGCCTGTCCTCAGCACATGCTACCTGCTGGGTTCCGTGGAGAGTGCTTCACATGTATTAGCCCGTTTAACATTCACAAGCACCCTATGAAGTAGGTACTATTATCATCAGCACGTCTTTTTCCAGAGGAGGAAACAGAGGCACCAAGAGACACTTTGCCCAAAGTCACAAAGATAATAAGTGGCAGAACCCACGAGCTCGGCTTCTACACAGTGAATTTCATCAGCGATTTGTAGCTTGCTCCACCCTCAACAGATACCTGAGAAGTAATGATGTTGCTGAATTACTCAAAGGAACAGATGCATTTCCCATCAGCTGTCACTGACTGCAGCCTCTCTCTAAGGTATAAGGTGAATTCCGCAGGTAGATGTGACAGCTTGAAGAGAAAGGAAAATAAACAATAACTAATAGGTGGTTAAAGTGTCTCAGATTTAAAAAGCAAAGAGAGCAACCCTATTATGACTTCAAATATGTGTGTTTATTTAAGTTGTGTTTCTTACATTTGGGGTTGTGATTCTGGAAAGTACTGTAAAATGCAATGAGAAGGCCAGGTGCAGTGGTTCACCCCTGTAATCCCAACACTTTGGGAGGCCAAGGCAGGAGGATCGCTTGAGCCCAGGAGCTTGAGACCAGCCTGGGCAACATAGCCAGACCATGTTTTGTAAAAATACAAAAATTAGCTAGGTGTGGTGGCTCGCACCTGTAGTCCCAGCTACTGTGGTGGTGGAGGCTGGAGGATCCCTTGAGCACAGGAGTTCAAGGCTGCAGTGAGCTGTGATCGTGCCACTGTACTCCTGGGTGACAGAGTGAGGCCCTGTCTCAAAAGAAAGAAAAAACAATGCAATGAGAAAATATTTAACAATGCATTTATACACTGAAAGCCTTTTTTGTTTGTTTTTGTTTTGATTTGTTTTTTGGAGACGGAGTCTCTGTCACCCAGGCTGGAGTGCAGTGGCACTACCTCAGCTCACTACAACCTCTGCCTCCCAGATTCAAGTGATTCTCCTGCCTTAGCCTCCTGAGCACCTGGGATTACAGGCGCACACCACCACACCTGGCTAATTTTTGTATTTTTAGTAGAGACGGGGTTTCACCATGTTGGCCAGGCTGGTCTCGAACTCTTGACCTCAGGTGATCCACCTGCCTCGGCCTCCCAAAGTGCTGGGATTACAGGCGTGAGCCACCATGCCCGGCCCACTGAAAGGTTTTTTGATTTGCAATATGTAAAAGCATCTGTTAAATTCTAGATTTTCTATCGTTTTGGCTTTATTGGTTTTTAACCAGAGATGACTTTTTGAACTATTTTAACTTCAGGTTAGCCTTTAACATGAGAAAAGTGAGGAGAAAGAAACACACACAGGTACACACAGAGATGCATGCACGCACACACACACACACACACCTTCAAACATGGATACACGGAAATGAAGTGAGAGGAAAAGAAATAAAAATCAGGTTACTAAAATTAAAATTCAAACAGGACCCTCTGGTGAGAATTCCTGCGAGAAGGTAGGTAGCCTGTCACTTTTATCTAAGAGAGAAGAATTCCCAGGACAATGGCACAAAAGCTGGGAAATGGCTCTAAAATGTCTCTATCTTCACTTCTTAAATCCCTCTCCAGCGTAACTGCATGGCGCAGGAAGCCACAAAAGCCTGAAAGAAACTGCCTGAGGGTGAGTGGGGCTCTTCCGAAAAGACTGAGTGAGGGCCCCCCTCTTGGGCTAGGCCGGCGTACCCCTGCACCCGACCCCTGCAGTACCTGCAGATGGGTGTTGCTGCCGCCTTCGCTCTCCCAGCTTTGAACCACTCGTCTCTGCGTCACTTCCCGTTGGGAGCATCTGATTGGCTGAGTCCAGTTCAGAAGCACATTGGGAGCCTCTGATTTGCTGGGCTAAGTCACTTACTACCTGCATCCCCTTTCTAGTCCTCTAGCTGGAGACATTCCCCGCCTTCCACCAAGGCTCCTGCGCCAGGCGGTACCCAAACTTAGGAAAAGGGTTGAGATGTTACCGGAAAAAGGAAGTTCATTACACATTTTAAGCATGTATTTTCAGAGACACTGAAACATCTGAAGGCACAAGATTTCTAAATTAGAAACTTTAAAAGTTTCCATTTATTTGGTAAGGTCAAACTACTTAAAAACATCCTTTTTTTTTTTTTTCTTTTTGAGACAGAGTCTCGCTCTGTCGCCCAGGCTGGAGTGCAGTGGCACGATGTCGGCTCACTGCAAGCTCCGCCTCCCGTGTTCACGCCATTCTCCTGCCTCAGCCTCCCGAGTAGCTGGAACCACAGGCGCCCGCCACCACGCCCAACTAACTTTTTTGTATTTTTAGTAGAGACGGGGTTTCACCATGTTAGCCAGGATGGTCTCGATCTCCTGACCTTGTGATCCGCCCGCCTCGGCCTCCCAAAGTGCTGGGATTACAGGCGTGAGCCACCATGCCCAGCCTCTTGTCTTCTTTTTTTGAGTCTGAGTCTCACTCTGTCACCCAAGCTGGAGTATAATGCTGCAATCTCCACCCACTGCAACCTTCGCCTCCTGGGTTCAAGCAGCTCTCCTGCCTCAGCCTCCTGAGTAGCTGGGATTACAGGTGCGTGCCACCATGCCCAGCTAATTTTTGTGTTTTTAGTAGAGACGGGGTTTCACCATGTTAGCCAGGCTGGTCTCGAACTCCTGACCTCAGGTGATCTGCCCACCTCGGCCTCCCAAAGTGCTGGGATTACAGGCATGAGCCACCGCGCCCGGCCAAAAGCATACTTTTTTTTTTTGGCCATGAAAATGCAAATTTCATGTTGGGGAAGGAGATAAACAGAAAGAGATGGCAAAGACAGACAAGACTGTTAGAGGGCAGAAGATGGAGAAGCAGCAGGAGCCAGGAAAGTGAACTAATTCTGACTGTCACCTGATGTCAGACACATTGTCTCAGTGCTCACTGCGATTCTGTGAGGTGGGCGCTTTTGCTCCTATGCAACGCATAAGAAGATGGGAACGCAAAGTAAAATGACTGTGAGGGTCACCCACTAGTAAGCAGTGCAGCCAGGAATCCCGCAAGATCTGTCTGACCCCAAAGCCCAGGCTTTTTCCCTAGGCTACTATAGTTTCGCCTAGTGCTCCTAAGAAAAGTTGTGGGGCACACATACACTAGAAGAAATACAACCAGAAGAGAAATGAGAAAAGGGAATACAACACACACATTTATACATATCTCCAAATTTATGCCTGGGGATATTGCTGTCTCCGTGTCATTCAAAGAAAAAGAAGTGAGAAGGGAGAGAATTCTGTAGATTCTGGAATAATAGTTCAGCTCTCTAGCTGCATCTTTCCATGTACCAGGGTTGTGGGATTCAGGGTTCCACCCATTCCTATTCTTCATAGTTCAACAGCTCTTTATACCTGCACGTGAAGGGTCCTGGTTCTGGACACTTGCAGAGACATTCAGGCAGGGGAGTTACTGATTCCCAATGAAGCCAGGGTAGCAAAGACATTCACACCCCAGGAACCCTTAAATGGAAACAAAAGCTCAACTAGGCTGACAGGTAGGAGGCTGCATCACCCCTTTGCAGCTTTGTAAGAAGAGTCTTCCAGCTTGCACCTTGGACTTTTCAAAACAGTCCAAGAATGTCCTCTGCCAAAAGGAAAAGACCCTGTTGTATCTCTACCATATCTCTTGTCAACACTTTTTTTTTTTATTGAGCAACCAGAGCAAAACGCTGAAGTGAACTTTGTAGCTGTTTCACTAAAAAATCAAACACTGGCCAAATTGTTTAAAAGCTAACAGTGATCAGATGGCTATGCCTTTTAACTGCATGTTTGCAAACACACATGTATATTGTCTTGTGTATACTGGCCTACAAAATCATTTTAGTTGGACAATCTTTCTACGGTTCAGTATGAATCAATATTAGTGCTGTGGTACATTTGTGTGCCTTCATTGAGTTGAACAGAAATCCACCAAGAGGTTTGGTTAATATGTGGCTCTAGTGTGTATGTCTCAGTCAAGAACATCTGAATGTGTGACTTCTCTAGGCATCGAGCCCAAATTAATTGTGGTGCTCACTCTCTCATATTTATTTTAAGTGTTTATAAATTATTATTCTGCTATTCATAATATAGACTTTAATGGGTCTGTATATAAGAATGAAAAAGCATACAGCTATGCAAATCATAATCACAATGGGAGAAAAATGGTCTTTTCATGCCTGTTAAAATTTAAGAGCCAAAACAGGAGAATTTTCTGGCCTTTATGGCTGGTCAGAGTCCATCTGTTTCATCTGCTATTTGGCTGTCTGAACGGTTGGATTTTATTTCCTCTACATCATACTGAACTTTTAAGAACAAACAAAAGACTTTTATCTGAGGATAGTACACAGATGTGTTGTGTTACATACTTAAATAGGCATTTATATGCACCTCGTTTTTATATCTGAAATAATTCGGTGAATGTTTCTTTTTTATCTTTTTTAGCATTTAATCCATGACTCTCACCAGTTCAACTAACATACTACAAAATGTCTTACGCAAAACAGCCACTCAAGAATGTTGGATGTTTAAAAGACATTGTTAGTCCAAATAAACTAGGAAAGCAAGCAAAATTATTTAGAATCAGTACTAGTAAAAGATTTTTATGTGTGTTAAAATTTTTTTCATTACTCTTATTTGTACCAAAAAGTGTAATTTCATGAGGTTTGATTATATAATACAATAAAAGTTATTATTACTAAGTATACTCTATTTCAGAATAGTCTATATGACATATATTTCTTAGCATTCATAGATTACTAGCCGCTGTTGCATAAATTGAATTTTTTTTTTTTGAGACGGAGTCTCGCTCTGTTGCCCAGGCTGGAGTATAGTGGCGCGATCTTGACTCACTGCAACCTCTGCCTTCTGGGTTCACACCATTCTCCTGCCTCAGCCTCCCAAGGAGCTAGGACTATAGGCGCCCAGCACCACTCCTGGCTAATTTTTTGTATTTTTAGTAGAGACGGGGTTTCATTGTGTTAGCCAGGATGGTCTCAATCTCTTGACCTTGTGATCAGCCCGTCTCGGCCTCCCAAAGTGCTGGGATTACAAGTGTGAGCCACCACACGCCTGGCCACATAAATTGAATTAAATCAAATTCCTATTAAGTTGGAATCATAGATCTGGAAGAAATCTCAAGACAGCAAATGATGCAGCCTCCTCCCCTAGTAGTAGACCAACTTACCTGCTATAAAAAATAATGATTGCCTTTGCACATTTCAAGATATTGCCAGGGCCAGGTGAGGTGACTCACACCTGTAATTACAGAGCTTTGGGAGGCTGAGGTGGGAGATCATTTGAGGTCAGGAATTTGAGGCAACGGTAAGCTATGATCGTGCCACTGCACTCCAGTCTAAGGGACAGAGTGAGAGCCTGTCTCAACAACAACAACAAAACAAAAACAAAAAACAACAATATCTTTAGAAAGGGGTATTTCACATCATTTGATTTCTTGTTCCAGTACGATATTTGATCTTACAGAAAAGCAGTTGTTGCTGGCTGGGCACAGTGGCTCACTCCTGTAATCCCAGCACTTGGCCCAGGAGTTTGAGACCAGCCTAAGCAACATAGGGAGACCCCGTCTCTACAAAAAAACTCAAAAATTAGCTGGGTGTGGTGGCACATGCCTGTAGGCCTAGCTACTCAAGAGGCTGAGGTGGAAGGATCGCTTGAGCCCAGGAGGTTGAGAGTTGAGGCTGCAGTCACCTGAGATCACACCACTGCACTTTAGCCTGAGCACCAGAGCAAGACCCTGTCTCAAAAAAAAAAAAAAAAAAAAAGCCGCTCACAGTGGCTCACACCTGTAATCCCAACACTTTGGGAGGCAGGTGGCCAAAATGGTGAAACCCTGTATCTACTAAAAATACAAAAATTAGCCCAGCATGGTGGTGCACGCATGTAATCCCAGCTACTCTGGAGGCTGAGGCAGGAGAATTGCTTGAACCTGGGAGGCGGAGGTTGCAGTGAGCCGAGATTGTGCCACTGCACTCCAGCCTGGGTGACAGAGCGAGAGTCTGTCTCAAAAAAAAAAAAAAGCATTTGTCTTAGCTCTATCTAAGCTATTTTTCTGTTTTTAATTCTTTACTTTGGAATATTCTGGACTTACAGAAAAGTTGTAGGATGAACCATTCACATGCATACTTTCTCCAGTCTTCCCTAATGCTAAAATCTTACAAATCTATGGTACATTTGTCAAAGTAAGAAATTAACACTAGCACATTACTGTTTACTAAATTCCACACTGTATTTGGATTTCATCAATATCTTGTTCTGTTTTAGCATCCAATCCAAAAAGCATTTAGTCATCATATCTCCTTAGTCTGCTCTGTTCTGTGACCGTTTTTCAGTCTTTCCTTGTCTTCCATGACTTGTTTTATAGAATGTTCCTCACTCTGGGTTTGTCTAATGTTTTCTGAGGATTAGGCTGGAGTTAGGGACTTCAGGGGAAGCCTATATCAGGATGAAATGCCCTTCTCATCACATCATACCAGGGGTACATGCTACCAACGTGACTTATCACTAGTAATATCAACCTCGTCGCTTAATTAGGTAGTGTTTGCCAGATTACTCCACCGTAAAGTTATTTTTCCCTACTCAATTTTTTTTTTTTGAGATGGAGTTTTGCTGTTGTCACCCAAGCTGGAGTGCAGTGGCGCAATCTCGGCTCACTGCCACCTCCACCTCCCGGGTTCAAGCAATTCTCCTGCCTCAGCCTCCCGAGTATCTGGGATTACAGGCACCCACAACCATGCCCAGCTAATTTTTGTAATTTTAGTAGAGACGAGGTTTCACCATGTTGGCCTGGCTGGTCTCAAACTCCTGACCTCAGATGATTCGCCTGCCTTAGCCTTCCAAAGTGCTGGGATTACAGGCATGAGACGCTGAGCCCGGCTCCTACTCTATTTTTAAAACATGGGTCACTAACTCCAGCCCACAACCAAGAGGGAAGGGATTAGGCTTTGTTTCATGGAGGGAGAAGTATCTACATGTATCATTTAGAAATATGTGGGGAAGATTTGTCCTTTCTCCCCATTTATTTATTTATTCATTCATTTATGTAATGCGTTTGGACTCACGTACATTTATTTTGTTTTGGGTTATAATCTATGATGGTTATTATTGAGCGTCAACTTGATTGGATTGAGGGATGCAAAGTATTGTTTCTGGGTGTGTCTGTGAGGGTGTTGCCAAAGGAGATTAACATTTGAGTCAGTGGACTTGGAGAGGCGGACCCACCCTCAATCTGAGTGTGCACCATCTAATCAGCTGCCAGCACTGGTAGAACAAAGCAGGCAGGAGAAGTTGGGAGGACTTGATTGGCTGAGTCTTCCAGCCTTCATCTTTTTCCCATGCTGGATGCTTCCCACCCTCAAACATCAGACTCCAAGTTCTTCAGCTTTTGGACTCTTTGACCTACACCAGTGATTTGCCAGGGGCTCTCAGGCCTTCGGCCACAGACTGAAGGCTGCACTGTCAGCTTCTCTACTTTTGAGGTTTTGGGATTCCAACTGGCTTCCTTGCTCCTCAGCTTGCAGATGGCCTATTGTGGGGCTTCGCCTTGTAACTATATGAGTTAATACTCCTTAATAAACTCCCCTTTATATATACATCTATCCTATTAGTCCTGTTCTTCTACAGAACCCTGATTAATACATAATCCAATTCTGTGTATTTATTTTGTTGCTCAAAATTGTGTCAGCTTTGATCATTATAGACTTTTTAAAGATGACTCCTGTGTGACTTTGATGCACCCTCCTTGTTTTGTTTCTTGGGCACTTCCTTACTCTGAGCCTGCAAGATTCCCAGGCTCACCTTGTATTTTCCCTCCTCTATCTCTAGAATCAAATCAGCCATTTTTCCAAGGACCCCTGATTTCTTTTATTAGAGAATGGTATTTAGCAACCAAGATCTGGGTGCTGGGTATCCTCCTTATGACTGGAGTGGCATTGCTTCTAAACCTAGGAACACAAGCTCAGAAACTCATGTGTCTATGCTAACCCAAGCATATACACACATATCTCATTTTCTGTCTGTCTGTCTGTCTGTCTATCTATCTATCTATCTATCTATCTATCCATCCATGCATGAGTTCATACCCATGTCTCCAACCTAATCCTGTATGACAGGACACTTCCCTCTTGCTTATTTGTATTTTTTTTTTTTGAGACGGAGTCTCGCTGTCGCCCAGGCTGGAGTGCAGTGGCGCGATCTTGGCCCCCAGGGTTCACGCCATTCTCCTGCCTCAGCCTCCTGAGTAGCTGGGACTACAGGCGCCTGCCACCACGCCCGGCTAATTTTTTGTATTTTTAGTAGAGACAGGGTTTCACTGTGTTAGCCAGGATGGTCTCGATCTCCTGACCTCGTGATCCGCCCGCCTCAGCCTCCCAAAGTGCTGGGATTACAAGCGTGAGCCACCGCGCCCGGCCGCTTATTTGTACTTTCTTTCTGTGTTAGTGAGAACCCTGGCTCAGGTCTACCTAAACTTTTGCCAGTAATAATCACTAGGTTTTGAATGGAGACAGAAAGTAAGGAGACAATGTGCCCTCTTCATAATCGTGCATATTAACCACTGCTCCACTGCGATATGGCTAGGAACACAGACACTGAAGCTCGTCCCTTGGGTTTCATCCCGGCATTGTCATTTAATGGCTGTGTGATCTTCGGTAAATGACTTAAACTATCTGTGCCTCAGTTTCTTCTCCTCTCAAAAAAGAGTCATAATAATGAATATCCCATAGGGCTGAAGGGAGAATTGAAGAAGTTTACACAAGTAAACACTTCAGAGCAGTGCCCGTCTCATGCTAAGTGCTCAAGAATTAACTTTAGAAACAAGTTTATACCAAAAGATTTATTTGACTGAAATATCAACAGCCAACAGGGGCCTGACAAATTAAAATTTTAAGAGTGTTTGTATATATTATTTATAAATCAATATAATAAATAAAGAAAAATAGACCAGGCTCAGTGGCTCACGCCTGTAATCTCAGCACTTTGGGAGGCCAAGGTGGGAGGATTACTTTAGCCCAGAAGTTTGAGACCAGTCGGGGCAACATGGCGAGACCCCATTTCTACCAAAAAATAGAAATAAATAAATAAATAAACAAAACAGCCAGGCGTGGTAGCCTGCACCTGTAGTCCCAGCTACTTGGGAGCCCGAAGTGGGAGGATCTTATGAGCCCAAGAAGTGGAGGTTGCCGTGAGCCGAGATCATGCCACTGTACTCTAGCCTGGGTGACAGAGAGAAACAGTCTCAAAAAATAAAATTAAATTAAAAAAGTAAAAATATCTGAAACAGCCTTGACAAAGGTACAAAAGTTATGTTCTGAATCTATCATTCACACATATGTCATTTGAGTGTTATAGCTACTCTGTTTGTCTGTATCCAGCCTGCACTATTTTCTTTAAAGTCCAGGGTTATTGCACTATTTTCTTTAAAGTTTCATGGCTATAGGTCCCTAATTAAATAAAGTTTGTAAAGTTGGGCAAAATCAAAATATTGTAGAATGGAAGAGAATATTCAGAGTCAATCAGGGCAGTTTTTTATACATTAAATGTATAAAACCCATTTAATCAGTAATGTGGAACTTGCTCAAGAGAAGCTCAAGGTCATTGTTAAACACACAGACTCTCATTCCTTTCCTTGGAGAGTCTGAGGTAATAAATCTGAGCCTGGGAATAAGAATTTTATTTTTTATTTTATTTTATTTCATTTTATTTATTTATTTATTTTTTTGAGATGGAGTCTCATTCTGTCACCCAGGCTGGAGTGCAGTGGTGCAACTTGGCTCACTGCAACCTCTGCCTCCCAGGTTCACGCCATTCTCCTGCCTCAGCCTCCCGAGTAGCTGGGACTATAGGCGCCCGCCACCACGCCCGGCTAATTTTTGTATTTTTAGTAGAGACGGGGTTTCACTATATTGGTCAGGCTGGTCTCGAACTCCTGCCCTCTTGATCCACCCACCTCGGCCTCCCAAAGTGCTGCGATTACAGGTGTGAGCCACCACGCCCGGCCTTATTTTATTTCATTTTTTAGAGAAGGGGTCTTGCTTTGTTGCCCAGGCTGGTCTTAAACTCTGGACCTGAAGCAATCCTCCTGCCTCAGCCTCCCAAAGTGTGGGATTACAGGTGTGAGCCACTGTGCCTGGCCATGAATCAGAATTTTATTTTTATGTATTTATTTTGAGGCAGGGTCTGTTTCTGTTGCCCATGCTGGAGTGCAGTGGTATGATCACAGCTCACTGCAACCTCAACCCCCTGAGCTCAAGTGATACTCCCACCTCAGCCTCTCAAATAGCTGGAAACACAGGTGTGTGTTCCCACCCCTGGCTAATTTTTGTATATTTTTTTAGAGACAGGGTATCACCATGTTGCCCAGCCTGGTCTCAAGCTCTTGGGCTCAAGTGATCCAACTTCCTCGGCCTCCCAAAGTGCTGGGATTACAAGTATGAGCCACTGTGCCTGGCCTGAATCAAAATTTTAAACAAGAGTTCCAAGTAATGCCCATCAGGCAAATTCCGAAAAACTGATTTAATCCAGATCCTGATTAATATGAGAAAACTGAGGCCCAGAGGAAAGACAATCTACCTCTCCAATGTTCATTAAGCATCTACTTCTATAGGGCATTACGGAAGTACAATGGGAATACATCAAAAGGTTTGGGACAATGCATTGCGATGCATTTCTGGTGGACTATAAATTGGTACAATCTTTTGGGCAGACAGTTGGGCGATATGTATCAAAATATTAAGTGTGCTTATCCTTTGACCCAGTAATTCCAGAAGAAAATATTTCTTAGAGTTTTCATTCAGACCACCTGAATCAGAACCACCCAGGGTTCCTGCTGAGGATGTAGATTTCAATGTCTCAGATCAACTGAACTAGAATCTCTGGGAGTGGGACCTGGCATTCTGCATTTTAACAAGTTCATCAAGAAATTCTGGCTGGGTGTGGTGGCTCATCATTATTATCTCAGCCCTTTGAGAAGTCGAGGTGGGAGAATCACTTGAGGTCAGGAATTTGAGACCAACCTGGTCAACATAATAAGACCCCTTTTTTTTAATAAGAAAAATTAGCCAGGCATGGTGGCACATGCTTGTAGTCCCAGCTTCTCTGGAGGCTGAGGCAGGAGGATCACTTGAGCCCAGGAGTTTGAGGATACAGTGAGCATTGATCATGTCACTGCTCTCCAGCCTGGATGATACAGTGAGACCCTGTCTCAAAAAAAAAAAACAAAAAAACAAAAAAACAAAAAAACCCCACCAAACTAAAGGAGAGACTTATGTTCACTAATTTGTAAGAAATGCTTCCCTAACAAAGGGAAGCAGAGGGAGAGTCCTGAGCTCAAGCGATCTTCCTACTTCAGCTTCCTGAATAGCTGGGACTATAGGTATTCGCCAACATGCCCAGCCAATTTTTTATTTTTATTTTTTTATTTTTTATTTTATTTTATTTTTTTGAGAAGGAGTCTCACTCTGCCCCCCAGGCTGGAGTGCAGTGGCACGATCTCGGCTCACTGCAAGCTCCGCCTCCTGGGTTCATGCCATTCTCCTGCCTCAGCCTCCCGAGTAGCCAGGACTACAGGTGTCCGCCACCATGCCCAGCTAATTTTTTTTGTATTTTTAGTAGAGACGGGGTTTCACTGTGTTAGCCAGGATGGTCTCGATCTCCTGACCTCGTGATCCGCCTGCCTTGGCCTCCCAAAGTGCTGGGATTACAGGCGTGAGCCACCGCGCCCGGCCTAATTTTTTATTTTTTATGGAGAAGAGGTCTCACTATGTTGCCCAGGCTGGTCGCAAACTCCTGGGATCCTTCCACCTCAGCCTCCCAAAGTAGTGAGATTACAGATGTGAGCCACTGCACCCAGTCTGGATAATTTATAATGAACAAAAACTTATTTGGCTCATGGTTCTGGAGGCTGGAAAGTCCAAGATTGGGAGGCTGCAGCTGATAAGGGCCTTCCTGCTGCATCATCACATGGCAGAATATATGGCATCACAAAGAAGCATGCACAGGAGACAGAGGAAAACTGGGCTGAAATCCCATGATAATTAACCCACCCTGACTATAACGGCATTAATTCATTCATGGAGCAGGGCCCTCATGACCTAATCACTTCTTAAAGGGCCCACCTCAGTACCATTGACATGAGTTTTGGAGGGGATGTTTAAACCACAGCACAGGGCAAAAAGGGCTACACAGAGGGGCAGCTGGGCATGGGGTATTAGAGCCCAAGAGGGATCCGAAAAATGTCCACAGGGATGGGGAGTAAGACAAGCAGGGTGAAGATGGTGTCCCCATAGAGGAGTGTACCTTGTACCTGTGTGGGGTGTCAGAGCCCCAGAAGATGAGGAGATCATGTATATGAGAGGACAGGGGGGCCCGGTATGGGTGCTAAGAGAGGGTGCCTGTGCAAGCGGGTGGCCTGTACGAGGTATGGGAGCCTACTGAGGGGGTTGGCCAGGTGTGAGGTGTGGAGGCCTGAAGGTACAAGAAGGGCATCTCCTTGGGGAGGGGGCAGTGGCAGCCTCAGGAGATTGGCTATGTTCAGGGTGTTGACTAAATACATAAGTATTTTAAATTTAAGGAGAGTCAGGTTTCTCACTGTTGTAGAAGAGAGTTCTGAATATGGAAGGGAAACTGTATTACTTTGTTTAAATGCTGCTGATAAAGACATACCCAAGACTGAGCAATTTACTAAAGGAAGAGGCTTATTGAACTTACAATTCCACCTGGCTGGGGAGGCCTCACAATCATGGCATAAGGTGAAAGGCACATCTCACATGGTGGCAGACAAAGGAAGAGAGCTTGTGCAGGGAAACTCTTGTTTTTAAAGCCATCAGATCTTGTGAGACTCATTCACTATCACAAGAACAGTACAGGGAAGACCTGCCCCCATAATTCAATCACCTCCCACCAGGTTCCTTCCATGACACGTGGGAATTGTGGGAATTACAATTTAAGATGAGATTTGGATGGGGACACAGCCAAACCACATCATAAAGCTAGAATGAATGCCAAGATGTTGGATTTGAATGGAAGGAATTTGGTGAACTTGTGGTTTTCAATAGGTAGATAGATACTATGTACCTAGACAGTGTCTAAACTCCGTCTACTAAGAGGGTGACACTCCAATAGCAATGAGTTCTCCTGGAAGCCCAGATCTAACTACCTTTTCCCACTAAAGGGAACTGGGGCCCTTGGAGAGATGACCTACTCCAGCTCTGGAATAGGGAAATCATAAGACGGCCAGAACATCTTCTCATGTCAGAAGACAAGGAAGTGCTCAAAGAATGTGGGAGCCATGTTAAAGGACATAGGAGCCAGCTTGTGGCCAAAGGAGTTCCCACTGGCCAAATCTAAGACCATTTGAGCATGATTAAACAGTGATAGTGTAGTTTTCAGGAGCTGGGGAGAGAGAGGAATGCAGTTAGTATTGATAGGTATAGAGTTTCAGTTGCAGAAGATGAAAAAGTTCTGGAAATGGATGATGATGATCATTGTACAACAGTGTGAATGTACTTAATGCCCCTGAATTGTACACTTAAAAATGGTTTAAAAAATAATTTTGTTATGCACATGTTATGAGAATTTTTTAAATGATGGCAATAGAGTATAACATACTAAATAAAAGAATAATCCATGAGTCCTGCTGTGGACTGAATTGTGTGCCACCCCCCTGCAATTTATATGTTGAAGCCATAACCTCCCAGTGTGGTGGTATTTGGAATAAGAAAGTAATTAAGGGTGAATGAGCTCATAACGGTGGGGCCCTGATCTAATAGGATTAGTATCCTTATAAGAGAAGACACCAGAGAGCTTTCTTTTTCTTTGTGTCATGTGAAGACACAATGAGAAGGCGGCTGTCTAAAAGCCAGGGAATGAGCCCTCACAGGAACTAAATCTGCCAGCACCTCAATCTTGGGCTTCCCAGTCTCCAGAACTTCAAGAACATAAATTTCTGCTTTTTAGGCCACCCAGTCAACAGTATTTTGTTATGTCAGTCCAAGCTAAGACAAGCCCCTAATGATTTTTTTGTTTTGAGACAGAGTCTCACTCTGTTGCCCAGGCTGGAGTGCAGTGGCGTGATCTCAGCTCACTGCAACCTCCACCTGCCGGGTTCAAGCAATTCTCCTCCTTCAGCCTCCCGAGTGGCTGGGATTATGGGCATGCACCACCACATCCTGCTAATTTTTGTATTTTGAGTAGAGGTGGGGTTTCTCCATGTTGGCCAGTCTGGCCTCGAACTCCTGACCTCAAGTGATCCACCAACCTCAGCTTCCCAAAGTGCTGGGATTACAGGCATAAGCCACCACACCCAGTGCCCCAATGATTAAAAAAAATAGTAATAATGGCAGGAAGGGATAGGAAAGGTCTCCCCACATAAAGATGCTGGCTCAAAAATGTAGAAGAAATCCTGCCGTTTTGGAGCTATCAATGTAATAATTAATTCAAGCATGGATCTTCAATGGATGTCAAATCCAATGAATGAAAGATTTGATGAGGAAGAGGATATCCATAGTTTTACCGTACCATCCCCACAGACAGTTAGTTATTAATTGCAGAGGGAAAAGACGCCTTTAAAATGGTGTCAGATACACCTGTCAGGTACCACTTAATGATCAAATTTAGTATCACCAATGATGAGACAAAACTGACATTACGTACTTTTCAATGTGATGGAGGGAGAAGTATACAACCTCCCCATAAAGTTTTCTTAACAAAAATGCGAACCTGAATCTAATGAGGAAATACTCTAAAACCAAATTGTGGGATATTGGCCTAGATTCTATGTCGTTGTCATGAAATATTTTTTTTTAAGGAGGTGAATGATCAAGATTAAAGGAGACTGAAGAGATATGACAACCAAGCTTAATGTGATGAACTTGCCCAGATCCTGTTTTACACAAACAGACAAAAAATAGTTACAGGGGGTGTCTTGAGGCAATGGAGGAGATTTTAATATGAGCTCTATATTAGTCTGTTGTCATACTGCTATAAAGAATATATAGCCTGGGTAATTTATAAAGCAAACAGGTTTAATCGGCTCATGGTTCTGCAGGCTGTATAGGAAGCATGGCTGGGGAGGCCTCAGGAAACTTATTGATTATGGAAAAAGGTGAAGGGGAGGCAGGCATGTCTTACGTGGCCAGAACAGAAGAGAGGGAGAAGGGAGGGGTGCCACACACCTTTACACGACCAGATCTCATGACGACAGCTCACTCACTATCACCAGAACAGTACTCAGAGGAAACGCGCCCCCATGATCCAGTCACCTCCTGCCAGGCCCCAGCTCCTGGAAATTACAATTCAACATCAGATATGGGCGGGGACACAAATCCAAACCATAATCAGCTGTATACTAGATAATATTTGCTGTATCAATTTTAATTTCTTAGGTTTGATAATATTGTAGTTATAGGCCGGGCACGGTGGCTCACGCTTGTAATCCTAGCACTTTCGGAGGCTGAGGTGGGTGGATCACCTGAGGTCAGGAGTTTGAGACCAGCCTGGCCATTATGGTGAAACCCCGTTATCTACTAAAAATACAAAAATTAGCTGGGCATAGTGGCAGGCGCCTGTAATTCCAGCTACTCAGGAAGCTGAGGCAGGAGAATCGCTTGAACCCGGGAGGCAGAGGTTGCAGTGAGCCAAGATCATGCCATTGCACTCCAGCCTGGGTAACAGAGTGAGACTCCATCTAAAAAAAAAAATTATGGTTATATAGGAGAATGGCCTTATTTTCAGTATTGAAGTATTTAGAAGTCAGGTGTCATGATGTCTATAATTTATTTTCAAATTGTTGAGCAAAAAAACCTACATCTCCATAGAGAGAAATAAAAGCAATGTGGTGAAATGGCAATCTCTCCTGGTGAATCTGGAACACAGATACATAGGTACTCATTTTATTATTGTTTCAAAGTTTCAACAATTTTCACATTTTTCAAATGAAAAAGAGTCTAACTCTCTGGGATGTGTCTCAAGAAATACATAGGTCAGATTTCTTACTTATTTTTTATTTTATTTTATTTATTTATTTATTTTTGAGACGGAATCTCGCTCTGTTGCCCAGGCTGGAGTGCAGTGCACGATCTCGGCTCACTGCAAGCTCTGCCTCCTGGGTTCACACCATTCTCCTGCCTCAGCCTCTGGAGTAGCTGGGACTACATGAGCCTGCCACCACGCCTGGCTAATTTTTGTATTTTTAGTAAACATGAGGTTTCACCCTCTTGCCCAGGCTGGACTTGAACTCGTGAGCTCAAGTGATCCTCCCACCTTGGCCTTCCAAAGTGCTGGGATTACAGGCATGAGACACCATGCCCGGCCCAATCCTGTCTTTTAAAGAAGGTATTTTCCAGACTATAAAGTTGGAACAGAAAAAAAGGATGCAAATTAAAGATGGTCAAAGGAAAACAGAATCTCATATTATTTCATTACATAAGAAATAATGTAAGCCGGATGCGGTGGCTCATGCTGTTATCCCAGCACTTTGGGAGGCTGAGACAGGAGGATTGCTTGAGGCAAGAAGTTCGAGACCAGCCTGGGCAACATAGTGAGATCCCCATCTCTATTTTTTATATAATTAAAAAAAATAAAAGAAAAAAAGTACATGAATTATTCACCCTAAAGCCCTACCCTACAGAGAATACAAGAGGTGCCCTCTGAGACCCTCATATGTATAAAAACGTGGTATTTGAGCTTCTGCTTCTTTTTGCTAATGAGACAGATACTTTAAATGTTCACTTCTTTTTTTTTTTTTCTAGCAACCACAAAATTTGCCCAATGTCGGTCTCCTACCTGCAGTAAATAAGGTAAAACAGAATCTGTTTGATGTTCCTTATTATTAAATGGGAATGACTTTTTGCCTAAGGTGTTGGTGTAATCATTAACTGCAAGGGAAGTGGTTATGGTAATTGAGGATTCTGGTTTGACCCAGCTGTGGGAATTTTTTTTTCTTTTTTTCTTTTTTGTTCTTTTTTTTTTTTTTTTGAGACAGGGTCTCGCTGTGTTGCCCAGACCGGAGTGCAGTGGTGCAATCTTGGCTCACTGCAACATCCACCTCCCAGGCTCAAGCAATTCTCCTGCCTCAGCCTCTCGAATAGCTGGGATTACAGGCATGCGCCACCACACCTGGCTAATTTTTGTATTTTTAGTAGAGATGGGGTTTCACTATGTTGGCCAGGCTAGTCTCGAATTCCTGACCTCAAATGATCTACCCGCCTCAGCCTCCTGAAGTGCTGGGATTACAGGAGTGAGCCACCACGCTTGGCCAGCAGTGGGAATTTTTAAAGATCACATGCCTTTCTTCTTAAGGACTGTCTAGACAATAAAATTTAGAATTGCGGCTTGGGGTTACCTAATCACAATAATTAGAGATATTTGTTTTAACCAGTTCAGTTGCCAAGAAAAAAAATGCCACTAGTTTGATTAAGAAACAAAGCACATTCTTTTATTTAGAATTTGAAAAGTGTATAATCCCTGATCTCCTTGAAGAAACAAGGGATATTAAAATATTGAAAACCAGTTCATCTTGTCCTACACAGAGCTGACTCACTAGCATAGTGAAGACGGTTCATACACTAACAACTAATTCTTACACACATAACTGAAAATGTAGACCACATTGTACAAAGAAATAAAATTATATCAAATTGTGGAAGGCCAAAAATAGGATTATAGATGGCTTACTTAATTCTATTTGACTTGCACTGATGTTTCCCTCCCAAGGTTCACTCCTGCATACTCAGTTCTCTACAGACTTTTAGATGATAGACATTCAGCCATATATTTGCAGTCCTGACCTTTGCTTCGAGCTTTAGTCCTGACCTTTAACTTTCTGCTGGGTATCTCTAATTTCTAAAGTCAACTGCATCTCAGATCCCCCTTTGGACTTCCTCATTTTTTCCAGCCCTTTGACAGTCTAAAATCTTGGATTCACCTCAGATTCCTCCTTCTAGCTTATTTGCCTCTCTCTTCTTAATCTAATCAGTTGCAAATTCTTGCCAAACCATTTCTTTTCATCCTTCATTGCCTTATTTCTGATCCAGACCTTATCTGTCTCATACCTGTACTATCACAACAGCCTCCTAACTGGATGCCTCCAGCCAGTCTTGGGCTCTTTCGTGCTAGCTTCATCTTTGAACTTTGCACACCCGTTTCTTTCCTCAAACATGCCCCGCCACGCCTGTCCATTTTAAACTCATGTCTATGCTCATCTCTCCCCATCCTTTTTCTTTAATGATTATTTACCTCATGATACTTCTCTGATGGATCTCCCTGACAGCACTAATCCTCTATAAGAATTTCCTTCCTTTACTATCTGTGTTCTTCCTTTGACAGGAAGGAAGTGTACAGGAGGCTGTGTTCTTTACATTTTATGATTGGCCCCATCTCCAGAACTGACTAGATTGTAACGCCACTGAACTTAGCCAGCCAAGTGTCTTTTTGCACCTTGCTTTTTTTCACTTAACATATACTGGAGATCTCTCCTTACCAGCACATATATGTTTATCTAATGCTTTTAAAATGCTTGCTAACTATGGATAATTCATAATTTATTTAATTAGTCCCTTACCGATGGCTACTGGTGGTTTTTCTGGCTTTGTTATTATCAAACATGCTTCAGTGAATATCCTTGTATATCTTGAGCAACTTTAATGTCACAGGAAAATAATTGTACTGGGATTGCTGGATTAAAGGGGTGTGTGTGTGTGTGTGTGTGTGTGTGTGTGTGTTTACATATAAACATTTTTTTTAAGAGGTAGGGTCTCCTTATGTTGCCCAGGCTGGAATGCAGTGGCTATTCAAAGGCACGGTTATAGTGCCTTGAACTCCTAGCCTCAAGTGATCTTCTTGCCTCAGCCTCCTGAGCAGCTGGGACTATAGGTGTGCTTGATATATTTTATTTTTATTTTATTTTTTTTAGATGGAGTATTGCTCTGTTGCCCAGGCTGGAGTGCAGTGGCAGGATCTCGGCCCACTGCAACCTCCGCCTCCCAGGTTCAAGCGATTCTCCTGCCTCAGCCTCCCGAGTAGCTGGGATTACAGCTGCCTGCCACCACACCTGACTAATTTTTGTATTTTTTAGCACAGACGGGGTTTTGCCATGTTGGCCGGGCTGGTCTCGAACCCCTGACCTCAGGTGATCCGCCCACCTCAGCCTCCCAAAGTGCTGAGATTACAGGCGTGAACCACCACGCCCGGCCCACCTGATATCTTTTAAATTTGTACATAATAGAATTATCTTTTAAAATAATTTTCACTGTCTACTCCCATTTTTGATATTACCAATTTTCCTGCCACTCAAGATTAGGACATTGACAGTGGGAGCTTTGTTTATGGTGGCTTATCCCCACGGATTTAGCGCTGGAGAGAAAACGTAAAGCTAGGAGAAAAGAACATTTTGAAAGCCACAGAATAGGCTCTTCAGCGGCTAGAACACGGTTCCAGGCTAGGGCAATATGGCGTCCTGTACACCGGATTGCATCATCTTTCTTTGCCAAGGATCATCTGGAGCTCAAATCAAATCTAAATGTGTCCACCTCTAAAATGGGGATAATCTTCATGTTTCTTTTCCTTTTACAGATATAAATGCAATTTCATTGTCTTGACCGTTAGGAATTCTCTGAAGGTCTGTTACTACGTAAATTGTGTGAACTCCGAACAGCAGAGTTCAAACTTGATCAGAACAAAAAAGGCTAGAGAGTGGCAACTCTCCTTTCCGTCATTTTAATGGCTTTTGTATGACCAAATGTTTCCTTGCCAGTCAGTGGGGAAGAAGCAGCGAGCTTGTCTCTTAATTGCTTTAGAGTTCTGTTTGTCTATTTAGCGTTTCTTTTTGAAGTCTGAAGATTTATGGAACAATAAACGTCATTTAATGCTGCGTGCTATTTTGGATTCCTCACTGGTTTTAGAATTTGGGTAAAACTACTTAGCTGAAAGTTTAACAAATTTGAAATTACAAGTATTGTAGAATAGTTCATCTCAGTGACATAAAATTACGGCAGCAGCAAAGTGTGTTACTTTGGTTTTTTTTTTTTAATAGTAAGATGTAGACATTTTAGTATAACAAATGTTTTCAAGTTGTTTGGGAAATAAATAAGCTAGGAAGCAAGGTTTAAATAAGAATGGTTTGGTTTGGTGCTGAATGATGTTGTTAGTACACCGCAATTCAAGTGTTGGCTATGCATTTGGGCCAATTTAGGGAAGTCCAAAACAACGCACATTCGCTCAGTAGTGTGAGAGATTAATTGTAGGCAGGTCCCATCTTTTTTACAGTATTCAAACGTTCAACCTTAAGACCCCACCAGGGCGTCTCATTCCACCGGGAACTAGAGAAGCTTGACTTGTGTGATCACCTCCTGATGAATGGACTGGGGCGGAACACAGATCCGGAGGTGGGGGCTTCTCTTCACCAAGCGCAAAGCCTACCTTCCAGAAGGCTGGCTGCACAAGCGGCCGCCCTAAATGCGGTCAAAGCGGGCAAATTCGCCGTGGGTGCCTTCCTTCCCTACCTCCGGCCCACTCTGGTTGCTCCTTCCCAGGTGCTCCAAGCTCTCCAGAGTTTCTGGTGGTTTAAAGTTTCCGCTTCACGCCCAGACTGCTCTAAGGGCAAACACGACCCCTTTCCTCTTCTAGGACCCCTTCCGTGAAGTCTGTTCCAACCCTGAGCCTCTCCACCTTCGAGATTGGCCGCAGATGCCCCGACGGGATGGCCTGGGGAGCCGAAAGCTGTCCCCAGCCCCGGACAGCTACTGCCCACGCCGCGCAGGCCAGCCTCACACAGTAGCGAATCTCCTTCACGCGACTTCCTCGCAGGCCTGTGAACCCGCAGGGGAGGCGGAGGTCGGTTCAAACCCTGCGAGAGCCCCTGCCCAGCGCGGAGTCCTGCACACGGTGGAAAGTCCTTACGCATTAGCGGGCAGGATTAAACGACTTCACACCACGAGGTGCAAGACTGGGCTTCGGGGCCTTCCTCGGTGTTGCTATTTTAAAAGAAGCTGCTCAGTAACCCAGAAGAAGATGACGGGGGACGGTGGTGTAGACCCGGCTGGAGAGGAGTCCAGGGCCTGGGAGGCGCCCCCTCTGACTGAGGGGCTGGGGACCCTGAAGCTTGGCGTCCAGGCCCCGCCAGCGCTGCACCCGGCATTGTCCCGCCTGGGGCAGGCGTCCGGTCCCTCGGCAGTGCGGGCCAGCACGTACGTAGTAGCTGCTGAATAAATAAATGCCTATGCAACAGGGAACGTCCCGGCCCACCCCGGCCGGGCCAGGGCCTAGGAAGGGCGGGCGTCCGGCGCCGCCGTGGGTCCCTCCGGCGTGGCCGCCCACACCTCCTGGCCACGGCGGGGCTGCGGTGGGGGGACATCCTGGGGCGGGCGGCTGGACGGAAGGGACTAGAGTCGGGGCGCGTCCACGGCCAACCGCCCCGAACCAAGCAGGGGAGGCCAGGGACCAGGAGCTTCCGGGGCCCCGCGGCTGGAGCGCCCGGACGCGAAGGGGCGGCGGGTGACGGGGCGCGGTGCGGGCGGCTACAGGGCCGGACGGGAGTTCCTCCGCTTTCCGCCGCGCGGCTCGCGGTCTCAGCCGAGGTCATCGAGGGCCAGGAGCCCTGGCGGAGGCCCCGCCGTCCCGGACCCACCGACGCACTCCCAGGGCTTGGCGCTTTCCCACCACCCCGGACCGCCCTTGGGGTGCCGGAGGGGCTCGGGGCGCGGCGTGGGGAGCCTTTGTGCCCTCTCCGCTTGTTGAGGTTTTTTCTCCGGAGGAGAGCTCCCCGCCCGCCACCCCTTTCCTCTCGAAAGTTTTGTGGTTTCCCTAGAAGACGAAAGAGGTTGAGAAGGTTGCGGAGACTTTTGCAATCTTCCCCGTCCAGAAACTCTAAAACCTCTCGGCGTTTGGCCCAGGGGAGCTATCTGGGGTCAAGGGGAGGGAGCTGGCCGCACATTCCTTCGCCCGCCTTCCTCCCACCTGGAGCCGCGGCCCCGCGGGGCAGTGCGTCCGAGCTGGTGCGGCGACGCCGGCAGCGGCGGGGTTAAGCTCAGGAATGCGGCGCGAGGAATGCGCATGCAGATGAGGCGGGCGGGCGCATGCTAATCGCATGCAAATGAGGGGCCCGCCGCTGCCGCGGCAGCGCCGCAGCTTCCCGGATCCGAGCCCAGACGGCGGCGGCTCCGGCAGCCTGGGCGCCGCGACCCTCGGCGGCCAGAGGGGGACGGGGCGGAGGAGGAGGAAGAGGCGGAGGCAGCGGCGGCGAGGGGGAGGAGGGTTCGCTCGCCGGCTCCGACGCAGACATGGTGGACTGATCCGCAGCGGGGCCGCGAACAGCGTTTCCTGAGGCACCTCCCGCGCGTGGTTCCGCCGCGCCCCGCGCCCTGCGCCCCTCAGCCCCTCGCCGGCGCCCGCGTCGCGGGTTGGCAGCCTAGCCCGGCAGCCGCGTTCCCGCCGCGTCCCGCGCCCGGTACCTATGGAGGCGCCGCTCGCCGGCGAGGCCGCCGACCATGCCTAGGAGGGCCGGGAGCGGTCAGCTGCCGCTGCCCCGGGGCTGGGAGGAGGCCAGGGACTACGACGGCAAGGTCTTCTACATTGACCACAACACCAGGAGGACCAGCTGGATCGACCCCCGGGACAGGTGGGCGCCGGCCGCGGGGGCGCGGGCCCGTTCGGACACGGCGGCTGTTGTCCCGGAGACCCGGCCGCGCGGGGGGCTGGGGCGGCGCCGGCCCGCGGTGCCCCGAGGGGTCCCGGGAGGGATGTGGGGCTGGCTGCTCCGGCGGGGCCGAGGAGCCGCCCGTACCCGGGCTCCTCCGCCCACCGGCTTCCCGACGCCCCTCCGGGGACCCGGCCCCGAGGCAAGGCTGGAGTCGCTGCCCCGGGCCGACGCCGCGCGCCAGGCTAACGGACCCGAGGGGCCACCTGAGCCCTGTTAGGAACTTCCCTAGGCTTCGAGGTGCCCACGTGGAGGCTGCAGGACACCTTCGGCCTCTGGGCGGCGGGGGTGGGCTAGGGCCTCACTGCCAGTTGGGGAACGAGCCCTCCGGGCCACCTGTGGCATCCCTCAGGCCGTCCTTGGCGCGGGAGCCTGGGCTGCGAGCTCTTGGCGGGGGCGCCCAGACTGGCCGGAGGTCCCGAGCTGGGAAGGGGCTCCCGCCCCCCGCCGGGCCCTGCTAGTGGGTGTGACTGACTTTGCCCCTCAGAGTTTAAAAACGCGCGTTTGGGGGTTTCGCTGTCTGTCGTTAGTCTTCACCTGAAAACTTGAACCGACTCCCAGATCGGGAACAGGCATATTGTGTTTGGAAGGGAGATGTAGTGAAATTAACGTTGGGTATTGAGGCACTCTGATTTGAGCTTAGCCTGGTTTCTTTGTTTTTTGTTTTTTAAATTGGTTCAGGAACTGAAGGTTCACAAATGTTTCTGTGTCCCATATTTTTTTTACCCTTAAAATTTCTTAGAATTATTGTAAGAATAATAGGAGGTATTCCTAATTATAAATTTGTAAATTATCCATTAAGGAGATATTCCTAATTGTAAATTTAAATAACGTGCCACCAGGGATAACTTCGACATTTGGACTTTTGTCATTTCTGAAAATTATAACTTTATTGAATGTGGCCCTTTGGGCTTTATATACTTTTTAGGTGCTTCTCCTATTTAACATTTTCCCTTTTCTCAATTTGAAGCTGAAATACCTAACTACTTTATAATCTCAGTTACTTTTGCCCTAAAAATGTTGTTTTTGAAAGCTACTAAAAGGCAATTACAAGAAAGTTATAAATAACATTATAAATTTATGGAACAATCCTTGTTCAATTATCCGTGAAGCTACGGGCCTAGGTTTCCCTCCTGAAATGAGAAAAGGCACCTGTGCTGAGGTTCGGTCTTGCCGCAGCCTGGCTGCCTGTTGCTGGCCTGATGAAAATTGTGACAGGCATCACACCTTCCCAGTGTCTCCAGACGTGCTAGTTGTTGTCATAAACTTCACGCTCCAAGCCAGTTATTTGACTTATGCTATTGCACTTTGAAACTACTTAACAGATAGTAAATGTCAGTGCTGATGGTGTGCACCCAACTGCGGCTTTTAAGGCACCTGTATAAATATTTGACTTTTACAGTTGTGTGGTAATTCTTTCTGCTTTCTGATACTTGGAGTTTCAGGTAATTGAAATAACAATAAATTCTTGAAATATTTAGGCATTCTAGGTTCTCTTCTTCGGTTTACATGCTTTACTATATTATCTCAGTTGTGTTTACCGGAAAGGATTACAAGAATATGTAATGTCTGGGTAAAGTAAATAGAAAGTGGAGTGAAATTATATGACTTGGCTATCCATATCACTACTTTTTTCACAAGTCAAGCATGTCCTTTATTTTAAACTCTTAATGGATTAGTAATTATTATGAACTATTTTCAGGAAACTGGATAAACAATTCATTGGATAGGGACAAATAGTTTTGACTAAGATAGCTTTTTATTTTTCCAATTTTCCTTGCAGCTGTTAGGTCTTAAATATTCAGAGACATAAATTTGACGACTTACAAATATTTCTGGATCTCAGAGTTTTAAAAGATACTCTGTTGAGATCAGAGTCACCATTATATACTCAGTTTAAATTTGATTATATTTTCTTTTAGGGCAATTAAGTGACTAAATCTTACTAAATAGAGTAAGAGCTGATGGGAACGTATATTTGGAGTAACTATTAACTCCTGTCAGTTTTGTTACACACTTACCAAACATATGGAAAGAGAGATGTTACACAGGCCAATAGGAGTGTGTGGATTCTTCTGCAGGATCAACTTACAAATTCTGAAAGAAAAACAACTTGATATACTATGGGTCTGCAGTACTTTTGAACTGTTTAAGCCATTTAATTAGAATGGTCACGATGATTTACCTTGCATATTTTTTATGTTATTCTGTTAAGGAAAAGAATTTTGTGTTTTTGATAGTCTATCAGAATTTGTTGAATATTTCTGATTATACAGATAATTATGCCGATTTAGTAGGGGAGGCTAGGGCATTTTATAAGAACATAATTTCATTCAACAGGTAGTCATGCCAGAATGCTGAAGCATTATTCTAAAATGCTTTTAAGCTTTTGGAGGTGAATGACGTCATTCAAACTTTGCTGGGATGTGATCAAAGCTTTTATTGCTCCACTTCTTACTTTTATTGACTAAGTTTACGTGAGTTTCTGAATCCCTCTAAACCTCCATTTTTCAGCTCTAAAATGAGGATAATATCATCTTCTTCATAGGGGTGTTTGTGGGCTCACCATTAGGGCCCAGCCTAATTGTATTAGTGTAGTGTTGACATTCCAGTTTAGGAACTGAGTGACCCTGGAAATAGTAGAAATACTAGCATGGACAGTATTTACTCAGTGTGTATTGTGTGCTAGGCACTCTGCTAAGCTCTTTAACTGTGATCTCATTTCATTCTCCCGTTGGTCCTGTGAGGTAGGTACTACTGTCATCTTCCAGTTACAGATGAGGAAATTGAGTCACAGAGAAGTAGCCCTTGTTAAGTGTGGAGCTAGGATTTAAAGCCAGACAGCTTGACTCTACAGCATGTGTCCTTAATCATTCCTTTAAATTGTCTCGACGCTTGCGCATGTTCAGGGGTCTTTGGGTGGAGTGCACAGAGGGGCAGAACCTTTTTGCCCAGTGTTTATTTTTCAGGCTGAGTGACTAGGCTAATCCTGGGGAAATCTCCCTGTTTGTGATTAATTCCTTGTCCCCCTACCCTGCCTGCATGGGCCCACTCCCCGAGTGTTATTTTGTAGGTTTACCCCCTCTTCTTTTGCTCACCATGGACCCTTTTGAACATACCAGTTGGTGTTTATGGTAGGCCATAGGTCTTGGCCAAATGGCCTGGTGCTTTTTTTTTTTTTTTTTTAATTACATTCAACAAAGGAGAAAAAGGTGGGATGGATTGGCTTCATTGCCTTTTGGAGGAGTAGGGAGCTTAAGTGGGCAGGCCTCAGAGATAGGGTGGGTTGGCTTTACCAACTCCCAGTAGAATTTTGCTCATTTTCTATCCTTGGATTGAATGTTACCCAGAGATACAATGACTTTGTCTAGTTGAACTGAAAGATTTCACACCATGCAAAGTGACTTTCCATTAAAACCCACTGATAGACACTAATCTGTGGCTTATGGCAAGGGTCAGATGTTGAGCAACCTGTACCTTCTAACTGAATAAAAATAATCTTGGGGGGTGGGGAGGGTGAAAAGGGAGGAAGGGGGTGCCAGCTGGGTATATCATTGATGTCACAGTTAACTTTTGGCTCTCCACACCCGTTTGAGGCATATGACTAGGATCAGAGGAACTCTGTATTGTCTTTTTTTTTTTTTTTTTTTGAGACGGTGTTTTCGTTCTGTTGCCCAAGTTGGAGAGCAATGACGTGATCTCGGCTTACTGCGGCTCCCGGGTTCAAGCGATTCTCCTGTCTCAGCCTCCCGAGTAGCTGGGATTCCAGGCGCCTGCCACCACGCCCGGCTAATTTTTTGTATTTTTAGTAGAAATGGGGTTTCACCATGTTGGCCAGGCTGGTCTCGAACTCCTGACCTCAGGTGATCTGTCTGCCTCGGCCTCCCAAAGTGCTGGGATTACAGGCATGAACCACCGCACCTGGACTTGTGTTTCTCTTTTTTTTTTTTTTTTTTGAGACGGAGTCTTGCTGTGTCGCCAGACTGGAGTGCAGTGGTGCCATCTCGCCTCACTGCAACCTCCGCCGCCTGGGTTCAAGTGATTCTCATGCCTCAGCCTCATGAGTAGCTGGGATTACAGGCACCACCATACCCAGATAATTTTTTTGTATTTTTGGTAGAGATGGGGTTTCACCATGTTGGCCAGGATGATCTCCATCTCCTGACCTTGTGATGCGCCCACCTTGGCCTCCCAAAGTGCTGGGATTACAGGCATGAGCCACCACGCCCGGCCTGGCCTTGTCTTTCTTTCAAAGTCTAAGTAATTTCTTTTTTTTTGAGACAGAGTCTCACATTGTCGCCCAGGCTAGAGTGCAATGGCGCGATGTTGGCTCACTGCAGCCTCCACCTCCTGGGTTCAAGTGATTCTCCTGCCTCAGCCTCCCGAGTAGCTGGGATTACAGGCACCTGCCACCACGCCCAGCTAATTTTTCGTAGTTTTTTTTAGTAGAGGTGGCGTTTCATCATGTTGGCCAGGCTGGCAAATTAAGTAATTTCTATGAACCCACTGCTAGACTGTAAACTCCTGGAGTCCCCGATTGCTTATTACTGCTTTTTGAATCCTTTATACATGGTATGTTAAATAAATGTTGGTTAATTTAGTTAATGAAGACAGTTTGTTAAATTAATGAAAGAATATTAATTGAGCTACTCTCTTATTTCCAGATTCTTACTGTTGGGCTTTCAAAAAATAAACCCATAGCCACCAACAGAGACAACTGACTTTCCAGTTATATTTAAAATAATAAGAGAATTGAGCTGCTACATTTTGAGTAATAGTATAAATATGAGAATTACTTATAAGAGCAAAGAAAACAAAATGAACCTTGATAGTCTTAATCACAACTGCCATTGTCATAGACTGCTGGAATTGTTCCTCTCCAGCAGGCCCTGAGTCTGGGTGCCAAGTGGTTACTGTGAATTATTTGAGTGATTATAGTATTTGAAGTGTGGAGAGGTTGTTAAAAGAGGATTAAAAAAATCACTCTAGGAAGCACTAATTTAAAGTATGCTGTCTTCCAAAAATTCCAAAAGAAATATTCTTTTTAACACAGTTTGGTATAATGCTTGCTGGAGTGAACAGTACTATAGTTGCTTAGTATATTGGAGGGTCTAAGAGTTCTCCAGTGACATTAATAGTCCATAGCTTGCAGTGTAATTTTGTTGGAAGACTCAGGACAATAATTGCTTTTTAAATAAAATAAATATTTTATTTATTTATTTTTTGAGACAGAGTTGGCTCTGTCGCCCAGGCGGGAGTGCAGTGACACAATCTCGTCTTACTACAACCTGTGCCTCCTGAGTTCAAGTGATTCTCCTGCCTCAGCTTCCTGAGTAGCTGGGATTACAGGTGCACGCCACCCTGTACCCGGCTAATTTTTGTATTTTTAGTAGAGATGCGGTATCACCATGTTGGCCAGGCTGGTCTCAAACTCCTGACCTCAAGTTACCTGCCCGCCTTAGCCTACCAAAGTGCTGGCATACTATTATCTTTAAATATGTTATTTGTTTTGAGCTGCAAATCCCTAAGCTTCATCTACATAGTCAGCCATTGTGACATGTGGCCTTCAACAAGTTGGTATTTAAATTTAACCAGAGGAAGCCCAGGTGCACCAGGAAAAGCGTGGAAGTTGTCTGTTGGCCCACACTGCCGGGCCCTGCATTGCCTTGTAAATGGCTCTTGCTTACTTATTTTCAGTAATTGTCTGTAGGAAAATGAGATTATCACTTTAGAGGGGCATGGCCAGCTTCTTCTTGCCGATGCAGGAGTTACTAAATTAGCAGGAAACAGTGTTAGCCCTAATACACTGTGAATTCCTTATGATAGGGCTTGAGTCTGTATGTATGCCCTGGTTCCTATGAACTTGATTGAAATTGGTTAAACTGATCTTGTGTTAGAATTTTGGACTTGCCGGGCGCTGTGGCTCACGCCTGTAATCCCAGCACTTTGGGAGGCCAAGGCGGGTGGATCACGAGGTCAGGAGATGCAGACCATCCTGGCTAACACAGTGAAACCCTGTCTCTACTAAAAATACAAAAAATTTGCCAGGCGTGGTGGCGGGTGCCTGTAGTCCCAGCTACTTGGGTGGCTGAGGCAGGAGAATGGCGTGAACCCGGGAAGCGGAGCTTGCAGTGAGCAGACATTGCGCCAATGCACTCCAGCCTGGGTGACAGAACGGGACTCTGTCTTAAAAAAAAAAAAAAAAGAATTTTGGACTTCTTTATGCATTTCTAAACTCCTGTTACTGAAAAAGTTACCACAGAATAATGTAGAAGAGGAAAGGGATTTTTTTTTTTTGACAAGAGTTTTATTCTTGTTGCCCAGGCTGGGGTGCAGTGGTGTGATTTCGGCTCACTACAGCCTCCGCCTCCTGGGTTCAAGGTTCAAGCAATTCTGCCTCAGCCTCCCGAGTAGCTGGGATTATAGGCTCTCGCCACCACGCCCAGCTAGTTTTTGTATTTTTAATAGAGATGGGGTTTCACCATGTTGGCCAGGCTAGTCTCGAACTTCTGACCTCAGGTGATCTGCCCATCTCAGCCTCCCAAAATGCTGGGATTACAGGCATGAGCCACCACGCCCGGCTGAGGAAAGGGATTTTTAAAGGCACAGTGTGTATGTAAGTTGTGAGATACAAATGATTTATCAAAATATAGGTTCACAATGTTTTCAATGTCTTCAGTGATTTTTTCCAATTATTTTATCTTTATTAGATTAAAAAAATTCCTCAGCATAAAATTATTCATTTTAACCATTTTGAAGACTACACCTTAGTAGTTTTTAGTATATTCATTGTTATGAAACCATAAACACTGTATAATTCCTGAACATTTTAATCACCCCCAAAACAAACGACCCCTTACCTATTAAGAACTCACTTCTCATTCATCTCCCGTCTCTACAGCTTTTTGCAAAAACTGATCTACTTTGTGTCTCTGAATTTGCCTATTCTGGACATTTTATATAAATGGAATAGTAAAATTTGTATCCCTTTGTATCTGGCTTCTTTTTTTCTTAGTGTAATGCATTCAGGGTTCATTTTGTAGCATTTATTGTACTACTGCATCATTTTCATGACTTAATAATATTCGATTGTGTAGATATACCATATTTTGTACTTTCATTAGCTGATGTGCATTTGGGTCATTTCCACTCTTTGGCTGTTATGAATGATGCTGCTATGAATATCCCTGTACAATTTTTGTATGAATGTGTGTCTTCAGTTCTCTTCAGTATATACATGTCTAAAAGTGGAGTTGCTGGGTCATATGGCAGTTCTATGTTTAACTTTTTGAGGGGACTGCTAGACTGTTTACCACCATTTTACATTCCCACCAGCAGGGTATGAGTGTGCAAATTCCTCCACATCCTCACCAACACTTCTCTCTCTTTCTCTCCTTCTCTCCTCTTTCTGTCTCTCTCTTCTCTTTCCTTCTCTTCTCTTCTCTCTTTTCTTTTTTTCTTTTCTTTCTTCTTTTGAGACGGAGCCGGTCTCTCTTGCCCAGGCTGGAGTGCAGTGGTGATCTCGGCTCACTGCGGCTTCCACCTCCACCTCCAGGGTTCAACAGATCCTCCCACCTCAGCCTCCTGAGTAGCTGGGATTATAGGCACAAGCCACCATGCCTGGGCAATTTTTGTATTTTTAGTAGAGACGGGGTTGGGCCGGTCTCGAACTTTTGACCTCAAGTGATCTGCCTACCTTGGCCTTCCAAAGTGCTAGGATTACAGATGTGAGCCACCACAACTGGCCTCACTTCTTTCTTTTTTTTAAAAAGTTATTTTAGTGGGTGTGAGGTAGGATCTTACTGTGGTGTTGATTTGTATTTCCCTCTTCGTAGTGTTTTGATGGCCTTAGTTGGGCCCAAGCCTCCCCTTATTCTAGCCTTTTATAGCTGTTGCTATTCTGCCCCCTTTTTGTTTGTGTACTCTCACTCTTACTTGATCAATAAAAAGTTAGGTAAGAGAAGTTAGAGGGTTTTTTTAGTCTCACATTGCTCTTCCCTTTTCTCCCTATCTGATTGCTTTGAGTGATTATTTAATACTGACATTGTAGATATGCATTAATTAACAGTTTTTATTGTATCAACCAGCCAGGTACCCTGGACTCTGGGAGATAAAGATGGATAAGATTTGGTCCCAGCTCAGCTTGCCTACAATCTAGTGTGCATAATCATCATTTAAAAAGTGAAAGAAAATTTTGAGTATTATCTGTTAAATTTTCTCTATATTCCTATATTTCAGTTTAAGGGTACCTTCTTCCTAAACACTCAGAGGGAAGACAGTTGAAAGGAATTAAAAGCAGAATATATTGGCAAAGTATATATTAATTTTTTTCTTTATTTCAAATGTGATGTATTTTATGAGGCATTTGTGTGAGTCACGTAATGAATCATATGTGCAATGTATATACATCAGCTTATTCAAAATGATTTGACATGTAAAGGCTTTTCCTTTTAGCTCGTTATATATGTGAAGAATTAAATTTATTTTTGTTCATTGTTTTTTTAAAAAATGGCAGGAGCAAACCTGACAAGCGCTGCCTCCATCAGGTGATCAAAGGGAACATCCAGGGCACTAAGTCCTGCTGATACACCCTTGATGTGATGTGGTGACAATGGCATTTTATCTTTGTGGTCTTTCTCCCCCAAAACCGTAGTAACTCCAGTCTAATCTTGAGAAAAACACCTACTGGATCCCAGTAGAGGGGTATCCTATAAAATACCTGACCAGTACCCCTCAAAACCGTCAAGATCCTCACCAATAAGGAAAGTCTGAGAAACCCTCACAGCCATGAGGAGCGTAAGGAGACACCAAGACTAAATGTAATGTGTCCCAGGGGTGGAGGAGTCCTGGGCTGGAAAAAGGACATTAGGTGAAAACTAAGGAAATCTGAATAAGGTATGGATTGTAGTTAAAATTTTTTTTTTTTTTGAGACACAGCCTCACTCTTTCACCCAGGCTGGAGTGCAGTGTTGTGATCTCGGCTCACTGCAGCCTCAGCCTCCCGGGTTCAAGCAATTCTCCTGCCTCAGCCTCCCCAGTAGCTGGGATTACAGGCATGTGCCACCACACCCAGCTAATTTTTGTATTTTTAGTAGAGATAGGGTTTCACCATGTTGGCCAGGCTAGTCTTGAACTCCTGACCTAGTGATCTGCCTGCCTCGGCCTCCCAAAGTGCTGGGATTACAGGTGTGAGACACCACACCCGGCCCGATTGTAGTTAATTTTATTAATGTTAATAGATGTACCATACCAACAGGGAAAAGTAAGTGTGGACTATATATGGCAACTTTCCACACTAATTTTGTGGTTTTTTTTCTATAAATCTAAGACTGTTCTAAAAAATAAAATTTTAAAAGACCTCTTAAAAGTCACACAAAACGAAGTGATTTTCTTTGGTGGAAGCATAACCATGTTTGTTGTTTATATGAAAATTCTGCTTTGTAGGCCTCATTTTAGCCCTCCAGCTAAGAATGGGTTTTAAATCATGAAAAGCTGTAAACAAACAAACAAAAATAAAGAAGAATATGTGACAGAGACTAAATGTGGTTCACAAAGCCTGGAATGTTTACTTTGGCCCTTTACAGAAAGAGTTTGCCATTGTCTTTAAAAATTTTATAGCAATATTTTTAAATGTTTCTATAAATATTAACCTTTTATGATAAAATGGCACATTTATTAGTGATCATTGCACATTCTTTTATGCCAGCAGTCCCCAACCTTTCAGGTACCAGGGACTGGTTTTGTGGAAGACAATTTTTCCACAGAATGGGATTGGAGGAGTTGCGAGGGATGGTTTCAGGCTGAAACTGTTGGATCTCAGATCATCAGGGATTAGTTAGATTCTCATAGGAGCGCACAGCCTGGATCCCTCACATGTGCAGTTCATTATAGGGTTCGCTCTCCTATGAGAATCTAATGCCACCACTGATCTGACAGGAGGCGGAGCTCAGGCGGTCATGCTTGCTCGCACCACACACCTCCTTCTGTGCGGCCCAGTTCCTAACAGGCCATTGACCGGTACCAGTCTGTGGCTAGGGGTTGGGAACCCCTGATTTATTCCACAAGGGATTTGGACTCTAGGTACTGTGTGGGACAAAGGTGAGTCAGACATGGGTGCTGAATTTGAGGAGCTGTCTTGTATCTCATGTTACTTTTTTTTTTGTTTTTAAAACAAGGAAATGCAGCATGTTACTTAGTTTCCCAAACTGGTTCTTTGAATTAGCTGGACCTAATGGTAGTGGAAATAGGTCTGTTACTCTTAAGGTAAGAATGATTTCATGGGTCCCTGTTCAAATGTAGCAGCCTGTGGATTCTGTATACCTCATGATTATTTTGATGGAAAATCAAGAGACATCTCTGGGCACCTGGCTTTGCCATGGCAGGGCCTAAAGTAGAGATTGCTTTTGTGGTGTAGAGACAGCTCAACCCCAGTCACTCAATAAAGTTACCAGATACCAGGCGCTGCTATATAATTCTTAAGAAGAGTTGTACATAGGACATGAGAAAAACAGGCAAAATGAATTTTTGGAAGTACCATAGTTGTTTGTTTATACTTGACTGTTGGAAGTATATAGTATTATGCTTTGGTAGTTAGAAATACTGACTTTCTTGTGGCATATTGATAATATTTATAAAATTACTAGGTGATGATCAAGCAAAAAATTATTCCATATATTATCCTTGTGATGCCTGTCACTTTGAAGCATGTCCCAAAGACTGCTCTGTAGAGCTATTTTTTTTTTTTTTTTTTTGCTTTGTCAGTAATTTTTCCTATACTTTTTGCCCTGATGTCAGTAAACAAATCATGGTTCCAAAATGGAGCCAGCTCAGAAGTGAGGTAGTCATGCACTAACAGAGTTATGTATTGGGAGCTGTTTTTTCACTCCTGTAGCTCATGAGGAATTACAATAGTTCCAATAGAGCATTTGAATAAAGGTGTACATTTAATGTACTTTGGTTTCACTAGGAGTGGAGGTAGGAAATTTAATTTTAAAGAAGCATAGACATTGTGTTATGACAATAATCACTTTTAACTAAGTAAGTGTCCCTGGTATTTTTGTGAAAATGAGTATGTCAACATTTGGAAGGCAAAGAGGCTTTCCTTTGGTGTGAACTTTGCTCCTGCTGCATGTGCAGTGTTGTTTTCTGGTGTGGCCTGGGTTGTGTTGGTCACCAGTTCTGAATGTGAACAACAGAGGTAAACGTTGAATTATAGAGATTGGTGCTACAAACCCCTGATTAAAATCCTGATTTACAGGGCTGGGCTCGGTGGCTCACGCCTGTAATCCTAGCACTTTGGGAGGCTGAGGCGGGCGGATCACGAGGTCAGGAGATTGAGACCATCCTGGCTAACATGGTGAAACCCCATCTCTACTAAAAATATAAAATAATTAGCCGGGCGTCGTGGCAGGCGCTGGTAGTCCCAGCTCTTCGGGAGGCTGAGGCAGGAGAATGGCGTGAATCCAGGAGGCGGAGCTTGCAGTGAGCGGAGATTGCACTACTGCACTCCAGCCTGGGCGACAGAGCCAGACTCCATCTCAAAAAATAAAATAAAATTCTGACTTACTAATGGACTGTAGAATACGTTGCATACTTTATTGACAGTTGTGCATTTTATAATTGCATAATTGGTATGAAGTGGCAGTGATATTCAGTTAAGTTTAAAATGTGGTAGACAACTTTGCACAAGATTTGAGGAGCATGTAGTTTCATTTAGTGTGAAACTTGAATCTACTCTGCAGTTTTCCTTAGCATTATGGTTTTTAATAGAGATACATTAGAATTCCAGTCTTTTTTTTTCTTTGAAACTGTGACAGTGAATGAATGTGTGGAATCTGCTTTGTACATAGTATCACTGGGTTATCAGCTTTGTTGACTTACTGGTCTAGGTGTAATTTTGGGCTGGTTGGTAATTCTGTCCATACCATATGTTCTTTTCTTATCTGCTGCTTATCAGTGTTTGAGTTTGATAAAAACAGATCATTTACTTTCTGTTTTGTTTTTTTTTTTTTGATACCGGGTCTCACTCTGTTGCCCAGGCTGGAGTGCAGTGGCGTGATCATGGCTCGTTGCAGCCTCAATCTCCCTGGGCTCAGGTGATCCTCCCACCTCAGCCTCTGGAGTAGCTGGGACTACAGGGGTGCGGCACAACACCTGGCTAAGTTTTTTTGTACTTTTTGTAGAGTCAGGGTTTCGCCATGTTGCCCAGGCTGGTCTCCAACTCCTGGCCTCAAGCATTTCTCCCATCGTGGCCTCCCAAAGTGCTGGGATTACAGGCGTGAGCCACCACGCCCAGCCAGATCATTTACTTTTTTCCTTCTTTGTCTCCCTTCCCCTTTTCTGCTAAATGACATAGCTAATGATATTTCTCATAGGACAGCATGACTAGAAACCAGTATTTAACTTGGCAGAATGTTTAACATAACATCAGTGCCCTGGTTTGCTATTGTAGATTGAAAGACTACAAAACTAACTTGATTGTCTAACTCTACTTTCAGTCCTTCATTTACCCCTGAAGGTATGCCTGTAGAACGTATGTAGATGCATTCTTGAGAGATTTCCTAGTGTCTCATGTGTAAGGAGCTTGTGTGTGTCTGCATCACTAATGTTTTCATAAAATTGATTCTAAGTTATTTGAGAATAGAGACCTGCTTTGTGTGTGCCCCTTCATGCTCTGTGCTTAGATTGCCTGTCCCCACAGGGACACTTAACACGGCGGAGGCCTGTACCCATAGAAATGAAATGTATGCATTTGAAGGACCTTTTCCTTCTTCCAGTAACCTCCATAATTTGTCCCCAGCTTACTTTACTGACTTCACCACCTAGTCATTCACTCAGTCACTCATTCATTCATTCAATCAAACTATTCGTCACACATTTATTGGAAACACTATATGCCTAGCACATACATTTCGGGGACACGGTGTTGAATGAAATAGGTGAGATCTCTGTTTTCATGGATTTTATATTCTACTTTGGGGAAGGCAAACAGATTCTAAAGATAGTAGTGAATTTGCTTTGATTAAAATAAACAAGATGAAGTGATAATAGTGTCGGTGGGAGCTGCTTTGGGTTAGGTGATCAGGAAAGGCCTTTCTGAGGAGCTGGCATTTAGCTGAGCTATGAGGATAAGAAGGAGCCATTCATGTGAAGATCTGGGGGGAAGAGTGGTCTAGGCAGAAGAAAAGACTAAACAGAAGTACTAGCCCTGTGCTTTCCACTATGATACCTTCTAGGAGTATGTGGCTATTTAAATTTAAACTAGTTAAAATTAAGTTAGAAATTTAGTTCCGCCGGGCACGGTGGCTCATGCGTGTAATCCCAGCACTTTGGGAGGCCGAGGCAGGTGGATCACCTGAGGTCAGGAGTTCGAGACCAGCCTAGCCAACATGGCAAAACCCCATCTCTACTAAAAATACAAAAATTAGCCAGGCGTGGGGTGCATACTTGTAATCTCAGCTACTTGAGAGGTTGAGGCAGCAGAATCACTTGAACCTGGAAGGCGGAGGTTGCAGTGAGCTGAGATTGCACCACTGCAAATACAGAACGTTTCCATCAGCACAGATTGATGTAGAAACAGAGGGAGGAGGGTCTTATGAAATGAGGCAGAGAAGTATTAGGTTGGTGCAAAAGTAATTGCTTTCAATGCAAAAACCACAATTACTTTTGCACCAACCTATAGAAAGGGGTCCTATCATGTATGCCTTGTAGACCATCAAGATTTTAAGGTTGTTTGGGAGCTATTGGAGAGTTTTCAATTGAACTGAGGTAAGGTGGGGCCTGTGTGTGTGTGTGTGTGTGTGTGTGTGTGTGTGTGCGCGCGCGTGCGCGCGCACATGCACGTGCATGCAAGATGATCTTACTCATTTTTGTTTGTTGGTAGAGACAGAGCCTCAGTATGTTGCCAGGCTGGTCTCAAACTCCTGGCTTCAAGCAGTCCTCCCTCTGCAGCCTCCCAAAGTGCTGAAATTTACAGGTGTGAGCCACTGTGCCTGGCCTTTCTTTTTTTCTTTTTAAAGATCTTATTTTAAAAAAGAGATCACTACTCTATGGAGAAGGAATTACAGATTTTTTTTTTTTTTTTAGTGAGATAATCTGGATGAGAAACAATCAGAGCTTGCACTAGAATGATGGCTTTGGCAGTGGGAAGCAGTGAGTGGATTTGCTTTTACCTAAAAAACCTATGTTTTTTTGGTAAAAATGAAAGAACTTGCTCATGATGTGGGTACATGAGGCTTGAGGAAAAGAGAGAATAAAAGAGTTACCATTAGGGAAAGACCGAGGGAGAATGTGGTTGGTTGGTATCCATTTGGATTGCTAATCCAAAGTTCTGTTTCCGATGTATAGGTGTGATAGAGTTTGAATATGTGTCCCCACTATTGTAATTTGTAATTCCTAGTTGGAGGTAGGGCCTGGTAGGAGGTCGGGTAGTGGGTGAGTTCTTGCAGTATCTGGTTGTTTAAGTGTACGGCACCACCTCCTCCCCCCGCCATCCTCTCTCTTGTTCCTGCTCTGGCCATATGATGTGCCTGCTCCTCTTTTGCCTTCTACCTTAATTGTAAGCTTCCTGAAGCTCTTCCCAGGAGCTGAGCAGGTGACTGGGGCCATGCTTTCTGTGTAGCCTGCAGAAGTCATAGGTCCAATTAAACCTCTTTTCCTTATAAATTACCCCATTTCAGGTGCTTATAGCAATGCAAGAAATACAAGGTGTGAGACCCCTATGAAGACATACAAATAGAGAAATCTAGTAGACACCCAGATATAGAATCTTTTGTTCAGGAGACAGCTCAGAGCTAGAGATACTAAATTTGGTTTATACATAGGTAGTATTTGAAGTTGTGGGATGGGATGAGATTACTGGAAGAGAGGAAAAGGAGAGGTTCCAAGATTGAGCCTTGAGACATGGCAATATTTTTTGTGAAACCTTGTTTCAGCTAAGATGGTTTATTTGTTTTCACTGGAACATACCTTTTTTTTTTTCTTCCAACGTTTATTTCAGGTTCACAGAGTACACACGTGGATTTGTTAATGTGGGTAGATAGTGTGTTGCGGGGGTTTGGTGTACAAATTATTTCATCACCCAGGTAATAAACATAGTACCCCGTAGGTTGTTTGTTTGTTTGTTTTTGTTTATTTATTTTTGAGCCAGTCTCATTCTATCGCCTAGGCTAGAGTGCAGTGGCAAGATCTGTGCTCACTGCAACCTCTGCCTCCCGGGTTCAAGCGATTGTCATGCCTCAGCCTCCTAAGTAGCTGGGAATAGAGGCGTGCACCACCACACCCAGCTAATCCCCATAGGTAGTTTTTTGATCTTCACCCTCCTCCCACCTTCCACTCTCAAATAGGCTGTGATGTCTGTTGTTCCCTTTTAGCTTCCATGTGTACTCAGTGTTTAGTTCCCACTTATAAGTGAGAACATGCGGTATTTGGTTTTCTATTCCTGTGTTAATTTGCTTAGGATAATGGCCTACAGTTCCATCCATGTTGTTGCAGAGATCATGATTTCATTCTTTTTTGTGGTGCATAGTGTTCCATGGTGTATATGTACCACATTTTCTTTATCCAGTCTACCCTTGATGGGCCTTTAGGTTGATTCTATGTCTTTGCTATTGTGATTAGTGCTGCAGTGAACATAAATGTGCATGTGTCTTTGTGGCAGAATGATTTGTATTCCTGTGGGTATATACCCAGTAAAGGGATTGCTCGGTTGGATGGCAGTTCTGTTTTAAGTTCTTTGAGAAATCTCCAAACTGCTTTCCACAGTGGCTGAACTAGTTTACATTCCTACCAGCAGTGTTTAAGCATTCCCTTTCCTCTGTAACCTGGACAGCATCTTTTGACTTTTATCTAATAGCCATTTTGACTGGTGTGAGATGGTATCTCATTGTGGTTTTGATTTGCATTTCTCTAATGATCAGTGATGTTGAGAATTTTTTCATATGCCTTCTTTTGAGAAATGTCTGTTCGTGTCCGTTGCTCATTTTTTATGGGGTTGTTTGTTTTTTGCTTGTTGGTTTGTTTATGTTCCTTATAGATTCTGGATTTCAGACCTTTGTCAGATGCATAGTTTGCATATATTTTCTCCAATTCTGTAGGTTACTCTGTTGATAGTTTCTTTTGCTGTGCAGAAGCTCTTTAGTTTAATTAGGTCCCATTTGTTGGTTTTCTTTTTTGTTGCAGTTGCTTTTGGCCTCTTTGTCATGAAATCTTTGCCAGGGCCTACGTCCAGAATGGTATTTCCTAGGTTTTCTTCTAGGGTTTTTATAGTTTTAGGTTTTACACTTAAGTCTTTAATCCAGCTCTAGTTGACTTTTGTATATGGTGTAGGAAGGGGTCCAGTTTCAGTCTTCTGCATATGACTGGCCAGTTATCCCAGCACCTTTTATTGAATAGGAAGTACTCTCCCCATTGCTCATTTTTGTCAACTTTGTCAAAGACCAGATGGTGGTAAGTGTGTGACTTTATTTCTGGTTTTTCTAACATGTTCCATTGGTGTGTGTGTCTGTTTTTGCACCATTCACTGGAACATATCTTATACTTTTCACCACTGTGCTAAAGATGATGATGATGACAAGTACCATAAGTTATGTGAAGAGCCCTTCACATATTTATCTCAAGCTTCATGAGGGCAGGTATTGTGTCTGTCTTGTTCACTACTGTATTCCAATGCTCAGCTTTGTGCAAGCTCTTAGTAACTATTGAATAAAAGAAACTTTGATAGGTACCATTATTATTTCCATTTTAGGAAACTGAGACTGAAGAGGTTTAAGTGACTTGTCTAAGGGCACAAAGCTGTTAAGTGGTGGCAGAACTCAAGCGTGTCTGTCTGACTTCCAAGCTGTACATCTAACAAGATACTGCCTTCGATTCCTGCTAGGAAAGGCCTTTGGCCGCCTCCCTGGCTTTGGAAGATAGAGCCTCCTTCAGGATTTAGCTGAAGTTTCATCACTTAAAGTTTGCCTTAACAACTTAGCCACACATAATCTTCCAGTGCTTAATTCTTATGCTACCTGTTTTTAGCATCTGTATTAAAACTACATGTGTACTGTATTTTGACTCCTTGAATTAAACTATTACTTTTTCAGAATTTATTATTTTCTCAAATTAGGTTATAGGCTCTGTTTAGTTAAATCATGCACAATATTATTTATTTATCCTGCCTTGCAAGATACCCAGTACAATGTCTTGTGGATATTAGTTGCTCAAATAAATCCTAATTTGATTCTGTCATTTCTGCCTTGTTCCAGTGTTTTCAGTTCTTTTAGAGGCTGAGATCTATATGCTATAAATCCTCTTCATTCCTGTCCTGTCTCTGGTTCTAAAAACGGTTCAGTGTTGTCCCACAGCTTCTCCCAATCTAGGCTTCTGTGGAACCATCTCCTTTTCAAATGTGCCACTTACACCACCTACACTTCTGCATATCCCCTCCCTTTTCGAGACAAGTTGAACTGATCATGAAGGATAGAGAATTTTCAAAGTGATAAAGTGGAGTTCCAGCTCTTCCACATTCTTCTTCTTTTTTTTTTTTTTTTTTTTTTTTTGATGGAGTCTTGCTCTGTCCCCCAGGCTGGAGTGCAATGGCGTGATCTTGGCTCACTGCAACCTCTGCCTCCTGGGTTTAAGCGATTCTCCTGCCTCAGCCTCCTGGGTAGCTGAGATTACAGGTGCCCGCCACCATGCCCAGCTAATTTTTGTATTTTTAGTAAAGATGGGGTTTCACCATATTGGTCAGGCTGGTCTCGAACTCCTGACCTCAGGTGATCTGCCCGCCTCAGCCTCCCAAAGTGCTGGGATTACAGGCATGAGCCACTGTGCCCGGCCACGTTCTTTTCTATAGTGCTTTTTCATTAATTTAAACCCTGTTGGGTGTCTACTATAATCCAAGAAAGCCTTGATTTTACCACAAACATGTAAATTACAAAGCTTTTTTTTTTTTTGTTTAAAACACTGAGACAAGGTCTCATCTCCCTGTGTTGCCCAGGCTGGTCTTGAACTCTTGCGCTTAAGGGATCCTCCTGCCTCAGCCTCCCAGAGTGCTGGGATTACAGGCGTGAGCCACCATGCCCAGCCCGCAGACCTTGATTGGGGATCTTTTTTTTTTTTTTTGAGGTGGAGTCTCGCTCTGTCGCCCAGGCTGGAGTGCCAGGCTGGAATGCAATGGTGCGATCTTGGCTCACTGCAACTGCCGCTTCCCGGGTTCAAGCGATTCTCCTGCCTCTGCCCCCCAAGTAGCTGGGACTATAGGCTCGTGCCACCATGCTCGGCTAATTTTTGTATTTTAGTAGAGACGGGGTTTCGCCATGTTGGCCAGGCTGGTCTTGAACTGCTGACTTCGTGATCCACCCACCTTGGCCTCCCAAAGTGCTGGGATTACAGGAGTGAGCCACTGCGCCTGGCCGGTTATGGATATTTTTTTTACCTCTACTCTTATAGTCGAGCCTCAGTCTTAGAGGAAAAATAGTTTCTTTCAGTCGATTGCCACGTTATAGTTTGCTTTAAACTACTTAGATTTGGATTCAGGGTAAAGAGCCTTCATAAATAGGAAGTGATAGAAATTCAGAGGGAGTGTGGCATGTTTTTGTTGGATTTACTTATGCTGTGAAACTTACCTAGAAGTGTACAGGCAGTCACTAAACTATGGTTAAAGAGGAATCTTTTCATTTGTACATTCCTTATCCCTGTTACAGGTTGCTGCACTTTTTTTTTCTGTCTTTATGGTAGCTAGAAATATATTGTGTATCTGATTCTATGTTTTCCTACATTTCTACATTTGACTTGGTTTGAGATCAAGTTTGTGAATTTTGATTAAATGCCTAGATTATGCATGTGAAAAATCTTTTGTCCTGTGTTGCTATGAGCAACAATTGTTAAAATTAACTTTTTTAGAAAATGTGGACAAATACATGAATCTTAACAGATTTTTAAAAAGTCATCATTTAGCATTGTGAGTGTTCTGTCTATAAAATAAATTGTTACTGTGACCATAATTATCGTGGTGAAGGGAGGAATGCAGTAGAAGTGAATAATCATCAGACACATTGACAAAACATTCCTAAAATGCTATTCAAATGAGGAAAGACATTATGGGGCTGCAGCCAAGTAGCCAAGCGTTGAGTCCTTTTAGCCAGTTGTCTGACCGGGTTTACTATTGTGACCAAAAAGAAGCTGTGTGTAGTGGTTTGCATAGAAGGGTCATGATTTATCTGAAATATCTCAACTTTTTTTTTTTTTGTAATCCTGTCTCTCATCCTCCCCTGACAACACTTTACTTCATTCTTAAAGACTCCTTTTGTCCTGATGGTGTTTGTTTCATTGCTTTCTACCGTACTCCAGTCTGAATTTTACTGACTCCTAGTGATTGCTTAGACTTGCTATTTGATTCTGTTGTGTGATTTTTGATTATACTCCTTTGTGCTATTTAAACTAGCAGTGTTTACCTAAATTAGTGGTGGTAGTGAAGGACACAGGTTGGCCCATTTGAATGAAAATCAGGAGCATTGCACTGGCCCTGCCGTTAAGATGAATTTCCATGAATTCCCTCTCCAGAAGGGCACTAGGAATTTGGCTGGACTACAGAAGTTACTTCTCCAGTTAAAGGCATGGAGTCTGGGAATGGCTTAGTTTAAGGATATATAGTGATAATGTAATTAATTCTCCCACTGAGAATATAGGACGAAGTGAAGAGATGCCCTTTGTCCTCTTCCTGCATCCTCGCCTCTTCTTCAGGTCACTATTGAGAATGAACCCTGAAGCACTTGTCCTTTACACAGTTAGCAAGAAGAAACCATGACTTGCTTCTTAAGGTTTTGGAAGAACCTGCTGGGCGCCTCATTTCAAGACGGGGTATAAAGCCCCTCCTCATATTTACTTCTCTGTGTAACCATGCACTTTGCCCATGTATGTTGGAAAACAGTGAGTTTTTTAAAAACAGAAGTTTTAATTTTAAAAACTAAAAATGGACTTTTTTTTGGTTAAGATGTCAGTTTTAAAAACACAGATATAACTTAGGATAACTCCAAAAGATATTCTGAGTTATGGGTGGGAACTTAAAATGAGCACGTAGTATATTGGAGATGGATATTCATTTAACCCATTGAGGGAAGTTTTTTATGTGTAAATCATGGAAGTCTCTTAGTACTACGTTCATTTTCTTTCCACGATTTTCATTTCTTCTGTGGTCAGCCTTTAACCCCTGAGTTCTTTACTCTGATATACATCCATAGTGATAATTATATGATTCTTAAACAGTTCATTCACAGAACTTAAATTTATTTGTTATTGGGTTTTTTAAAAACCCACAACGGAAATGGAAATCATTTAAACAGCTGGTTTCATCAAGACATCAGAAGGGATATCCTAGCCGTAGAGATGAAAAATTACCTTTACAAGTATAGAAAGGATGTTTTGCTACTTTATGATTAAGTTAATAATTTAGGAAAGCTGGTATCCTTTTTGGCCTTGTAGAGGAAAATGAGGAATCAGTTAGTTGGAAAACCAGTTATTTAAACATTCTCAATGTCAGCTGCCTGAAAGGGAATGTATATAAATTTTATTGAAAAACACCTTTATTCATGTTAGTTAAATCATAGCATATAGAATGAAATACTGTGAATTGTTAACAAAGAAAGATGTATTAGTGCCCAAATACAAAGATCTCTACTGTGATTATGTTAGGGTTAAAATGCATGTACACAGATTGATGCTGACGTTTATGAACTAGAACCATTTTGAACAAGGCATCTTTATTAGTGGCTGCTTCTGGGGAGTAAGACTGTAGACTAGGGGAATAACTTGGAGATTATGGAATTACTTTTTGGGTCACTTGAAATGATTATGTGTATACTGCACTGTTTTACACATTTAATTTAAATGAAAATTCCCTTTATAGAGAAGAAAATGTTCAAATATTCAAATTTGTACAGAGAAAAATGCAAGCATTTGTTAAAATCATGATATTCCCTAAATTTCTGTTAATATTTAATATTATTTAATTTTACCTTATCTTTAGTTTTGGGGAAGTTCTCTTTAATTTTGGTATAAGTTGGATGTGAACAATAAAATACATTTATTTAATTAATGGCTGGTCTTGCTTTGTGGCCCAGGCTGGAGTGCAGTGGTGCCATCATGGCTGACTGACCTCCTGGGCTCAGGCAGTTCTCCTGCATTGGCCTCCCAAAGTGCTGGGCTCACAGGCATGAGCCACCATGCCCAGCCAGAACACATTTTAAAAAGTAACATTGTGGCCAGGAGGGGTTGCTTACGCCTTTGATCCCAGCACTTTGGGAGGCCGGCAGATCACTTGAGCCCAGGAGTTTGAGACCAGCCTGGACAACATGGCGAGACCTTGTCTCTACAAAATAATACAAAAGTTAGCCAGGCATGGCGGTGCGCACCTGTAGTCCCAGCTACTTGGGAGGCTGAGGTGGGAAGTCAAGGCTGCAGTAAGCTGTGATGGTGATCCTACCACTGCACTCCATCCTGGGCAACAGATAGAGACATTATCTCAAAAAAAAAAAAAAAGTAACATTGTGGAGGAAAATAATTAAATTGTTGACGTGTAATTTTCTGTGATGATTGTTGTGCTAATAGAGTTTGGGTGTTCTTGATCTGAAATGCTTGGGACCGGAAGTGTTTCAGATTTTGGATTTTTTTTTTTTAAATTTTGGAATATTTGCATTATATACTTCCCAGTTGAACATCCCTAAACCAAAAATCCAAAATTCATAATGCTCCAATGAGCAATTTCCTTTGAGTGTTATGTCGGCATTCAGAAGTTTCAGATTTTGGAGTATTTTGGATTTTGGATTTTCAAATTAGGGATACTCAATCTAATAGAGGTGGGTCAGAGGTATATACATTTATAATTTTGATAGATTGTTTCAAATTGTTCTTTATGGAGGTTGTACCAATATATATTCCCAGTAACCCATGAATTTATGCCTGTTCCCCACACCTTTGTCAAACATTATATTTCAAAATAGTTTATATTTGTTATAGATAAGGGAAATGCAAATTATAACTACAATGAAATAGCATTTTTCACCTATTATGAGTGAGGTTGGACATTTTTTCACTTGTTAAGAAGCTTTTTTTTTTTTTTTTTTGCGACAGAGTCTTGCTCTGTTGCCCAGGCTGGAGTGCGGTGGCACGATCTTGGCTCACTGCAAGCTTCGCCTCCTGGGTGCACACCATTCTCCTGCCTCAGCTTCCCGAGTAGCTGGGACTATAGGCACCTGCCACCACGCCCAGCTAATTTTTTGTATTTTTAGTAGAGACGGGCTTTCACTGTGTTAGCCAGGATGGTCTCGATCTCCTGGCTTCGTGATCCGCCCGCTTCCGCCTCCCAAAGTGCAGGGATTACAGGCGTGAGCCACCACGCCCAGCCAAGAAGCATTTTTTTTCTGTGAACTAGATTTCATATTCTTTGCTCTTTATTTTTATTGGAAAGTTGCTATTTTATTACTGATTTATAAATGTTATTTATGTATTAGGCAAATTATAAAATCAGTGGGGCAAGAATGGATTATTTAATAAATGGTGCTGGTACAATAGGCCATCTGTTAGTATATTAAAAAATAAAATTCAGATCCCTATGCCTTCCCACACACACAAATTAGTGCATCGATTTATGCCTAAAATCAACAAGGAGATACAGATTTTAAGCTATTAGAAAATTATAGGTGGATGGGTATCTGTATTTCATAGTGGATTACAATAAAATTAAAACTCTGACATGACAAAAGGCATAAATTAAAGACAAAAGGGGAAATGTTTGCATATAATCAGTAAAAAATTAGTATCCTGAATGAATAAAGATCTGTATTTTATTTTATTTTTTTTGTGACAGAGTCTTACTCTGTTGCCCAGGCTGGAGTGCAGGTGCGATCTCAGCTCACTGCAGTCTCCGCCTCCCAGGCTCAAGCGATTCTCGTGCCTCAGCCTCCTGAGTAGCTGGGATTACAGGCATGCACCACCACCCCTAGCTAATTTTGTGTTTTTAGTAGCAATGGGGTTTTGCCATGTTGGTCAGGCTGGTCTTGAACTCCTGGCCTCAAGTGATCCACCCAACTTGGCCCCCCAAAGTGCTGGGATTACAGGCATGAGCCACCGTGCCTGGCCAAGATCTGTATTTTAATAAGTAAATGAGAAAGAAGAAAATGGGGTAAAAGTAACAGCCAGTTCTCAGAAGAGAACAGAGTGATCAATGAATATATGGAAAGATCTCAGTTTCATTAGAAGTAAGAGAAATGCAGAGTTAAACTGCAATGAAAGACCATTTCATTTCCATGACATTTACCAAAATTAATAGGCCTAACAACATCAGGTATGGAGAGGATGTAGGGAAATAGGAACTTTCATCATTGTTGATAGGAGTGTGAGTTGATATTACTACTAAGGAGAGCCGTTGGCACAATGTATGTCAGGTTAAACATTTGCATCCTGTTCAGCTCAGGATTCCATTTGTGTATCCTAGAGAAACTCTTGCATGTATGTTCAAGTAAGTTCATTGTAGCTTAATTTGTAAACCCAAAAAATTTTGAACAATACAAATGTCTGTCAATGGGAGATTGTATTAAACAATTTTTATGGTTTAATTACAGAGTGCTATACAGCTGTTAAAATAAATGAACTTGAATCTTCCTACAAATACCAACATAGACAAATCTCAGTGACAGTGTTTAGAGAAACACAGCAAGTTTCAGGTGTGTGTGTGTGTGTGTGTGTGTGTGTGTGTATTTCATGTAAAATTTAAAACCCCACAAAACTAAGGCATATAGCATTTATGGATATATACATAGGTGGTCAAGATTTTAAAACAGGAATGCTCTACCCCAGCATCAGGATAGTGGTTTTCTGTGGGGAAGGAAGAGTGTAAGGGGGTCTATCCTGAAAGATATCTACAGTTCTTTGTTTTTTAAATCTGAAGGCAAATATAGCATAATATCATTTCTTAAATCTTGGTGTTATAGACATACATGTTTATTGGCCTTCATATTTTTTGACATATATTAAATATACATTTTGAATTTTCCACATGCCTTTTCACTATACAGAGATAGTTTGTGCTTTACACTATTAATATGATGAATTTTATTAATAAATTTAAATTTAAAAGATTTCCTAATTTTGATATGAAGCTGGATTCTATTTGTTAATTTTTTTTTAGGATTTTTACGTGAATATTTGTGAGAGTAGTCTAGTTTTATTTTCCTCCTCTTTTGATGCCTTGTTTACCAGATTTTGGTTGTAATGTTATGCTGACTTCCTAAAAAAATTCGGAACGTTCATTCTTCTCCATGTTTTGGAACAGTTTAAGTATCATTGGAATTAAATATGTTCCTTGCAGTTTGGTAGAATTCAGATTTATAGATTATGAGATCTTGTACTTTTTCTGGGAAGGGGTTGTTCTTCTAGATAGCCATATAGATACCCAAACAGTTCCTGTTAGTTATCTATTTGGTAGCAGATAATTGTTTGGGTATCTATATGGCTGATTTTCTTGTCTTCAGGGGTCAGTTTGGTATTTACATTTTCCTGGAAAGAAATCTTCAGTGTTTTCAAATTTATTGGACAGGATAATCCTTTAATATTATTTTCTTTTCTACTGTAACTGCAATCGTTTTCCTGTTCTCATTTATAGCTTTATGTATTTGTGCTTTTTTCTTTTTTTTTTCCTTTCTCTAGTTCAGGTTACCTAACCTCTCAGTTATTTGGGTATTTTTTTCTTAAAGTAACCAGCTCTTGGACTTATTGATACAAATGACTCTTTCTAATTCGGTACTTTATGCTTTTGTTTTTAGTTTTTCTTTCTGCTTTTTCTTTTTTTCCTTTTTCTCTTTTTTTTTTTTTTTTGCTGGGATTACAGGCATGAGCCACCATGCCCAGCTTGCAGATCTTTTTTTTTTTTGAGACGGAGTCTTGCTCTGTTGCCTAGGCTGGAGTGCAGTGGCATGATCTCGGCTCACTGCAACCTCCGCCTCCCGGATTCAAGCAGTTCTCCTGCCTCAGCCTCCCGAGTAGCTGAGATTACAGGCACGCGCCACCATGCCCGGCTAATTTTTTGTATTCTTAGTAGAGACAGGGTTTCACCATGTTGGCCAGGCTGGTCTTGAACTCTTGACCTTGTGATCTGCCTGCTATGTTGTGATTTCGTTATCTTGTACTTACAGTTTTGAATTCTTTATTCAGAACTTAGAATCTATGGTAGCTCAGACTCCTCCACAAAAGCGTGGAAATGATTAAACACACTAAATTTTTCTGATGGAATGTGTAGCCAAAGAAATAGTCCCAAGAGCAGGAAGCATTCCCAGTGCTCACCATTGCCAGGGTGTTTGGAGGGGACCCGGGGCTATGAGGGCTGCTTGTAATGTGTGGGACCGATGCAGGAATAAGGGCTGGAGTTACAGGCTTTCCTTCAGGGCTTCTTCATGCCCGCAGTGCCTCAGGGATGGAAGCTTTTATATCAAATAAGGCTTGTTTCCTGGAGTGAAGATGCAGGTCCATCCTCGATTTTTACAGGTTCAATTTGCAAGTGACTCAGTTCAAGGGTATCATGAAATCTGCTTTTGGGTGCTGTGTTCAAATTATCTGCACATATTTCTAGTTATATATGAGTGCTCCCTGACATCTGTCCTGTTTTGTTATTGTAGCTGTCATTGCTTATAGCTTATAGTTATTGTAATACTTTAAGTAAATTCTTTATCATTTACAAAAATGAATGTTAAAAAGTTTTCAAAAATGCTATTTCTAGTGAAAAACATGAGGATTCCTTTGCTTCAATTAAATGTTTGTTTGATTTAAGCCAGTTGTGTACGTGTTCCGTTGTGAGAGAAAATGAAAAAGATTTAGTTTGGTATTGCATTGTGTAATACTGGGTCTAAAGTTTTATAATATTGTCTAGTCTTCTTGCTCCTGCCAGTCCCCATATAACATTAAGCCCTTTGAAAACTTTTCATACTCAACTTAGTATGCCTTTTTAGGAATTGTTTTAATATCGAAGTAGAAAACTCCGTACAGTCTTTGAGTTTACTTGAGTCTGTAGGTGTTTTATTTATCTTCGGTGTTCCAGAAGAATTCATGCTCATTCCCATGTTCCTCTCTCCATGTTAGAAGGGAGAAAACATCCCTCATTCCCAGCTGCATGGCACTGAAGGCCTTTAGGACTGTTTAATGAACACACACAGTTGGTGAAATGAGAAGGATTGGCCTTGTTCATGTCCACGGCTGGACTAGGGTGAGGCAAAGCATCTCACTAAGGAAAGGCCCAGGGTGCAGAATTTAAGGAGGCACTTGCTCTGCCATGCATGTAGATGCAAGGTCAGCATGGCATAACCCTTAGAACAAGTGCCCCTTAAATGTTGTGCCTTAGGACCCTGGCTCGCCTCACCCTGGTCCTGGCCCAGTTCAGTTCCTCCATGTGTCCATTCTTTCCTCCTTCTGCAGACTCTCTCTGAGCCTGTTTATTCTCAAAGTAACTAGGAAACCACTGCCTTGTTCATTGGGGTATTCAGATAAATTTTGTCCACTGCTGACAGAACTGGGTGAGAACAAGTTATTATTATGGATTGTTTGAGAGGTAATGTCAGTGTTTCTCTTCCTGGATTGCGTATTTAAAGACAGTCTTGCTACTGAGAGCTTGTTGCTAAAGCCAGTCCTCTGGGATCCTGTTATGCCAGAGAAGGTTATCAGATGCAATGACATCCTGGTTCTCAACTCAGCAGGCATCATGGGGCTTCTCAAATATCTAGTACTTGCCCCTAAATATGTCTTGGGTGATAGGTATGTGTTCTTTCTATCCACTGTTGTCATTTTTGTGGCAAATAACACTAGGGGGTTCTTAGGAATAGGAGAGGACTGTTGTAGATCAAGTGGCAGCAGAGTTTCCTTAGCACTTTCCAAAACCTACATATTTTACTTTCAGGTCAAAGGATAGATTAGTTTTTACATCAAACCTAGTAGAGTGAATATGAAGAAGGAAAACTGTGATTTGGAAAGTCTTCTATGGCCTATGTATGCACACACACTGGTTTATTTTATTTTATTTTATTTATTTATTTTTTTGAGACAGGGTCTTGCTCTGTCACCTAGGCTGGAATCATGGCTCACTGCAGCCTCCACCTCCTGGCTCAAGTGATCTTTCTGCCTCAGCCTCCTGAGTAACTGGGACTACAGGTGCAAGCCACCATGCCCAGCTAATTTTTTTTTTTTTTTTTTTTAAAGAGAGATAGAGTCTCACTGTATTGCCCAGACTGGTCTCAAACTCCTGGGCTCAAGGAATCCACCCACCTCAGCCTCCCAAAGTGCTGGGATTATAGGCATAAGCCACCATGCCTAGCCAGGAAAGAGACCTTTTGATGAAGAAAGGGTCAAAGTCATGAGAATTACAAATGTCACTGGAAAGCAGAATTGGTTTGCAAAGGAAAGGAGAAGAGTTTGACCTTGAGCATGTTAAATAATAAGAAAATATATTTCTGATGATTCAAAGATTAAACGTATAAAATTATTCCTTAAGGAAAGCAAGAAGAAAAATAGATGAATAATCTTCAAATAGAGAAGGCCTTTCGAGGCATTATATAAAACCCAGAAGCATAAAAGACTGGGAAATTTGATTAATAAAAATTCATGTTCATGCCACAACACAGATGGACCTCAAGGACATTATACTAAGTGAAATAAGCCCGACAGGAAGAAAAATATTGCTTGATATCACTTATATGTGGAATCTTTAAAAACAAAAAGTCAAATATATATATGGAGAATGAAACAGTGGTTATCAAGGATGAACTAGGGGCTAGCAAGTGGAGAGATGTAGGTTCAAGGATACAAAGTAGCAGATAGGGAGGATGAGCAAGTCTAGAGACCTAATATACAACATGAGGCCTACAGTTAATTATAGTGCATTATATTTGGGATTTTTGCTAAATGAGTAGATTGTAGCTTCTCTTGCCCCCACCAAAAAGGGGGGAATAACTATGCAAGATAATAGATGTGTTCATATGCTTCACCATATTAATCATTTTACTATCTATATTATATACCTTAAATGTGTACAATACAATTTTTTAATTGAAAACATGAAACTATAAAAATCCATAAAATCTAAATTGAAAACATATATATGTAACACATTACAAAGGGCCAACTGTCCTAATTATATAAGAGCTTTTTACAGATCATAAGATGCATCCAATTTAAATGTAAGAGACATTTTCCAAGGAAACTATGAGAACAATCCAATCTAATAAAGAAATGTACATTATAATTATACTAAGTGAAATAAGTATAGGGTCTTGGGACTAGGAGTTCAAGACCAACCTGGGCAACATAGTGAGACCCCATCTCTGAAAAAAAAAAAAAAAGGCCAGGTGCAGTGGCTCATGCCTGTAATCCCAGCACTTTGGGAGGCTGAGGCAGGCAGATCACAAGGTCAGGAGTTCGAGACCAGCCTGGCCAATATGGTGAAACCCCCTCTCTACTAAAAATACAAATATTAGCCGAGTGTGGTGGCACTCACCTGTAGTGCCAGCTAGTCAGGAGGCTGAGGCAGAAGAATTGCTTGAACTTGGAAGGCAGAGGTTACAGTGAGCCAAGACCGTGCCATTGCACTCCAGCCTGGGCGACAGAGCGAGACTGTCTCAAAGAAAAAAAAAAGAAGAAGACAAAAATTAGCCAGGTGTGGTGGCACATGCCTGTAGTCTCAGCTACTCAAGAGTTTAAGGTGGGGAGGATTGCTTGAGCCCAGGAAGTGGAGGCTACAGTGAGTTGTGATTGTGCCACTGCATACTAGCCTGGGCAACAGAGCAAGATCCTGTCTTAAAAAGATCAAAATGTGTCTTTTTGTGGCTCTTCCTATAAGACAACCTCCTTGTTCTTCACCTTCATCATTTACTTTCTACTTGTTTTTTGATTGTGTCTTCCAACCCCTTAAAAATGGGTGTTTTTCAGAATTCTAGGTAGGTAGGGGCCATTTATCTTGCTACAGTTGTATAATCAGGGCCAGCGCAATGCTTGACATATGTGAGAAGCTGTATTTATTGAATGAATGGATGAATGTACCTCTGTCCTTGTCCTCCAACTGTTTTCAGGATTTTCTACATTGGCATTCAGATGTTGCCTCCAAAATAATGTGTCCCAGAACAATCTCATGCAGTAGATGTAGTGTATCTGAACAAGGTATTTATAACATTCTTATGAAGAACACAGTGAAATATAGACTTACTAGCTTTTTAGTTAGGCATACTAGTAATTGAGTGATTTATTATATAAGTACTGTATTGCCTGGTGGACATATAAAGGGAAAGGACTTAAGAGTTTTAATTGATTATTTGGCTCAACATAAGCAAAGAGTGTGACCTGATTTTTGAAAATGCTAAGGTGATTTCATATGATCAGAAGAATAAGTTTTGCTTTTTACTATGACACTATACCTGGAATATTGCATTTGATTTAGGGATAGCAGTTACTTGGAGTTCATTTAGAGCTAACGGCTTAAAGAATGGTGAAGGGACTGGAAATTATGTCACAGGAGGAACGGCTGGTGGAAAGGTGAATAGTTAGCTTGAAGGAGAGAATGTTTTTGGGGGAGGGGTATCTCTTATGACTGGATGATGATATAATTTATTGTTCAAACCAGGGCTCTTTGAGACTGAAGGTCATCACTATCTATACTTATCCTGGGATGATGGGCGTGGACTAGGACTGTCTTAGCAAATGGAAACATGGTTACCTACTTATCTCCAAATATTTTAAGGTCTGTCTTGTGAAAGAAAGATCAGACCTCATTTATGGGAGATTTAGGACCAGTGGACACAACTACAAGAAGACCTGCATCTTTTTCCTTATAACAAGCCATAATCCAATTCTTCAGTTGTTGAAGAATGTAAGGGCTGCCTTATGAAGTGGTATGTTTCTTATCACTGTTGATGCCAAGAATCTGTACAGTTGTTCTTTCTAAGTCTTGATAATGTACAGGTTAGATGAATCGATTTGTACCAACCCATCAAATGTTTGGGTATTTTATTCTTTTCAGGTACTATGCAGATGTCCATGTACTTATTACATTTAGTTTAATCATTTGGATATTTCTGGCCTTTTACTAGGGAAAGTTAGAATCCATGTCTTTGATGGCTTTTGTGATAGCTCTATGTCTGCAGTCATGTGATCACTTACACCAGCTGCACAACTTGTCCATTTTATCTTACAGCACAGCTCCCTCTTTTCTCTTCAGCAGAGTGCAGGGCTGTTGTGTTTTCTGTCTCTGGCCTTTTTCTCTACTTTCAGCACCTGCCCTTGTTTTGCCTGGAAATGTAAGCGTATGCTCTTATTTGGTATAACACTCTTCTTTATTCCTAAGTATCTTTTTTTTTTTTTTTTGAGACAGTCTTGCTCTGTCGCCCAGGGTGGAATGCAGTGGCATGATCTTGGCTCACTGCAAGCTCTGCCTCCTGGGTTCACGCCATTCTCCTGCCTCAGCCTTCCAAGTAGCTGGGACTACAGGCGCCCGCCACCACGCCCTGCTAATTTTTTGTATTTTTAGTAGAGACGGGGTTTCATCGTGTTAGCCAGGATGGTCTTGATCTCCTGACCTCATGATCTACCTGCCTCGGCCTCCCAGTGCTGGGATTACAGGCGTGAGCCAGCGCTCCCAGCCATTCCTAAGTATCTTTAAAATTAAAAAAAAAATTATGTGTGGCTGGGTTTTTATGCTAAACAAAAGGTGTTTATTGTGATCTTCATGGCAGAGTAGTTAAAGGGATGCAAACTTTGGATGTGTTCAGTTTGTACTGTGAGTGCTGTGGTCTTTCCTTGGCTTTCCACAGGGCACTGATTATGTACTTGATTCTTTGGTACCTTATTTAGTCCTTGACAGCAACTCTAAGAGGTAGACGTGACTATTTCCATTTTTTAAAGAGGTTTAGAAAGGTTAAATAATCTGTCTGAGGTGACCTAGCCAGGAGGTATCTTAGCTGGATCTGAGCCCAGTTTCTTCATTTGTCCACGTATTTATTCATTCAGCCACTGTCTGAGTGCTTGCATTGTGCCAGGCATCATGCCAGGTCCTGTCTGCTTCTCTGGATTTGTACCTAACAAGTCACCTTCTTCTTTCCCTGCAAATACACACTCTAGTCACATTGGGCATTCTCCTCTACCTCCTGAAAAAAGACTCAAAATGTACTATTTAAATGTTAAATCTCATCCGAAAAGTACTTTCACAGCAACATCTAGACTAGTGTTTGATCAAATATCCGGGTACTGTGTCCTAGCCAGTTTGACACATAAAGTGAACTATCACTGCAATCAAGACAGTGTGGTATTTGTGAAAGTTAGATATAGATCAGTGAGACATAATAAAAAATCCGGAGGTAGACCCACACAATTGTGGACATTTGATTTTCAAAAAAGCTCAAATGCTGTTTAATGAAGAAAAGTTACTCTTTTTAACAAATGGTATTGGCCATCTATATGCAGAAAACAAACTCCCGTGTAAACTTCACATCTTACACGGAAATTAACTCAAAGCTGATCATAGATATAAATGTAAAATATAAAATTATAATTTTATAAATTTATAATTTTATAAATTTTAGAAAATACATCAGAAAAAATCTTCATGACTTTCTGTTGGGCAAAGAGTTCTTAGACATGATACCAAAGCATGATTCATGAAAGAAAAAATGGTAATTTAGACTTCATCAAAATTAAATACTTCTGTGGATGATGCCGCTAAGAAAACGAGGTTGAATATATTTTTGTATGTTTATAGGCCATTCGTTTACCTTTTCTTTGAAATTCCTAGATGGGGTTTTTGTTTTTTCTTGATTGTTCATCTTCTTATTGGTTTGTTAATCTTTTATTGATTGTTACAAGTTCCTTAAGTATTTTAGAAGCAAATCTTTGTTCTATGTGCTACAAATATCTTCTTCTACTTAATTGCTTGTTTTTTAACTGTCTTTGTGGAGTTTTGGATAAATGGCAGTTCCAAAGTTAGTATAGTCAGATTTGTCCATCTTCTTTCTCATTTGTGCTTGCGCATTTTGTTTTTTGTTCATCCTGAGGTCATAATATGTTATACTACATGAACTTTGCAAAGCTTTAGAGATTTGTCTTTATATTTGGGTCTTCAAATCACTAGGATTTGATTTTTGAGTATGGGTTATAGGATGAGACCAATTTCATTTTTTTCTCCTGTATGTCTAACTTGTCATCACAGCTCTGTGTATTGAAAGGTCCAGCCTTTTCACACTGAGCAGCTATGATGCCTCTTCCACACCAGTTTCTTCTATAAATCAAGTCTCCAAGTTTGTGTGGGTCTATTTTTGTGTTGCAGTTCAGTTCCTTTAGTTCTTTTATTTATTTCTTTTGCCAATATCATGTTGTCTTCAATATTATAGTTTTATAATATTGATAACAAATCTTGATATTTGGTAGGGAAAGTCTCCCAGATTATATATGTGAAGACAGTGATATCATTTACAAATAATGACACTCTTGTTGTTCCTTGCTTATCCTTAATCCTTTTATTTTGTTTTCCTGCCATTCAGTACTAGCTCAGACTCCCAGTACAGTGTTGAATTGAAGTAGTAATAATGAGCATCTTTGTCTTGTTCTAAATCCTACAGGGAGTACTTTCAATGTAAATAGATATTTTGTAGACACCCATTATCAGGTTAAGGAAGTTCCCTTCTGTTCCTAGCTTGCTAAGAGGTTTCTTTTTTTTAATATACGGGTGTTGAATTTTATAAAAAGATTTTCTGTTTCTTTTTTTTTTTTTTGAGACGGAGTCTCGCTCTGTCGCCCAGGCTGGAGTGCTGTGGCGCGATCTCAGCTCACTGCAAGCTCCGCCTCCCGGGTTCACGCCATTCTCCTGCCTCAGCCTCCCGAGTAGCTGGGACTACAGGCGCCCGCTACCACGCCCGGCTAATTTTTTGTATTTTTAGTAGAGACGGGGTTTCACCGTGTTAGCCAGGATGGTCTCGATCTCCTGACCTCGTGATCCGCCCTCCTCAGCCTCCCAAAGTGCTGGGATTACAGGCGTGAGCCACCGCGCCCGGCCGATTTTCTGTTTCTTTTGAGGTAATCAAATGATTTTTTTTTCTGTGAATAGTAGAAGTTATATTAAATACATTAATTTATATTCTAACATCAAGCCAACTTTACATTCTTGGAATTAACCAAAATTTGTCACAAATGATTGTTATTATTATTGCACTTGCTAGGATTTGACTTATCAATACTTTATTATTAGCCCCTGTTCCCAAATTTAAAATGGGTCCCTATTTCAGGGATATTAAGTTTTCTTTTCTTTCTTTTCTTTTTCCCTTCCCTTTTTTTCCTTTTCTTTTCCCTTCCCTTTTTTCCTTTTCTTTTTCCTTCCCTCTTCCCTTACCTTTTTCCTTCCTTCTTCCCTTCCCTTTTTCCTTCCCTTTTTTTCTTTTCTTTCTTTCTTTTTTTTCTTTTTTTTTTTTTTTTGACCAGGTCTTGCTCTGTTGCCCAGGCTGGAGCTAGAGCACAGTGATGTGATCCTGGCTTACTACAGCCTTCAACTTCTGGGCTCAAGCCTTTGTCCAGTCTCTGCCTCCCAAGAGGCTGGGACTATAGGAGCACACCCCCTTGCCTGCCTGTTTTCTTTTTTCAAATGACTGATGATAATTATAGGATGCCATAGATTAAGATGTATTCTGGTTTTAGAGATTTAAAAATGTATGTCTTAATGCCAGTTAAGTGTTCTGATTTTTTTTTGTTTTATATCTATGTTCTCAGGTGAGCTTGGTTTACAATTTTACTTTCTCATGCTTTTCTTTTACTTTTTCTTTTTGAGACGGAGCCTTGCCCTGTCGCCCAGGCTGGAGTGCAATGGTGCGATTTCAGCTCACTGCAACCTCTGCCTTCCAGGTTCAAATGATTCTCCTGCCTCAGCCTCCCGAGTAACTAGGATTACAGATGCCCACCACCACGCCCAGCTAATTTTTGTATTTTTAGTAGAGACGGGGTTTCACCGTGTTGGCCAGGCTGGTCTTGAACTCCTCACCTCGTGATCTGCCCACCTTGGCCTCCCAAAGTGCTGGGATTACAGGCGTGAGCCACCATGCCCCGCCTTCTCATGTTTTTCTTGTCAAGTTTTGGCATTAAGATTATGCACCATGATGAAATGAATTGAGAAACGTGCCCACATTTTCTAGACTCTGGAATTGTTGGTGTAATATTTATTTCTTGACTGGTTGAACAAGCCCATAAAAGCATATGGTTGTGGCATTTTAACTACTGATAGTTTCTTTATTGCTTACAAAACTATTCAGGTTTTCTATTTCTTCTTGATTCTGTTTTTTTCAGTTTCATTTTTTAAAGGAATTTGTTCATTTCATCCCTATGTCCGAATTTGTTAGCATAAAGTAACTCATAATAAATTCATGTATGATTAATCTATATAACATCTGTTGTCTCTCTTGCTTTTTTTTGTAGTTCTTTTTGTTTGCTTTTGTTAGATGTTAGTTTTATTATTCTTTCAAAGAACTAAGTTTTGACACTGACATTGTTCATCTTTTTTATAGTTTGCATTCTGTTTCATTATTTTCTGTGCCTATTATTAATATTTCTGTACTTCTACTTTGGGTTGATTTTACTATTTTTTTTTTTTGAACCTCTTAAAAGGGATGCTTAGCATAGTAGATGGTCTTTTCTCTTTAAAAGTTATGCTTATTAGATAATAAACCTAAGTACATTGTGCTTTACTTGAATCTCATGTTTTTATATGTGGAGTTTTATTATTTAGTTTTACAAAGTTTGTAATTGTTATTTCATTTTCTTTTACCCCTAACTATTTAGAAGTACCATTCTGGCTTTACAGACAACTGTTCTGTATATATGCATCAGATCACACTTGTTAATTTTATTGCTCAGGTGTTTTATCTTGTTGCCTCTTGTTTGTTTCATCTCTCTCACCATGAATTCTAGTTTGTGAATTTTTTCACATAATTCTCATGATTTTTGCTTTATATGATAATTTGTTAGTAGGTACGTGCAAACTTAGAACTATGACATCTTGCTGAATTGTCCCTTTTATTGTTATGTAATAACTTTTATTTCTAAAATGCTTTTGCCTTAAAATCTATTGTTTCTATTATTAATATAACTACACTAACTTTTAGTTAGTAATTTCCTTATTTTCCTTGTTTAGATGTGTCTTTTGAACATGATATATTTAAATTAAAAAAATCTAGTCCGATATGATCTTTATTTTTTTTTTTTTAAATTCGAGAGAGTCTTGCTCTGTTGCCCAGGCTGGAGTGCAGTGGCACGATCTTGGCTCACTGCAGCCTCCACCTCCTGGGTTCAAGCGATTCTCCTGCCTCAGCTCCCGAGTAGCTGGGACTACAGGCGTGTGCCACCACATTTTTTTGTATTTTTAGTAGAGATGGGGTTTCACCATGTTGGCTAGACTCGAACTCCTGACCTCAGGTGATCCACCCACCTAGACCTCCCAAAGTGCTGGGATTACCGGAGTGAGCGACCCCGCCTGGCTGATCTTTATCTTTTAACTGGACTACTTAGTTTACATTTATTGTAATTATTACTGTGTTCATATATGTTTCTACTGTGTTATTTTGTACTTTTTGTTTCCCCTGCCTTTTCTTCCTATTTAGTTGATTGATTAGTTTTTCTCTCTACTAGCTTAGAGGTTTGCTTTTTTTTTGGTGGCTACCCTACAAATGATGAGGTTCATATTTACTTTTTTCTGATTCTATTAATAATTAGTATCTTTATCTTCTTTTAGGACAAGTCGAGAACCTTGTAGTACTTAAAGTATCCTTTCCCAATTTATATGCTACTTTTGTTCAGTACTTTAATTATATATATATATATAGATACACATGTAGAAAGAGTACATGAGAGAGAGAGGACAAAAGAGCATTAATGTTTTATGTAGTATGTTTGTTTAATTCACTTCCGTACCACTTTCTTGTTCTTCATACCTTCTTGCAACTCAAACCTACCAGCTGGGATCACTTTCTTTCCTCAGTGCATACCTTTTCAAGTGTCTTTTGTCAAAGATCTGCTGGTTGCACGCTCAATTTTTCTTGGAAAATGTCTTCATTTCATTATCATTTTTGACAGATTTTTTGCTAAATATTGAGTTATAGGCTGACAGTTATTTTCTCACAGTACACTGTTGATACAATTCCACTGTCTTTAGGCTTTTATTTTTGGTTTTTTAAAATCAGCTAACAGTATGTTATTCCTTTAAATGAGTTTTCTATTCTCTTTTCTTTTCTTTTCTTTTCTTCTCTTCCCCTTTTATTTTTTGAGACCAGGTCTCACTCTGTTTAAAACATTTTCTTGTTATCTGTGGTGTTCCTCAATTTCTCTTTGATGTGTGTAGGTATGGGTATAGATTGCTTTCTATTGATGCTTCTTGAGATCCACTAGGCCTCTTGAATCTGTAGATAGGTGTTCTTTTTATGAATTCTAGAAAGGCTTTACATAGTATCTCTTTACATATTGCCTCTCTCCCATTCTCTCTTTCTTCTTTATGGAGCTCTATTTAGAAAAATGTTACTTACTCTATGGTCTATACCTCTTTCATATTTTTCATTTCTTTGTCTTTTGGGGCTTCCTTTTGGATAGTTACTTCAGTTGCGACTTTCACTTCACAAATTCTGTCTTTGATTGTGTCTAATCTGCTGTGAAACTTCTTATTTGAATTTTTAATTTTAGTTATATCTTATTTCTGGGAGATCTCATTGGTTCATTTTCAAATCTGGTCATTCTTTATTCATTTTTAAGACTTTCCTGGAAACATAGTACGCATGCTTATTTTAGGGCCTGTGCTTGGTAATTCTTACACAGTCACACTTTGCTTAACGATGGGGATACGTTCCGAGAAATGTGTTATTAGGCAGTTTCGTCATTGTGTGAACATCATAGAGCAAGCTTATCCAACCCGTGGCCTGCGAACCGCATGTTGCCCAGGACAGCTTTGAATGCAGCCCAACACAAATTCGTAAACTATCTTAAAACATTATGAGATATTTTTGCAAAATTTTTTTAAAGCTCATCAGCTATTGTTAGTATATTTTATGTATGGTCCAGGATAGTTCTTCTTCTTCCAGTGTGGCCCAGGGAAACCAAAAGATTGGATACTGCTGTCATAGAGTGTACTTACACAAACCTAGATGTTATAGCCTATTAGGCCTATACCTAAAACCTAGGCGATATGGTGGTGCCTATTCCTCCTAGGTTACAAATCAGTACAGCATGTGATTGTACTGAATACTGTAGGCAGTTGTAACACAATGGTAAGTATTTGTGTATCAACATATCTAAACATAGAAAAAGTACTGTTTAGGGCCCTTAACATGAATGGAGCTTGCAGGACTTCCAGGAAGTTGCACTGAGCGAGTCAGTGGCGAGTGACTGTGGAGGCCTTCAACATTACTGTACACTACTGTACCCTTTATAAACACTGCACACTTAGGCTACATTACATTACATTTATTAAAAAATTTTTCTTCAGTAATCAATGCTAACTTACTGTAACATTTTGACTTTAAAACTTTAATTTTATTGAACTTTTTGACTTTTTTTAAATAACAGCCTAAAACACACACACATTGTACACCTGTTCAAAAATATCTTTTCTTTGTGTCCTTGTTCTATAAGCTTTTTTGTTTTAAAATATTTATTTATTTTTTCTTTTTAAACTTTTTTTGTTAACAGCTCAAACAAACACACACATTAGCCTAGGCCTGCATAGGGTCAGGACCATCAAGATATTCCTAGGTGATAGGCATTTCTCAGCTTCTTTGGAATTTTTTTTTTTTTGAGATGGAGTCTCACTGTTGCCCAGGCTGGAGTGCAGTGGCACGATCTTGGCTCACCGTAACCTTGACCTCTCTGGTTCAAACAATCCTCCCACTTCAGGCTCCTAAATAGCTGGGACTGTAGATGCGCACCACCATACCTGATTAATTTTTGTATTTTTTGTAAGGACAAGATTTTGCCATGTTGCCCAGGCTTGTCTCGAACTCCTGGACTCAAGCAGTCTGCCTGCCTCGGCCTCCCAAAATGCTGGGTTTACAGGTGTGAGCCACCGTGCCTGGCCTATAGTCTTATGGAACCAAAATGTCATTGTGTAGTACATGACTGTACTTGACTTTTCGTTGTTACTGTGTGATAACGCAGACTTGTTTCTTTTGATTCTTGTTCTTGATACCTTTGTTTCCTTGTATGTTTAGTGATTTTTGACTGTGAGCTAAGTTACTTATTTTTAATAGAACTTTGTATGTATTGATCCTTTGAGGCCTGGCAAAAGATGGGTTCTTTCAGAAAGGGTTTATATTTACTTTTTCTAGGTGCTGAGGGGCTCTGCCAGTCTGGAATCACCTAAATTCCTATCTTTGCTTCGTTTTAGCCACCACATAGGGTAAAATTGGGCTGTAAAACCTATCTGGAAGTTGTATTGATTTTATGAATTCTTGGGGGAGGTGGGCTTCACCCTCCCCCTATAACCTTTGGGCTGGAGTTTCGGACAGGCTCTTTCTTTTTGCAGTCTTCTGGGGTTCTGGGATGGATGTGAGTATTACTTTACCATTATAAGAGGATCTAGTCTCTTTGGCATCTGAACTTAATGGTAGGGTTTTGCTTAGTTTCCTCACTTTGGTCAAACTCTTGAGTGTGGTTGTAGATCCTAATTAGGAAAACTCATGCTTAGCTCAGGGGTTTGGACATTGTGGTCTGCAGACCAAGTCTGGCCTGGTGTTTTCTTTTTGTAAATAAAGTTTTAATGGAACACAACAACATCCATTCTTTTATGTGTTATCTATGGCTGCTTTTGTACTTCAGTGGCAGAGTGGAGTGGTTTCCGCAGGAGACCATATGGTCTGCAAAGCTGAACATATTTATCGTATGGTCCTTTATATAAAACTTTGCTGACTCCTGCGCAAAGTCATTAACCTGATGGACACCCTATCTAATTAGGTGAAAGTCTCCTTTAGGGCCCCATTTCCTTTTCTGGCTACTGCTTTCCTTCAGTTCCTGGCCTGAACATTCTTTATTTTCTCGCTAGCTCATGGACAAAGGCAAGTTTTTTGTTTTTTTGTTTTTTAAGTAACACATTTAGTTGTCTTAAGCAGGATTGTTGGTCTGGCATCTAGTCCTTCATGTGGCTGGAAATACGTATGTATTTTTATAACACGGCCCCAGTGATGTATTGTCAGGCTTGGGATGTACTACAGGTAACAGCTGGATAGGTGAGTTTGCAGAGAATGCTATCACATGTACTCTGCATCTTGAATTCTAGTCAAACTTACAGAAGATGTGGGAATTGGAAGAGTGGCAGTCGATTGTAGTGGAGGTTTGTATCAGTAACATATTACTGATTCTGTCTCTTAGCAGCCAAGAAATCTAGGAGGGACCAGCTGCTTTGTAGCCCCAGACTGCAGGATCACAGTGGTAACTCTTTTGCCTCCTTCCTTTAATCAAGGTTCAGTTGGGAGTCAGGAGCTAGAAGCTGGAAATCCAGCCATTGTTCCCATTTGGATGGGGTAAGCGGAATGAGGACAGTCACTTCCTTGGTGATCTCATCTAATCGTAGGTTTAAATTCTACCTCTGTATGCTCAGAAATCTCCAGTTCACATTGCTGGCCTAAACTTCAGACTCTATAATGGCCTACTTGACAGGTCTACTTTGATGTCTAGTGGGCCCCCTCATCCAAAACATGTCCAAAAATGAACTCCCCATCTGTCCCCCACATTTGGCTCTTTCTTTTCCATCTCAGTAAATGTCAACAGCATTCCACCAGTAGATCAGGCCAAAAACCTTACAGTCATTGTGTACTTCTTTTTTTCCTCTTGCCATTTGCCAAGGTCCATGAGCAACCACAAAGAACAGAGCCCACTCTTGACAGATGATGAATATGATAGTGTGAGTGAGAAATAAACTTTGCTGTTTGAGATCTTAAACTTGTTTGTGGTCCTAGAATAACCAGGCCTATCCTAACTGATACAGTTTATTATGCTGTAAGTACACACACATATGCATTCACCCGTGCCGCCCTACCCCCGTCATCTGCCACCATATAACGTTAGTTCTCAGAGCAGGGAATTGGTTTTTGTTTTTGTTTTTGTTTTAAATTGAGACAGAGTCTCATTCTGTTTCCGAGGCTGGAGTGCAGTGGTGTGATCTCAGCTCACTGCAACCTCCATCTCCCGGGTGCAAGCAATCCTCCTGCTTCAGCCTCCCGAGTAGGTGGGATCATAGGTGCACACCTCGACGCCCGGCCAATTTCGTATTTTTAGTAGAGACAGGGTTTCACCATGTTGGCCAAGCTGGTCTCGAACTCCTGACCTCAGGTAATCTGCCTGCCTCTGCCTTACAAAGTCCTGGGATTATAGGCGTGAGCCACTGCTCCCAGCCTGGGAATTTGTTTTGTTTACTGCTGCATCGCTGGTATGTATAGGTGCTCAATAAATACTTGTAAATGAATGAATGAATGTGTACTGTGTTGTAGGGATTGAGAACTGTTCAGGAATGTACAGTGGGGAGGAAGATAGATGTTTAACAAATATTACTCTAAAACAGTGAGTACATTGTAAACTGTGACCTTGGTGGTCCAACGTATATCTGAATCATGTGGGCTCCCGATTAAGAGTGGAGATTCCTGTGGTGCCTTGCCCGAGACCTACTAAGTCAGGATTTCTAGATGTGGGGCCTGGGAATCTTCCTTTTCAAGCAGTTATTGCAATGATTCTTTCATACACAAGATTTGAGACCACTGCTTCAAGGGGAGAGTGGTCTGGTGCTGCCAATAGATAAAGACAAAGCAGATTTGCCCTTGTGTTGTTAATGGGAAGATACTGACTCACGTGGGAGTCATGAGTATAAACTATTAGAACTTTTCAGTACTTTAAAGAATATATTGGGTTTAGCAAGTATTTTTTTTACTGTATATAAAGAAGCATTATTTTTAATAAGCAGAATTACAGTTTTACTGCTAGATCAAATTATTAATAAGACCTTGGAAGAACAGCATGGAAAAGGAAAAATTCATTTACCTTCTTGACTTGTGCCCACTCTACTAATTTTATAGTTTTTATAATAAAAGCCACAGCCTTTACTGAATTTTTACTCTAGGCCAGACACTCAATTAAGAGCATAGACTCTAGAGTGAGACTGCCTGATTTCCACCAATCTGCTTAATAACTATGTAACCTCTCTGTGCTTCAGTTTCCTGAAATGAGGGTACTAGTCATGCCCACTGCATAGTATTATTTTGGGAGTAAAATTGGATAATTGTGCTCTGAATAAGTGTAGCACAGGGTGAGAAAAATTCGTGGGAAACCACAGGAAGTACCGAACAGCCAGAAGAATGAGCTGAAGGATTTCAAGGCTGTTAAGGAGCATCTGATTTCTATTCTCCAGGTATTAGTCAGCTCAGGCTGCCATAACAAAATACCACTGACTGAATGGCTTAAACAACAGAAGCTGATTTTTTCACAGTTTTGAAGTCCAAGGTTAAGGTGTCAGCAGATTAGGTTTGGGTGAAGGCTCTCTTCCTGGCTTGCAGAGACTGCCTTCTTGCTGTGTCCCCACATGGCCTTTCTCACCATGTGTGTGTGCTTGGGAAGGGGAGAGCGTCAGTTCTCCCTTGTCTCTTTATAAGAACATCAATTCTATGAGATCAAAGCCCTGATCTTATGACCTCATTTATCCTTAAATACCTCCTAAAGACCCTGTCTCCAGATATATTCACATTGGGAATTAGGCTTCAACGTATACATTTGTGGGACCATAATTCAGCCCACAGCACCCTACTACCACCCCAGGAGGCAAATATATAGCATCCTCTAAGCCGAGATGATTTCTCTAGTATCTTCTAATGAGTGTCAGTTAAAAATTATTACCAAGTGGCTAGATTCACCTTTGTATCACCAAAATACTTATTTCAAAGTATTTGCCATTTCTGTAGGTGCCGGTGTGTTGCAAAAATAAGGTACAAACACCCTGGGAGTCAGTCTTTCTGTATACTGAGAGGTGTATCATTATGTAGATATACAGTTCTGATATCTTCATGAATTATACATGACAGCTTTATGTTATTTTACATTTCTAACTAAATAGATATTATCTAATACTCATTTAACAAATGTCTGTTTGTCCTGCTGTATGCTAGGCACTGCTTGTAGCCATGAATACTACAGCAAAAAGCTTAGCAGAGACAAGGCTCTGCCTTCATGGCATATAGACTATAGCAGGGGACATGTGTTTAGTAAGTAACAGACAAAGAAATACATAGCACAATGTCTATGTGCTGTGAAGAAAACACAGAAAGCTATGGTAATTGTTGAGGAAAGCAGTTTGGTGGGTTGGAGTGCTATTTTAGAAAAGTGATAGGAGAGCATGGGCATTCGTCAGGGAAATATTTGAGAAAAGAACATTTTCTGGACAGAGGGATGAAATACCAAATACAGAGGCCCCATACCTGGGATATTCTTGACAAGTAGTATAAGGGTGACACCCCCTGGTTCTGGGGTTATATTGCCTGGAAATGCTCAATAAATGTTAAATATTGCTGTTATTAATGTGAATAAGGTCCAGATTTAACTGCAATACACATTTTCCTGTCTGTCCCAAATATGCTTTTTTGTTTGAGGCTAAGTTGTTACAGGGATTAGGTTGCCACCCCTCCCCTTTTAAAATCAAGATAACTGTTAAAATTTCTGAGTCAGTTTTCAGTTTATGCACACTAATGGAGTAATGGGTTGCTGAGTTTTCAACCCAAGTACAGTACTCTTAATGGAAAGAAGGTTGACCCCGACAAAGAGAGTGTGTATAGGTCCTTCCAAAAAGAACACTTCTTTGTAATCTTTTCGTTTTCTTCTAAAGCTTCATGCCAGTTTTGTATTCTTTTAGAGAATATATTTGTGCCTATTTTAATATTGGAATAATGTTTCAAATGGTGGTTTGGGGAGCTGTGTCGTGTCTGTCTTGTGGATTTGAATACCCTTGCCCCCAGGCACACTCCTGGCTTGCACCAGTATGAGAAGCCCTGGACTAGAGCCATGTGGCGTATGTTCTGGCTTACATTCAGCAGCAGGCTAATGTTACCCAAGGGCATTAGGGTGTGGGCTGGGTGGTTTTACTGTTCAGTATCCTGTAAAGCAAAACACAAATGTTCAACTTCCTTCCATAAATTATATATAAAATAAAAACCACGAAAATGCTGTTTTCTTCCCAGAATGAGCAATATGAAGTGAAGCATGAGAAAATCCAATCTCCTGTCAGAAATGAACAGTGAAATTCATCATTCTGTCACTGTCAGAAGAGAATCACCAGATAGAAGGTGTAGCAACAAGCACTGTCCCCACACCATGTTTATTTGGCTTTGGAATTCATAATGAGACACTCATTTTTGCAGACTAATTTTCTTTTTAAATTATGTTTTATTGAAATAATATTAAAATTAACTTAGCAGTTTCTGAGTATTTATCAATAATGGGTGTAGGTGACTCAAGCATGGCCTTGGGTCAGAAGAAAGCCAAACTCTTTGACATTTTGCCAGAAAAAAAACTGCATCAGTGATGGCGTCGATGTGGCCCCTGTACTCTTGATTTGCATTCCAGTCATGGCATCTGCTTTCTCATACTCCTTCTCAACAGCTTCTGCAGTAAGTCATTACTAATTGATGAGAATTGCCAAGAGATGAAACTCATTTGTCAACTCTGTCCTGTTAAGTATAGATGAACCCTGTTTGGATAATTAGAAACGTGCTATAAAGTAGTGAACATTTTTAAAGTTTCATGTGTTTTTAATAATATACAAACATTTTTTGGCTGGGCATGGTGACTCATGCCTGTAATCCCAGCACTTTGGGAGGCTGAGGAGGGTGGATCGCTTGAGCTCACAAGTTCAAATCCAGCCTGGGCAATATGGCAAACCCCATGTCTACAAAAAATGCAAAAATTTAGCTGGGCATGGTGGTGTGAGCCTGTGGTCCCAGCTACTTGGGAGGCTGAGGTGGGAGGATCGCTTGAGCCCAGGAGGCAGAGGTTGCAGTGAGCCGAGATTGTGCTACTATACTCTAGCCTGGGCAACAGAGATAGACCCTGTCTCACCTCCTCCCCGCAAAAAAAAAAATACACACAAACATTTTAAGGCAAGAATTATGTTAAGTTTTACTTCTAGAATATTAAGTGAAATATATTTAAAGCTTTTACTAAAATTGAAGGTGGTACGTATTTTAAGTGATGACTTTGTATGGTTTGATATTCCAGAATGAACTCTTTTCTAACAGAAAGGCCAAACTACTAGTGAATATGAAATTAAGATAACAGATACAGAGAAATAAAGAAGGAAATTATAATAAACTCTTCTGAGTATCTTCAGGTATATGTATTTCAGAAGCCTGTTTAAATGGGAACAGTTGATATGTCACTTGCATTTCTTCAGAACTTCTGAATGATTTGTGTCTCCCATTTGAATTACCTAGTATTTGAAAAATAATCAAGTTAGTTTCTTTTAAATGGTGAGTTGATTTTATTAGTTTTTCATTAGTCTGAATCGGGGAGCTTTTGCTTTGCTGTTTGTTGTATCTGTGTTGAAAGGAAGTGGTTGCAGAGATAATGTAAGATTATAGTTTGGTGAAATGTCACCATTTGACATGAATAAATAATAATTGCTCACTCTGAAACTTTAAAAAAACTGCATTTTTTTTTATTTAAAAAAAACTTTAGTGTCCTATTTTGGAATTTCAATTGCAGGTTGAAAAAAATTACAAATTTAGAGACTATAGTGCTAAGAGATTAGTACTAAAATGTACTATGGTGAAGAAAACTGCTTGGCATTTCATAATTGTGGAGCATTGCTAAATCGTTATTTTGAAGATTAAAATTAATATTTGAAAGTAATAATTAAGTCCATGGCTGCCAGGACTAATTGAAATTTTTGTAGCGAGAAAATATATGATCCCAAATGCCATTACTTATTCGCGATGTCTTACTAATAAGAGGTTCTGGGTTCAGTAGTTTTCATACTCATTGTTTATAACAGACAAGATTTGTTTAATGATGTTTATCATATACAGAACGCTGTTCATTCTACATACACGTTGCATTCTAATTAGAAGATAATGTCGTAAGCAAACATTATTACTTTTAACTATTGGGAAAAAGTGTCATGGCAACATCTAGGGCATTCTTAAATCCACTGTGCTTTTCTTGCTTTTCTTAGTCCTTGTTAGATTTGGTTTTGTTTAGCTGTCAAAGTCTGACAGAAATCACAACCTAAGGGAGTATAGCCGTAGGCGAGATGCTGTGCTCATAGAATTCCCGGTGCTTCTTTAGAGTGGTTTGATACCCTGTAGTTAGAGAGAAGGCGTTATCAATTTAGCAACTGCAGTTGGGAAGTAGCATGGCCTATGGTTGAGGCTATGGTTTTAATTTTGGCACTGTAGATTACTGACTTTGTAGCCCTGTGGCAAGTTTCTTTGCCTCTTGCCCTCATAGGGTTGTTAAAGAGGTTAAATGTGTGTCATTTGTAACATTTAGAATAACAACTGCCTCATAGTAAGTGAATATAAATGGCATTTAAAAAGAATATTCCTGGCAATATTTATTTTCGAGCTATTTGAAAGTATATTTAGAAGGATTATTTTTTTTATTGTTAAAAAGATGATAGAACAACAGTATTAAAGAAGAGTTTAAAAATAGTTATCCATATTATCAATATTTTAAAATAATGTTTGTTTGCTTAATATCTTGTAATTTCAATTTACCTGCATGCATATTTTATGTAACTGAGATCATAATTACATAGCAAGCTTGCTAGGGAATGGGTTGGGCATAGTGGTCACAATATAGCCACATGGGAGAGGGCAGAGCAGTCTTTCCTCAGAGAGAAGGAGTGCTAAGCAGCTGGAGCAACTTCTTCAGGAAGTTAAATGCATAAGGAAGAAGAACTGTTTTCCCCTTCCAAAACTGACAGACTTAAAAACATCAGTATATAAGCACTCTTGCATAGCAGTAGTGAGACTGTAAATTGAATATTTCCAGAGCCAATAGCAGAGAAACAGAACAGTTGTTTGATCTGAACTTAACTAAAAGGATAATCTCGGATTGATGTTTTTATGTATCATGAAATCTTCTTCTGTAACCCTAGTTTTCCTGTGTAGTTTATGGGGCATGCCTGCCTTCATCTCTTATACTTGTTTGAGATCATTACTCTGACTTCCCTGTCAGAGATACTACAATTCCTTAAGTTTTGAAGTTTGGTTGATTAATGTGTCTACTTGAAGGATTTATTATGACACATGTAGAATAAACTCCTTAGTTGGGTATCTCATATCGATGGTAGGAAGGTCTGAGTAACAGCTTTTGCTTATCCTGGCTCCACCATTGGAGAAGTTGAGCTGACTTATCTTTTGGAGGCAGTTGCAAAAATTCATTGCCAGAATGGTGGTCCCAGTCCTTTCTCCCTCCAGGTCTGAGGGCTCATGCCAAGTGGGGTTCTGATTGAACTAGTGAGCATGTATTAGTAGAGGCCAGCCTCTTGAAGCCAAACAGATTGGACCATGATTTCATTTTCATCGTCGGCTTTAGGTGTTGGTAGAACTGGACTTTGAGAGGGCACTATTCCAGAGAAAAAAAAGAAGGAGGAATATGGATCACTAGGACCTGAAGATCAGTTGCTCTCTCTCTAGATGAGGGCCGTAGGGGGTGGATTCAGTTATGGTAAACAGAACAGCTAGTTTTTTAAAAACATTTCTTATTTGACTTGTTGGAAAAGCTTTGACAATGAGATGTATGAAATTCAGAGTTTGGGGGAGTTCTTTCATGCCCAGGTACCATAGGTTTGCAGCTTGATGTTTGGAACTTCCTTTTCTGGGACAGGGTGGGGAAGGATCACAGGAATTGAGTGTGCACAGGCTGGCCTGCTCATGTGCGCAGCGTACAGCCTGGGTGGACACTAAGCCCTTTTAGATGTCTGTCTGTATGACAGGGTGGGGCTGGGGCTGGGGAATGTGACAATGACAACGTTGTCAGCACGAAAAGACTCTGCCAGGAAGGTTAGAAACCAGTTGTGGTCTGAGAAATGAGTTGGTGAAGCCAAAAGTGAAATCTGCACAGCTGGGCAGTTGAAGGATCTGGAGTGACCAACAGAGAAGGAGACAGGTAAGCAAGGATCAGAAAATGGGATCCTTAGTCAATCATGGGAGGGTACTGCATAGATCTATTTTGTTTTTCAAGATCAGTGGCTCTCCAACTTTAATGTTCTCGAGAAACACTTGGAAACACTTGGAAAGCTTGTTAAAATAGTTTCCTATACTCATCTTCAGAGATTTGGATTTATAGGGTTGAGCTGAGGCCCAAGCCATGAACAAGCTCACAGGTGATGTCAATGCTGCTGGTCCTGGGACCACAATTCTGTGTTTACACTGTATCACAGGCAAACTTTTCTTACTCCTCCAGTCTCAACTTTTCTGAAAAGAGAAGGAAATAGGAACTTTTGAGTTCTTGTTCTATCCCAGATGCTTATATATATGTATAGCATCATTTACTTCTCACAGACATAAAAGTCATACTATCTCTATTTTCTATGAGGCTGTGGCGGCTCAGAGAAGCTAAGTAATTTGCCCAAAGCTACACAGCTAGTCTGTGTTATGACTGGTTTTTTGAGTTAATGCCAAATCCTTATTGTAACTCTTAGATTATTTTCTCTACAAGTCGCTGCACAACAGGGTGAAGCTTTAGGCAGTGGAGGGAGACTTCCCTTCAGTCATGGGTGAGAAGCACTCAGATCACTCTGTTGTTATTGTAGATTTCTGTATTCACCAGGATCTAAAACGTGACAGTTACACCAAGTGAATTTCAGAGATCTGTCACTGGTAAAACCCCTTCAGCTTTTTGCTTAAAAATGTCATAAAAGAGAATATTGAAAAATAATGAAATTTTAAAAGCTTAGGATCAAGCTGAAATGTTACAGAACTTTCTGGCCTTTTTCATTTAGGATTTCAGTTTTAATTTTGTTATGAGAGATTTTGAGTGATGTTAAAACAAAGGATTGTCTGCATTATTTAAGTTCTGTGTTTTGAAATGCCATAAAGACAAAACATAAAAGCATATCAAGGCAGATAGAAGAACAATAAGGTAAAACATGTTTTTCTCTGGTAAGGTATATATTTGCACATGCTAACATACTTTGTTCTGTTTCATTGTTCAAAATGAATGGCAACAGCCTTTATAAAATAAATACTTAGAGTGATTGTACTGAATAATCCTTTTGTTTTGAGTAGTTAAAAAAAAAGCAGGTTATAAGAAATCTTAGAACTCTGTGAAATTCCAGCTCTGCTGTGAAATGATCTCATTAAAGCCAACCTTATACTCTGCTTTACCTCCCGAGTACAAAAGATACATGTAGCGTGTGAGGTTGTGGCCTCTCACAGTACCTTAGGAACGCACGTTTTCCCCTTCATGGACAAATACCTGACTTGGCAAAACTGAGTTTTTTTGGGATATAAAGTACTAATGAAAAATACTGCTTAAAAGAAACTATCCAAGGTTTCATCTGGTGATGATATTATTCCTTATTTATATCATTGCTGATGAATAGTGAATTTTAGTAAACTTGGTCTAGGAAGCTTGTTTAACCTTATTTAAATTAGATGTGAATCTTAGATTTTAACTAAGTAAATGTATTTAAGATTATTCTACTGCTTGTATGTCCTCCTCCCCATTTTAATATAATGTAAAGAACATTGATATCCATCTCTGATTTTCTTGTTAAGCTATCTTAATGTTTACTGAATTCTATGAGTATGTTCCCTGCTGCCTTCCCCATTTCTCTGCTTAAATCAGAAATGGCTTTCCTCCTCTCCAAAGGTGGCACTATATAAATGACATAAATAGGCTCAGGATTTCAGAAAATGATTGTATGTCTTCGCTTCTTTCTAGATATCTTTGTTGTAGCTCTCAGCTCATAAGATAATGATCTGTGTTCCTATGCAACTTCTGTTCCCAAATTTGAGCTCCTTGCAGCAAGGACTTTCCTATTCAACTAGGAATTTCTAGAAGAAACTGCTTCTTTCCTGTGCCAGGGTGTCCCGAATGAGTTAGAAAAAGCATTTAGTGTAGATGAGCAATTAGGAATGGACCCAGCCGGGCACAGTAGCTCATGCCTGCAATCCTGAGGCAGGAGGATTGGTTTAGGCCAGAATTTTGACTTTTTAAAGTATCAAATCCAAATTTTTTTTTTTTCGTAATTGGAGTAGTGGTAGTAGGGAAGGGCCTTATTTACTGATGCTCAAAGTGCCTCAGTACATACTTAGCTTAATGGATAATCTGGAATTACCTTTAGAATCTCACTCATCTAAGTCTTTTTTTTATTGTAAAAAATAAAACCTATAGAAATCCACAGAAGACAAAGTAGTATGGCTTTAATGAATTGTCATAAAGCGAATACCCTCCTAACACCAACCAGAACACTAGAACTTTGCCAGCCACCCCAGAAGCCTTTTACAGTCCCCTTCTCATAAAAGTAATTATCCTGACCTTTATGGCAATCATTTCCTTGCTTTTCTTTAGGAATACATGCTTGGGTGACAAAATGACAAATATCATAGGTGGTTGTTTCTTTTGAAAAACAAATCTTTGGCCGGGCGCGGTGGCTCACGCCTGTAATCCCAGCACTTTGGGAGGCCGAGGTGGGCAGATCACCTGAGGTTGGGAGTTTGAGACCAGCCTGACCAACATGGAGAAACCCCATCTCTACTGAAAATACAAAATTAGCCAGGTGTGGTGGTGTATGCCTGTAATCCCAGCTACTCAGGAGGCTGAGGCAGGAGAATCGCTTGAACCTGGGAGGCGGAGGTTGCGGTGAGCCAAGATCGCGCCATTGCACTCCAGCCTGGGCAACAAGAGTGAAACTCTGTCTAAAAAAAAAAAAAAATCTTTAAGTATTTTTTTAATCTATAGCTTCTCTCTTTTTTTTTTTTTTTGGCTGATAGAATCCCCATTGTGCAAGTTTGTATTTCTTGTAAATTGATAGTGGATCTAGAGATTTGCTCACATTCAGAATATATGTATATGAACATTTCGAAAGCACACAGTGTCTGAGATGTTAGCAGCCGTTGATATCTACTGTCTAGATCCGTGAATTAATATGGGGTTGCAAAACAATGATCTCATTCAGTCATTTCTTTTTCATTTGTTTGCTCAAACATTTCTATAAACTGGGGTTTCTCTTCATCTGCTTCTTTGTTACCCAGTAGTATAGGGTACCCAGGAGGCTTCTGGGTTGCTGGGATTTACTAGCTATGGGGTTCTCCTGGGACCTCTTTGAGGTTGAGAAACTGAACATACCTAGAAAGGGCCATTTGATAGGCATAGGTCCAGTGACAGTGTCTTGGTTCTTAGGTTGGACAGGGAGTGAGAGGTCCTGGCCTGCAAGCCTGTTGCTGCCATTGAGTACTTCAGAAGAATGGACTCTGTACCTGTCCATTTCAGCTGCCCAGTTTTTGGATCTATTCCTGTTTGTTGACAGATTTAAAACCTTATTTTGCTATATGAAACTACTAAATATCATCTGGTCCTATCGCTTGCCATTAGTAGTTTAAGAGATTTCAATAGGTGAAGAGATTTCCATCTTACAGAGAGTTCAAGGTCATCAGAGGCCAAGTTCATAGATTTTAATCTCAAAATCAAAGTCTGAGTTAGATTTGCATCTTAAACAGAGTTCAAGGTCATCACAGAAGCCAAGTTCATCAATTTTAATCTCAAAATCAGAGTTTTACATTGTACGTTGATGTCATTATATAGTATTAGGTTTGTTTTTTAAAAAAAGATTTTAAAAACTAAACTTTTTAAAATTATTATACTTTAAGTTCTGGGGTACATGTGCACAACATGCAGGGTTGTGTGCTGTGTTGGTTTGCTGCGCCCATTAACTCGTCATTTACATTAAGTATTTCTCCTAATGCTATCCCTCCCCCATCTCCCCACCCCACAACAGGCCCCAGTGTGTGATGTTCCCTGCCCTGTGTCCAAGTGTTCTCATTGTTCAATTCCCACCTATGAGTGAGAACATGCAGTGTTTGGTTTTCTGTCCTTGCGAAAACCAAACTAGTTTGCTCAGAATGATGGTTTCCAGCTTCATCCGTGTCGCTACAAAGGACACGAACTCATCCTTTTTTATGGCTGTATAGTATTCCATGGTGTATATGTGCCACATTTTCTTAATCCAGTCTATCATTGATGGACATTTGGGTTGGTTCCAAGTCTTTGCTATTGTGAATAGTGCCACAATAAACATACGTGTGCATGTGTCTTTATATTAGCATGATTTATAATTCCTTGGGTATATACCCAGTAATGAGATTGCTGGGTCAAATGGTATTTCTAGTTCTAGATCCTTGAGGAATCACTACACTGTCTTCCACAATGGTTGAACGAATTTATACTCCCACCAACAGTGTAAAAGCATTCCTATTTCTCCACATCCTCTCCAGCACCTGTTGTTTCCTGACTTTTTAATGATCGCTGTTCTAACTGGTGTGAGATGGTATCTCATTGTGGTTTTGATTTGCATTTCTCTGATGGCCAGTGATGATGAGCATTTTTTCATGTGTCCTTTGGCTGCATAAATGTCTTCTTTTGAGAAGTATCTGTTTATATCCTTTGCCCACTTTTTGATGGGGTTGTTTGATTTTTTCTTGTAAATTTGTTTAAGTTCTTCGTAGATTCTGGATATTAGCCCTTTGTCAGATGGGTAGATTGCAAAAATTTTCTCCCATTCTGTAGGTTGCCTGTTCACTCTGATGGTAGTTTCTTTTGCTGTGCAGAAGCTCTTTAGTTTAGTTAGATCCCGTTTGTCAATTTTGGCTTTTGTTGCCATTGCTTTTGGTGTTTTAGACATGAAGTCCTTGTCCATGCCTATGTCCTGAATGGTAATGCCTAGGTTTTCTTCTAGGGTTTTTATGGTTTTAGGTCTAACATTTAAGTCTTTAATCCATCTTGAATTAATTTTTGTATAAGGTGTAAGGAAGGGATCCAGTTTCAGCTTTCTACATATGGCTAGCCAGTTTTCCCAGCACCACTTATTAAATAGGGAATCCTTTCAACATTTCTTGTTTTTCTCAGGTTTGTCAAAGATCAGATGGTTGTAGATGTGTGGTGTTATTTCTGAGGGCTCTGTTCTATTCCATTGGTCTATATATCTGTCTTGGTACCAGTACCATGCTGAAAAACTAAACAATTTAAAAAATTACATTTTATAGTAAACACTTTATATAAGCCTCCATATACATTGGAATCTAGAATTGGGATTTGTTAACCTCAGTGTCGTAACTGAAAGTGGGTGTGGAGAAACATTGCTTGTCTCTTGGATTCTGGAAAGTATCAGTGTAGTGTGGACTTACAAATCCACAGAGACAATGTATCTGTCCTTGTTTCTCGTAAGAAAGAAAAGGATTTAACGTTTATTAAGTTCTTCCTTTGGGTCTGGTTGTTCTATGTACATTTTAAAAATATATAGCCCACCATGGTGGTTCATGCCTGTAATCCCAGCACTTTGGGAGGCTGAGGAGGGAGGATGCTTGAGCTCAGGGGTTTGAGACCAGCCTGGGTAACATAGTGAGACCCTGTCTCTACAAAAAATAAAAAAATTAGCTTGGCATGTAGATGTGTGCTTGTACTTCCAGCTACTTGGGAGGCAGAGGTGGGAGGATCACTTGAACCCAGGAGGTGGAGGTTGCAGTGAGCTGAGATTGTGCCACTGCACTCCAGCCTGGGCAACAGTGCAAGACCCTGCCTCTTAAAAAAAAGAAAAAAGGTAAAGTGAAACTTAAAAAAAAAAAAAAAACGCACACACAGGCGTTCACATGTGCATATAGTTTTGTTTTCGAGAGTTGGGGTCTTGACCGGGCATGGTGGCTCACACCTGTAATCATAGCACTTTGAGAGGCCAAGGCGGCAGATCACCTGAGTCAGAAGTTCAAGACCAGCCTGGCCAACATGGTGAAACCTGTCTTTACTAAATATACAAAAAATTAGCCAGGTGTGGTGGCGGGTGCCTGTAATCCCAGCTACTCAGGAGGCTGAGGCAGGAGAATCGCTTGAACCCAGGAGGCAGAGGTTGCAGTGAGCCAAAATTGTGCCACTGCACTCCAGCCTGGGTGACAGAGTGAGACTCTGTCTCAAAAAAAAATAAAAAATAAATAAAAATAATAGAGTTGGGTTCTTGCTCTATCAGCTAGGCTGGAATACAGTGGTGTGAACACAGCTTACTGCAGCCTTGAATCCCTGGGCTCAAGTGATCCTCCTGTCTCAGCCTCCGCAGTAGCTGGGATTATAGGTACATCACACTACACCCAGCTAATTAAAAAAATATATATAGTTTTTGTAGAGACAGAGTTTCTTTATGTTGCCTAAGCTGGTCTTGAACTCCTGGCCTCAAGCTATCCTCCTGCGTTGGCCTTCTAAAGTGCTGGCATTGCAGGTGTGAGCCACTGCACATGGTCTTATATGTTTTTATGTTTGGGACTTTTAGGCTGTTGATGTTATTTATACCCATTTAATAACTGAGTGAACCAAAGCTCAGAGAGATTAAATACCTTATCTGAGATTACAGAGTAGGAGATTCAAGTAGGGCTTCAAAGCCTAGACTTAGTCCTCTTTGCTTCACTGCCTCTCAGGTAAAGGAATGTGAAGACTGTGTCACATTCCAGATACATTTGGTAATCTGGCTGAAATGTTCTAAAGATTTAATTTGTGTTTACTTCATTTTGGTTTGAAAAGCCACTATAATTCATACGTGTAACTAAAATAGTTAAACATTTAAAATGTGTGCCATTTAAAAAATATTGTTATTAAAGAAAAATATTCATACGATACTAATGTGTTATTTTAACTAATAATTGAAATGTCAGTTTTTAGTAAACATTATTGCCCTAGAAGTAGTCTTTTTTTTTTTTTTTTTGGTAAGACATGGTTTTTCTGTCACCCAGGTTGGAGTGCAGTGGCGCAATCACGGCTCACTGCAGTCTTGATCTCCTGGGCTCAAGTGATCTTCCGACCTCAGGCTCCTGAGAAACTGGGACCACAGGTGTGTGCCATCACGCCCAGCTAATTTTGTATTTTTTATAGAGATGGGGTTTCACCATGTCCCCCAGGCTTGTCTTAAACTCCTGAGCTCAAGCAGTCACCCACCTCATCCTCCCAAAGTGCTGGGATTACAGGCATGAACCACTGTGCCTGGCCCAAACAGTCATGATTAGTGGACTTGCTCTTTTAACAGTGAATTGCTGGCTTTAAAAAGCAAAAAAAAAAAAAAAAAAAAAAAAAACCCCAAATCTAATTCATCATTTAGTTCCTTTTAAATTAGGCTGCATTTAAGGAACTGCAATTCAAATATTAAATTTCTGGGTTAATTTTTAGAAAGCATAACTTATTTGATCTTTTTAAGCACATTTGTGTTTTTGTAGTAGTTGAGTTCATTATGGACTCTGGAGACAGGCAGACTGCCTGCATTTGAATCCTGGCTCTGCCTTTCACTGGCTGTGTGATTTCAGGCAAGTTACTTAATCTTTCTGTGCCTCAGTTTCCTTATCTGTACAGTAGGGGTTATAGAAGGACCTTAAGTCAAAGGCTTATTATGAGCATCCAGCGATACCTGCTCAACATGTGTTAGTGTGATGACCTTAAGTTGTGAAAACTGTATTTGGGTTATGTGCCATTTCTGAAGGCCATGATCCCCAGGGAATATCTCGTGATGACCCTCAAGCCCTTGTCCTGAATGAGGAGGAAAAGGTCAGGCACAACCTTGTGATTTCCCCGGTGTTGGACTTCTGTGTTCACCAGCAGGATCTCCATTTCTATAACCAAATGGCTACATCTTGCATAGAGACTCTACCACTGTGTCTGAAGGTATGGCAACATTTCACAAATTTGGATTTATCTCATTATAAATTTTAATAATTTAACCGGATTAAGATGAAGCTCACTCTTCTGTCTATGGTGGCATTATTTGCTAACCTTCACCCTCTTGCAGCCATCCCCCACATTCCCCTATCTGCAGTTGTGGCGCCTAGGAGGATAGTAGATATGCCGTATAGCCAATGACAGTATGCTGCAAGCACAATGCCCACCTGTGGGTTGGGCTCAGAACCGCTCTACTGCCTAACCTGGACTCTGGCCCCTCTCTCAGACCGCAGATAACAATCCTTCAGTGCTGGTTTTGCTTTCATGCTTCTTTAAGCACTAAATTCCTTTGACACCGCCTTGCTCTCGCAGCTGCTCTGTCCCATTGTATTATAGAATAAGCACATGCTAGCGTACCTGCAAAGCAGGAGCAATAAAAACAATGAGAGGAAGGAGGGACATTGTGGGCACAAGTTAGATAATTGACATTCAAACATGAAGGAAAAAATTAGAAAAGTTAGAACTTGGTAGGGCTGTCATACTGCTTATTTATTTGCAGCAAGTTCTAATGACTTCATCTTCTGAGGAGAGAGAGAGAGAGAGAGAGAGAGAGAGAGAGAGTTAGTTGACGTGGTGAGGACAGGCTTCCTGCAGTCAGCTGGCTCCACATTTGGCTTTGAGGATCGGCAGGCAAAGTGCTAGGGGTCAGCGGAGACATAGTGGCCAGTTTTGGCAGAAGGGAGATGAGAGAAGTAGTTTGGAAAAGAAGCTGAAGACTAAATGATAGGAGGCCTTGGATATTGAGAGTAAGAAACTTGAACCTGATTCTTTATGTTATAAATATCTTTTGAAGGGTTTTGCTAAAGGAGTGTGACGTGGAAGGGGTATTTTAGAATGAAGAATCTGGAAGAGTGTTGCTGGAGAGGTTGAAAGGTAGAGTGACTGGAGGGAGGAGACGAATTTGGACAATACTATAATGGTATAGGGGTGAAAAAGGTGTCTGTGTAGAGTGCTGGTATTGGAATGAGATTATGTTAAGAGTCACTCCATTATTCTCCCTGTTAGCAGTTGGTTGGACTACATGTACTTTAAAGTCATAAGATGTACTTTAAGAAAATGTCATATACAGTAATGCTGACTTTTCACTCAGTCCTTTTCTGTACGTGAGTGCCTTATGCTAACAGAGAATCTACTCAGAGTCATTGAGCCAAGACACCCCTTAAGAAGAAATAGTAGTACCTTTTTCCGGTTCTGTCTGTCAAGGTTGGTGGTTTAAATCAGGATTTTTCAGTCTGTTTTACAGAGCCTGATTACTTCACAAGTTTATAATATTTTTCAAGTTTTCTGAATTGAGATTTTAAGATGATGTGATGATGTCACTTGTGATTTGCCAATTCCGTTGTGTTGTTTTTTTCTTTCTTTCCTTTTTTTTTTCTTTTTTGAGACGGAATCTTGCTCTGCCGCCCAGATTGGAGTACAGTGGCGTGATCTCGGCCCATTGCAACCTCCACATCCCAGGTTCAAGCTATTCTCCTGCCTCAGCCTCTTGAGTAGCTCGGATTACAGGTGCCGCTACCACACCTGGCTAATTTTTGTATTTTTAGTAGAGATGGGGTTTTGCCATGTTGGCCAGGTTGGTCTCGAACTCTTGACCTCTGGTGATCCGCCTACCTCAGCCTCCTAAAGTGTTGGGATTACAGGCGTGAGCCACCATGCCTGGCCCTTTGTTCTTTTTTTTTTTTTTTTTTTTGAGACGGAGTCCCACTCTGTTGCTCAGGCTGTAGTGCAGTGGCACAATCTCGACTGCAGCCTCCACTTCCTGGGTTCAAGTGATTCTCCTGCCTCAGCCTCCCAAGTAGCTGGGATTACAGGCATATGCCACCATGCCTGGCTAGTTTTTGTATTTTTAGTAGAAACGGGGTTTCACCATGTTGGCCAGACTGTTTTCGAACTCCTGACCTTGGGGGATCCACCTGCCTTGGCCTCCCAAAGTGCTGGGATTACAGGTGTGAGCCACCACGCCCGGCACCTTTGTTCTTCATTTATTCTCCCATCTACTCTGCAGTGACCTCACTGTTCTCAGTAAATGAATTAAGGACTTGATCAGAAAGTACACATTGGAAAGCTAAGTACAATTTATCTTTTGCTCTTTTTTCTTATTTGGAAATAATTTCATACTTACAGTATAGATGCAAAAAGAGTACAAAGAATTCTCATTTACCCTTTACCCAGATTCCTCAAATGTTAATATTTTACCATGTTGGCATTGTCATTCTCTCTCTCGCCCTCTTTCCTTCCCGCCCTTTATACACACACATACATCTCTTCCCTCGTACTCATTAATTTTTGTTCTGAACTGTGTTAGAGTAAATTGCAGATATGATACCCTTTACCCCAAAACAATAGCATTCACTTACCTGATCACACTATAATGATCTATATATTTATTCAAATTGGGCAAGATTGTCCCCTACTGTCCTTTATAGGGCCTTCTTTCCCCTGGTCCACATCCAATTCAGGCTCACCTGTTTTATGTAGTTGTGATGTCTTTTTGTTCCCCTTTAATCTGGATGATTTTCTCAGTTTTCTTTATTTTTCATAAATTTGACATTTTTGAAGAACACAGATCACTTAATTGGGTCCTCAATTCGTGTTTGTCTGATATTTAAACATTAGATTCAGGTTATGCATTTTTGGCTGAAGTACGCTGTGTCCTTCTCAACATACCATGTCAGGGGGCACATGATGATGTCTCTTGGTTCCATTCCCCGTGATACTAACTTTGGTCTCCTGTTGAGGGATGTCTGCCAGGTTTCTGGCAGTGTCCTCTAGTGGTTGTTTTACTGGGTGCTTTACAGAAATGGGAAGGGGAAAGGACTTGTGTGTCACTCAATTTTTTTTTATATATTTATTTTGAGACGGAGTCTCGCACTGTTGCCCAGGCTGGAGTGCAGTGGCGCAATCTCAGCTCACTGCAACCTCCACCTCCTGGGTTCAAGCGATTCTCTTGCCTCAGCCTCCCAAGTAGCTGGCATTACAGGTGCATGCCACCACACCCAGCTAATTTTTTGTATTTTTTAGTAAAGAAGGGGTTTCACCGTGTTAGCCAGGATGGTCTGGATCTCCTGACCTTGTGATCCGCCTCCCTCTGCCTCCCAAAGTGCTGGAATTACAGACGTGAGCCACCGCGCCCAACTGTGTCACTTAATTTTTTTTTTTTTCACTGTCTTCTGAATTTCCCCTTTTCTTCTTTTCTCTTTACCATGCAGTTTTCAAAGAAGGTCTCCTTTTCTAACTACTTTGTTTTCCCCCAAACAGTTGCCTTTCCAAGGGACTGCCTCCTAGAGTCCCAAGGTGTATTTTTAAGTTCCTTTTCTGTAGTATGCGATGATGCACCTTCCCCCCTTTCCTCCATCTCACCTTAGTATTTTCACATTTAGATGAACTTTGTCTTTTAGGGAGTGATTTTAGATCAATCTTAGGGCCACATCTAACACCCCCTTATTTCTTCCCTTCCATTTTTCTCTGTATACTCTTGTTCCTGTTAGGGCTTATAGCAGAAACTTGAGATATACAGTCAGTTCTGTTACAATGCAGCGTATGCATTCTTGAAAATCATTGTGCTATGCAAAATTGCACAATAAAAACCACAGCGCTTGTGGAAAAAATGAGGTTTGGGGTATATATTAGTTTGTAGGGCTGCCATAACAAAGTAGCACTGACTGGGTGGCTTAGACAACAGAAATGTATCTTCTCACAGTTCCAGAGGCTGAGTCTGAGACCGGGTGTAGGCAGGGTTGGTTTCTTCTGAGACCTGTCTCCTGGGCTTGCAGATGCCGTCTTCTCCTTGTGTCTTCACATGGTCTTTCCTGTCTGTGGGTCTGTGTCCTGATCTCCTTTTCTTACAAGAATGCCAGTCAGTCTAGATTAGGCCTACCTACATCATCTCATTTGACCTTAATTATGTCTTTAAGGGCCCTGTTTCCAAACACAGTCAAACCTCAGGTTATGGTGTTGAGGGTTAGGACTTGAGCACGAATTTTGGGGGACACAAGTCAGCTCATAACAAGTCACAGTGCTCAAAACGTCAATGACACATTACAAAAATACAGAAACTAGTAAAAACTGTAGCACCATTTTACCCCTGTTAAATCATTAGAAATACATAAACATTCCAGTAAACATGGCACTTTACCTCGGAAAAGATGGGAAGTTTGCTTGTGGGAGTGGGCATAGGAAGGAGACTGTAGCGTGTAATTTATTTTGAAATGATGCAGGCAGGTTTATCTTATGTCAGATGGAAAGTTAGCACCAGATGAATGGGTGTGGCTTACAATGGCTGTGGTGAGCCAGGGTGGCTGGCAGATGCTCCAGGTGTGCTGTGTGCTTGTGCCTGTGTGTGTTTTGTATATTATTCCTGCCAGCTTGGTTCTGCTGGGTGCAGTTTTCTGCATTCACCTAGTATCTCAGCAGATGAAAATACCCATAAAATGCAAAATTCTCATTATGCTAAAGTTGTTCTCTAATATATCAATCACATTTGAACACCAAATTTTGTGTTTTTAAAACAGATATTACAGCAGAACTGATAGTAGTTCACTAGAATTTGATGTTCACTTTTTTACTTACAGGTAATTTGAAATTACTCTAGTTTTCTGACTAGGCATGGATTTATGTAGTCCCACTTGTTCTTGCTTTTTAAAATTGTCTTTTTATATTTCTGGAGAAGGTGTTGGGAGGTTTGACTTTGCACAGCTGCCATTACTGCTGCTACTCAGATTCTTCTCTCAACAGTTCTTATCTATTTATTTATTTATTTGAGACAAGGTCTCACTCTGTCATCCAGGCCGGAGTACAGTGGCGAGATCTTGGCTCACTGCAGACTCGACTTCCCGAACTCAGGTGATACTCCCACCTCAGCCTCTGAGTAGCTGGGACTACAAGCATGCACCACAACACCTGTCTAATTTTTTGTATTTTCAGTAGAGACCAGTTTTTGTCATGTTGCCTAGGCTTGTCTTGAACTCCTAGGCTCAGGTGATCCATCTGCCTCAGCTTCCCAAAGTGCTGGGATTACAGGCATAAGCCACTGTACCTGCCTGAACTTACCTTTTTTTTTTTTTTTTAAAAAAAAAAAATTGTTTACAATACATTAATTTTGTGGAGTAATGTATTTCAAAGCAAAAATTTATAACTCCTTTTCCTCCTTCCATATGCCTTATTTGTATAATGAATTTGTCCATATTTGATCACAGTGTAGGGATCTGCTTTTCCCTAAAGTTTCATTATTTCAATAAGAATTGAAAATCTTTAGCTCAAATTGACCTAAACTAATTTTTGAGCAGGTATTGGAATGAAATAAGGCATTTCTCACTTTGCCTGATTCTGATGTGCACATATGTCAGTTATGATGGTTTACTTAAATGACACCAGTCCCCCAGCAACTTGATTGAAATTTCACCTTCCACAGTTTATTAACTGCGTAAAGTACAGATTTTGCTTTTGGCCCTTCAGTCCACAAATCCTGTATAAGTAACAAATGTGCATCATGATCAGTGACAAATCTCATTTCTTTTTCAACTCTATCAGTAATTGTCACTGTTAATCTGTTATTCAGTTCATACACAGACAGCAAAGTATGTAGTTGTATTGCTTCTTTATGTCACCCACTGATAAACTCACGTAACATTTTGTAAGAATGAATAGTTGAAAGACGAATTAGCCAACAAAGATAAAAGTGCAGCGAAGAAATGAAAAGTGATAAATGCTCGAAGTGAAATTGGAAGTGATTAGAAGATCTGAAAATATTGATAGCAAAGCAAATGTGGGATGAGAGGTAGACCTGCATGAAGCAGTGGTATGAACCATATTGAATCAGTCCTGTGAATATAAAAAACAAAATAAAATCAAGTCACTATGTTTTAGTTTAAATTTTACTAGGAACAGAAAGCTGCTTATGGCTAAAGTGGAGTATTACTTTCACTTTGGATTGAAGACCGTTTAAAAAAAATCCCAATCAGTTTGGTTAGCATTAAGGTAAAAGTATTGAAGTTAGTTGCCACATTGAAAGAAAATGGTAATTACACTGAGATTGAGGAAGAAATTCTACCAGTAAAGACTAGCTTCATCATTCAGAAGTTGGCGTGAGTTGATTAATCTGTTAGGTGAAGCTGTAGCACAGAGAAGGATGCTGCTGGGAAATTTGCATCCAGATTCCAAGGATTATTTAAGGTGGGTGATGATAATGATCATCAAATATTTAATATTGATGAGATAAGTTGTAAGGCAACTCCATCAGGAACTTGTGCCACAGAAGATGTAAGATCGAGAAGTAGCTTTAAGGAGTTAAAGATAGAGCAACTTATTAGGAGACAACACAAAAGGTAACTGTAAAATAAAATCTATGCTTCTCTGTCTGAGAATCCTAGAGCATTAAAAAAAAAAATCATGAAACAGGCATCTCAGCCAGTCATTTGGCATGCAAATAAACGATCATGGGTTACAGTACCATTGCTCCAAGACTTGTTTCAGTTGTGTTTTTGTCCAGAGGTTGGCAAAATAATTTTAACTTTTAGAGCACAACTACTACTGTTGGATAATGTTGCAAGTCACCCCAGTTCTCTTGAGTACTTAAAAGAAAATGTGAAAATCTGCTTTTTACTACAAACAGAAACTTCATTAATCCAGCCAGTGAACCAAGGAGTTATTTGAGCTTTTAAGGCCTGTTATCTTAGATGGAGTTTCAGACAGGTTATTAATGCTACAAGTAGAGATTATGCATTTCTGTAGCTGAATTTTGGAAGAAATATGACATAAAGCATGCATTAGAAAACAAGCATCATAGCGGGAAGTAACAGTGAGTAATGTGTGTGCAGTATGGCAGAATGTTTACCACACTGTGCAAATAACCTTGCAGAATTCGAATTGAACATAGAGTTATAGAAGAAACACAGTCACACGCTGCATAAGGACATTTTGGTCAGGACGGACTGCATATATAACAGTGGTCCCATAATATTAAAATACCATATTTTTACATACCTTTTCTATGTTTAGCTACACAAATACTTACCATTGCGTTACAGTTGCCTACGGTATTCTGTACAGTATCATGCTGTACATGTTTGCAGCCTAGGAGCGAAAGGCCTTTCCATATGGCCTAGGTGTGTAGTAGGCTACACCTCCAGGTTTGTGTGAGTGCAGTCTATGAGGTCCGCACAATGAAATCACCTAACCACACATTTCTCAGAATATATCTCTGTTACTAAGCAACATATAACTGTAGTTGACTTTGTGAATGTTCCACCATTTGAGAGACTTCAGATATGTACTCATAGGAACGTAGTGAGGGCAGATTTTTCAGCATAAATGAGGAAGGATGGAGATGTCTCAGGGGAAGTGATGCTACCAAATGTCTTTACTTTAAAAGAGATAATACATGACATTGAAAGTACAAAGGAAAAATTGTTGATAGTGAATCCAAACTTAGGAAGGAGTATTGCGACTTGTTAAGATACAGAAAAGATACTTGCTCTGTATTGTAAGTTATACAACAAAGAAGGCAAACCCTGTTCAAACTACCCGATTAGTTTTTTTTTACAAAGAAACAAACCCTAATTCTCAGTGTTTCTAATGTTTCAAATTGCAGTATACTAAATACTATTTTTACTATATTTTTCATTTGCCTATACACTTATAGAGAATTTTAAACGTTTTGATAAAAATTCTCAAAGGTCATGGAATAATTATACTCTGTTCTCATAATTATTAAAATTACTTTGCATATTTCAGCTTGCAAGGTAATTTTTATGGTGCAGCACTACCATGCAAAGCAAGGACTGCCTTTCCAAACAATAAACGTTCTTTGCCTCTTCCTGCCATCACTTTCCTTCAGCAAACATCACCATCGTTTTATTGTCTTTATTGAACTCTTCCTAGACTCTTAGTAGTATTCCCTTTACTCTTTGGCACCTTGTCCTCCAGCTGCTCCTTGACTGACATTTCTTCATCTTCCCTCTTTTCTGATCTGCTGTCTTGACAGCTGGTTTTTTTGCAGGAATTTTAGGTTGTCTGAGTCACGAGAAACTACCATTATAGTAGTTTCTTCAGCCATTCTTCTTACCCCATTCCTTCTTCCCACAGAGGCCCCTCCTCCCCTTCCAGCATCATCATTTCCCCCTTGTCTAGTTAATCTAGGTTAGTGGTTATTTGGTTATTCTAGAGCATGTCCTTAGGGTCTCATCCACAATCCCAAAGCCTTATCAAGGGCTTTGCCTTTTCTAATGTATTCATCTTTCTTTTGCGTTCCAAGAAGTGCCTTTATTTCCTGGTGTTCCATTTTTGTTTTTCTCTCTAGTGCCTTGGTGAGATGAGATGACTTCAAAGGAAGGAGCCCTTTTACATGAGTGCCTAGCAGTAAAAAGCTTTGAGATAAAACAGCGATTTCCATTAGGGACAAAAAGAGGGTAGAGCAAAGCTGTAAGACTTTCTTCAGTGAACCCATAAAGGGGAAAAACTGGAACTATTAAAAAGTGGTGACGGTAAAAGGAAAGCAGGCAGACCTGTTCACGTGGCCACACAGAGATTAGAAAATAAGTGTCTTGGGAGATGTTTAGTACTTAAAGTGTGCCAAGGTGATGTTGACTGCCAGTAGCTCCTCACTCTTTCTGGTCCACACCCCACACTGCCAGCTCACCCCTGCCCTGGGCTGCCGGAGTAGCCATCCATCAGTGGAGTGCAGCTGGAAGCTGAGAAATCTGTTCTTTCATCACCAGAAGAGAAGCCCAGAGCCCATAGCCACAGGGGATAGTAAGAACAGAACAACAAATCAGTCCAGTAAAAAAACTGGTCACATGATAGGGAGGATGCAGATAACTTTATTTAGGTAAGCTGTGAGGTTGAGACTTCTGTGATCTGGTTTGGGGGCATGACAAAATGAATAACCTGAGTGCGAAACAGCTGACTACCAATGAGTGTTTGGGGCATAACCTCAGTGTAAATTAGGATACGTCTCTATTTCCTTTATTTTTCATTTTGGTTGTTTGACTTGACCTACGTTACAGGTCATTGCTAAATTACTTTGGAAGTACCCTTTGTCTTGATTGTGTTACTGTATGTGGATGGTGCTCAAAATTATTAAATTTAATTCAGAAGTTTCAATTTTGTGAAGAGATGGTGGGTATTTTCTAGGTCATAATACAAA